>NC_000008.11:41072223-41375254 GCF_000001405.40 Homo sapiens | reverse complement strand
TTTAAATTGATTTATTTGTGATTCTTTTATTTTGAGATGGAGTTTTGCTCCTGTTGCCCAGGCTGGAGTGCAGTGGTGGCACGGTCTCGGCTTACTGCAACCTGTGCCTACTGGATTCAAGCCATTCTCCTGCCTCATGCCCAGGTGGCACCTGCCACCATGCCCAGCTAATTGTTATATTTTTAGTAGAGATGGAGTTTCACCATGTTGGCCAGGCTGGTAAACCCCCGATCTCAGGTGATCCATCCACCTCAGCCTCCCAAAGTTGGGATTACAGGCGTTAGCCACCATGCCTGGCCTTTTTGTGATTCTTAGCTCTTCATATGAATTCTAGATCTACTTATCAAATTCATAAAAAATTGTGTTAACATTTTGATCGGAGTTGTATTGAATTTATAAGATTTTATTTGGGTTGAATTAGTGTCTTAATAATATTCTTTTTATCCATGGACTTTGTACTTATTTCTTTATTAATGTGTTTTATTCATTATGTATATTATGAATACTTTGTGATTTTTCCAACAAATGTGTCTTAAACATTTTTGTTACATTTATACATAGATTCTTTATAGTTTTCCTTGCTATTATAAATGGAATTATTTTTCTATCATATTCTATCATAATCTCTAATTGGTAATTGCCAGTGGAGATGTAAATTATTAATTTTTAAATGTTGCTAATATCACTTATCAGTTATAATAGTTTGTAGAATGCTTAGGTTTGTTCTCTATGTTGAAAATCACACCACCTGGGGATAAGGACAGTTTTAGGTCATCTTTTTCTATTATTATTTGCTTTATTCTTCTATCTTACGGTATTAGCCGGAACCCACTGTTTAATGTTGAACATAAGCAGTGATGGTAGGTGTCTTTATTTCATTTTTTACTGTATTGTTAATGATTCTCAAGTTATACTGTTAATTATGATGTTTAATAGATTTTGTATCATGTTTAATAATATAGGTTATAAGATTAAGGGTGTCATCTCCTATTCCCAATTTCCTAAACTTAAAAAATTTTTATTTTATTTATTTATTTATTTATGTATTTATTTATTTATTTATTTATTCATCTATTTTTTAGGGACAAGGTCTTGCTCTGTTGCCCAGGCTGGAGCACAGTGGTGTTCATTGCAGCCTTAACTCCTGGGGTCAAGGGATCCTCCTGCCTCGGCCTCCGAAGTAGCAGGGACTCCAGGCCACCACACCTGGCTAATTAAAAAAAATTTTTTTTTGTAGAGATGGGTCTCTCTATGTTGTCCAGGCTGGTCTCAAACTTCTGGCCTCGAGTGAGGCTTCCAACTCAGCCTCCCAAAGCACTAGGATTATAGGTGTGAGCCACTGAGCCTGGCCGTATTTTTTTTTTTAATGTGAACAGGTATTGACTTTTATCAAATGTCTTTTCAGCATCCATTGGAATTATCAAGAATGACTTGAATATTTTGGAAGACTTACCCTTAAAACACTCTGGTCTTGTGTCTCTTGGAGGGAAAGGCTTTGATTAGGAATTGAATTTCTTTAGGCTTTTTGTTTGTTTGTTTATTGAGGCTTTCTATTTCTTCTTAAGCCAATTTTGATAATTCATAATTTATCTAATTTATCTACATTTTCAAATCTACTAGCATTTAATTCATATTCTTATCTAAACATTTTTTAAAACTCTACTCTTTGGAGATCATGTCTCTCTTTTTGCTTTAAATATGTTGATTTGTGCCTTTTATTCTTGATCAGTCTTACTGCAGGTTTATCCTACTATGTTTATAAAGCCCATCTTTTAGTATTATTAATACACAGTATAATTTTTTGTGTTGTATTTAATTAATTTTGGCTCTTAACTTTATTATTTTCCTGCTTCCATTTTTTTTTGGATTTATGATGAGTCTGTCTTGCTTTGCGAGTTGAGTATTTAGTTTTTTTTAATCTTTAAAAAACTTTTTGCTGAGTGACTTTAAGTCTCGAATTTAAACTCTAATATCAATGTAACTATATCCCTCTAGTTTTCATATTTACCACCTGTACTGTTATTCAGCTCTAATATTTAACATTTCCATTTTGATTTCATCTTTATTCCATAAGTTATTTTAGAGCTCATCTTAAAATTTCTATGATTTTTAAAAACTATCTTGTTATTTTTGTCTTCTAGTTTAATTACACCAATATTAGAGAACATGGTTTGTGTGTTATTAATTCTTTGAAATTATTTGAAACTTTCTTTAAAACCTAAGATAAGTTTAATTTTTGAAAAAATTATGTATGTTATTCAAAATTATGTTTGCCATTTTTGGGTAGAAAATTCTCTCTTATATGTATAATGCATTTCAAAGAAAGTTGAATTTAATATTTGAGATTACAATTTTTGTAATTACTGAAAATTAGGACTTATTTCTTCCATGTTATTTTTTTCATTTAATTGTCCTTTTCTTTGCTTTTTCTGCATACCGTATTTCCTTCCTATCATGTATTTATTGATAAAGTTTTCCATACTCCCCCATTTTATTCCTCAGATGATTTGGAAGCTCTGGGTGACATTTCTATTTTTGGAAACATTCATACTTAAGTATAAGGTTTTTTGCAACATGACCTATAGTTCTTTAGTGTGTCTAGCCTCTTCCAAAAATGGCAGATAACTTACATATTGACAACCTATTCAACAACCCTCTCTCCCCTGCCTTTCTTCTATCATCTCAAAATTGTTACCTAGAACACCGTTATTGAGAGCTGCACATGTAATTTTAAATTTCATAGTAGCAAATTTTAAAAAGTTAAAGGAAATAGTAAAAAAGTAAATACTATATTTAAAAATTAATATCCAAAATATTGTCATTTCAATATTATATATATATATATTTTTAGACAGGGTCTTGCTTAGTCACTTAGGCTGGAGTGCAATAGTTCCATCATAGTTCACTGCAGCCTCGAACTCCTGGCCTCAAAACAATCCTCCTCCCTCAGCCTTCTGAGTAGCTGGGACTAAAGGCACAGGACAGCACACCCAGCTAATATTTTTATTTTTTGTAGAGACAAGTTATTGCTATGTTGCCCAGGCTGGTCTCAAACGCCTGAGCTCAAATGATCCTCTTGCCTTGGCCTCCCAACATGTTGGGATTACAGGCATGAGCTACTGCACCCAGCCCTAAAAAAAATCATTAATGAGATATTTTACATTATTTTTTTACACACAGTTTTTGAAATCCAGTGTGTATTTTGCACTTCATCATACCTCAATTCAGATGAGCCACATTCCAATTCTCAGTAGGTACATATAGTTAGTGGCTGCCATATCAGGTCATATCAGGTCTAAGGTTTTCATTTTTACTCATGATAAACACAAAAACTCCTAATAAGTACTAAATATCATATATATGATTAAATTTACCAACAAATCTATTCATTTTTGTGCTCACTATTGTTTTTTAAATCCCGTGCCTTTCCTTGTGGTCTTGCTGTTCTCCTCTGCTGAAGCACATACTTGTAGTTCTTTTAGTGAGGGACTGTTAGATATAAATTGTTAAACCTTTGTAGGTCTGTAATGTTCTAATTTGGCCTCATTCTTGAATACAGTTTAGCTGGTTATAATCCTATGTTGACAATAATTTTCCCTTAGGGCTTTAAACATATTACTGCATTATCTCTTGCCCTTGAGCAATGAGCCTGGCTCCCATCCTCTGTCTGGTATAGGGCATGCTTAGTGCATTTTATCTTTAAATGACTGAATTCTGGAGTGATCGGCCTACTTCTGGATGGAAGCCCAGAGGGCCCATAGCTTCAGCCTTACTCATTGCTTTGTATTTCTCTGCAGTTTCTGATCTATGGTGATGCTTACATTATTTTTGAACTAGCTATAGCTTTCTAGTGTCTTATTTTACATTTTACCTGTCATAACAACGGTGTGTCAAAGCATGAACTGATAGAACTATCTTGTCCAGAAATCAACAACTTCATTAAAGTGAAACTTAAATATTTTATTGATTGTTTTGTTGCATCTATAGTATCTTTTCTTTGATAATTTCTATGCTTGCATTCCTGGTACACAGGAAAGGTACCGATATTTGTACATATATTTGTAATTACACGCTTTCCTTTCTAATTAATTCTGTTCATTTTAAAAGTTGATATTATAGGTAACAGGTATCTTCCTTTGTTTGGACATGATTTGTAGAGTTTCCTTTTCTAATTTTATTGCATGGGTTAGCACCTTTATGCTAGTTAATAGTGGTGATAGCTAATAGCTGTGTCTTGTCCCTTACTTTAAAGATGATTTATGTAATGTCTAATCACCAAGTATAATAGTGAACCTTGATCCAAAAGAAGTATAGTGTTCTTGATTAGGTTAAGGGAGTATTTTTTTTTTTTTTTATTTTTTTGAGACAGGGTCTCACTATGGTGGTGAGGGTGATCTTGAACTCCTGGCCTCAAACAATCCTCCTGCCTCGGCTTCCCACAGTGCTGGGATTACAGGCATGAGCCACTGTGCCCGGCCTAGGGAAGTATTCTTTTATTTTCAGTTTACTGTCTTTAAAACAAATCAGAATGACAGTTAAATTCTTTTAAATACTTTTTAGTTTCCCTAAAGATAGTCATACATTTTCACTTACTATTGTGTTAATGTATATTGATTTATTGATTTAATAATATTGAGTCATCCTCCATTCCTGGATTAAACTTTATTTGGTTATGGAGTATTATTCTTTCACTACACTGCTGGATTCCATTGCTAATATTTTTGTTAGAATTTAGATTAAAGTAACAAATGATATTAACTTCTGGTTTTTCTTTTTGTGTTTCCTTAAGTTTTGGTTTGAGATTTATGCAGACTTTGTAAAATTAAATGGGAGGTTTTCCATCTTTTCATATGCTCTGAGAAAGTTTAAATAGCATGGGAATTATCTGTTCCTTGAAAGTTTGAAGTAATTCGTCTATGAAACCATCAGATTATTGTTTCTAAATTGTTATTTTTACATTGTGTATCTTCTGTTTCAGAAGTAATTTTTAACATTTGCAATTAGTTATTTAACAAGACACAACAGTTATTCATACTTAACCCTCTGTGTGTCTGGTGTAATTACTCAGTCATCATTTTGAACCATCAGTCCTCTATCCTGGAACTCTATTTAAATATTTATGGCTCTTTAAGGAACTATCATACCCCTTGCTGATATGATCACATCTTTCCTTTATATGTGAAAGGGAATTTTCCCGGGACTAAATCCTGGGGCACAGACTCTCAAAACCATGTAAACTTTTCTTCTGTCAGTTAGTACTGCAGCATAGAATTCTAAAGCAGTCTAATGTTTATTCCTTTGAAGATAATCTGTTTTTTTAAAAAATACATTATTCCTAGAACTTTAGACCATTTTTATCTGGATCTGATATTTTAACATTCTAAGATATGCTTCAACTTGTGTTTCTGCTCATTGATTTTTCATTAGGATGGGATCTACTCTTTCAATGTGTATTCCCACTTTTTTTTGGCTTTTTAATGTATGTTACACTACGCATACACACACACACACTCACACACACATCTGTTTCTCATTTTCATTTTTTATGAAAATTAATTCTAGTCCTTAGTCTTGATTATTCATTACAGATATTTGAGGGCTTAGTTTTCAACAGGTTCTTGTACGTGTACATAACTTGCAATGTCTCTCATAAATTTCTTCTCCTCTTAGATTTTTTTCTCTATATACTAATTTGATTTGCACATATACTTTCAGCTGGAGTGCAGTGGCATGATCTTGGCTCACTGCAGCCTCAACCTCCTGGGCTCAAGTGATCCTCCAACCTCAGCCTCCCAAGCAGCTGGAACTACAGGCATGTGCCATCATGCCCAGCTAATTTTTATATTTTTTCTAGAGATGAAGCCTTGCTATGTTGCCCAGGCTGGTCTCAAGTTCCTGGCTTCATGTGATTTTCCCACCTCAGCCTCCTGAAGTGTTGAGATTACAGGCGTGAGAGAGTCACTGCATCCGGCCTGCTTTCAGCTTCTAATTTTCTTATCTCATTCATATTTCTTTTCACCTTGTCTTGTTATCCTTCAATCTTTTCTTTTTCTTTCAAGAAGGCTTGCCTCTGTTTTTGCATTCTTTTGAAAATACCAAGAAGTTTTATGAAATTAGTTTTTTGAATCTTGCATTAGATCGTTTTCATGTCTGTTCTGTTCCTGGATTTTGGAATTGTTTCCTTTCCTCTCATTCTGCTGTATTTTTTTCTGGACCTCATGTGGATTTGTTTTCTTTACTTGAGAATCTCTGAGTAAGAACTGTGTTGACACAGAGCTTTCCAACAGCTTGAGAACTGCTCCTGGCATTCACCGAGTCCCCTTTTCAGGCCTCCTGTTGACACCCTCAGTTCTCCAGCTATGGTAGACACCTATGTTTTCCCTTCTCAGCACCAATCCCTACCCCACATTTTTAGGAATTGCCCACCCCTTTTCTGGGGGCCAACTCTCTCCTCTTCCATCCATAGGGCCAGGACCACATGGCCCAAACTCCAGGCCACTTTTAGGGCACCTGACAGAGATCAGGCCATTTCCTCTTTCCTAGGAATGTTTAAGTTAGAAAGAGAAGGAGAGCTCTGTTTCTCTCTGGTTAGCTGAAGCTGTAGCATAAAATGTAGGAATTGTTGGCAGCTATGTTTTCTATCATGTAAATTAGAGAAGGCTGACCCAGAGAGAGAAAAAGAGACGAATAAAGCAGAAATACAGGAAGAAAGAGATGAGCAGGGATTTGTAAGTATGGAAAGGGGGAAGCTAAAAGAACTCTGGGGCGTTGGATTGGAATTGGAAGTAACATCATGAACTCATGGGTGTATAGAGAATCTCCAACCAAATATACAGATGATTACAGATGTGTATGTATGGATCTTCTTGGAGAAATGGCTGAATTCAGGCTGGGGCAAGAGAATTACAGGATGAGTCTGGAATATCTTACTATGTTAGAAAGTAAGGTAGTGCTCAAAAAATTAAGGGGCCTTTTGACAAAAAGGACAAAAAGGGGCCAGCTTGAAAGGGCTCCCACTAGCCAAACTTAGGGCAGTATGAGCACTAAAATAAACAATGAGAGTATTGGGTTACAACTTACTGAATAAAATATAAACCCCCAATCAATACTGGTATAAGAAAATAAGTAAGTAAATAAATGAATTAATCCATATACAAATGGAGGAGAAAGAAAGCTCTTCCAGCCAGCAGAATGTCAGCTAATAGTGACATCATTTGGCAAACATCATAAAGATAGTTGATCTAGGTAGTACTTGTCAGTGGATCCCAAGGCTGGTGGGTAGGAGTTTGATGAAGAGGGACAGCATCTTGATGTAACCTCAGAATATCTCCCAACAAAACACTAACCAAATACAAAGGGGAAATGGTGATTTTTATAGTGGAGAAACCTGGCAGATACCAATCTGACCAGGCCATCAAGGTTAACATGACCAGCACTTGGACAAGTCACCATAGTTGTACTTATGTGACATATCTAGAAGGGAGCGGCATTATTTCTGTGATAATGTCTCAGAATTTTCAGGGAATTGCTCCATTATCTTCTAGGATTTCTGTTGAGAAGTCTGATGCCAATGTTATTTTGGCCTTTTATGCAAAAATTGCTTTTTCTCTATGACGTTTTTAGCATCTTTTAGCCTCAGGGTTCTGAAATGTCATGATGATGTGTCTTAACATGAGTCTACTTTCGACCAACTTTCTCAGCAATTTGTAGGAACTTTCAACATGGAAACACCTTTCTTTAATTATTTCTTTGAGGTTTGCTTTTGCTTTTCCTCATTTTTTTTTTCTTTTTCTGTCCTATCAGATTTTGGATCTCTTAGACTAATTCTTTAATTTTCTATTCTTTCTCTCTCTCTCACTTCGCTCTCCTCCTCTCCTTTCCTCTTTTTCTTTCTCTCTTTTCTTCCCTTCCTTCCCCTTCTTCCTTTCCTTTCCTTTTCCTTCCTTTCCTTTCTTTTCCCTTCCTTTCCTTTCCTTTCCTTTCTTTTTCCTTTCCTTTCCTTTCCTTTCCTTTCCTTTCCTTTCCTTTCCTTTCCTTTCCTTTCCTTTCCTTTCCTTTCCTTTCCTTTCATTCTTTCTTTTCTTTTCTTTGTATTCTATTCTATTCTCTTTTTGAGACAGGGTCTTGCTCTGTTGCCCAGGCTAGAGTGCATTGGCACTATCATAGCTCACTGCAGGCTTCAACTCCTGGGCTCAAGTCTTCCTCTTATCTCAGCCTCCAGAGTAGCTGGGACTACAGTTGCATGCCACCATACCCAGATAATTTTAAAACTTTTTGTAGAGACAGTGTCTCACCATGCTGCCCAGGCTGGTCTCAAACTCGTGGCCTCAAGCAATCCTCCCACCTTGGCCTCCCAAAGCACTGGTATTACAGGTGTGAACTACTGTGTCCAGTCTCTTAATTTTTCATCTACTTTTTTCCCCTTTTATTTTTAAAAGAAAAATTTTACATTATTATATTTTTAGATTTAGGAAAAGTTGTGACAATAGTGCAGAGAATTCCCATATACTTAATCCTCAGTTTCCCCCATTGTTACATCTGTGTGGTACAGTTAATGTATCAATATTTGTGAGAGTTGATCATACGAAGAACTGAGTCATGCTTATCATACCCAATTAGAACAGAGTTGAGAGATCACGGGGAGAAATCAGTCAGGGCACCTAACATTGCTCCAAGAGTGTCATTCTCTGCAAGCCTGGCTGCTGAAACTGCCTGCTGTAACCTGAAACCAGCTTTACCTAATAGTTGCCAAGACAACCTGCTGCCACCCTGAAAATAGTTTTAGCATTGAAGTCACTCACCAGAGTTTGCCAGCTCCCCCAAACTTCACTAGTGCCAATAAACTTTCTTAAAGAACAATATGTAACCATTCTCTTCCTAAAATAAAACCTCTAAGTTTCTGTTAGTTCTTTGAACATACTGAAGACCACCCAGTCTGTGTGTATGCCCCAAATTGCAATTCTTTCTTTTTTTTGTTTGTTCGTTTTTTGAGACGGAATCTCACTCTGTCACCCATGTTGGAGTGCAGTGGCGCGATCTTGGCTAACTGCAACCTCCATCCCCCCAGGTTCAAGAGATTCTTCTGTCTCAGCCTCATGAGTAGGTGGGATTACAGGCACCTGCCACCGCACCCAGCTAATTTTTGTATTTTTAGTAGAGACGGGGTTTCATCATTTTGGCCAGGCTTGTCTCGAACTCCTGACCTCAAGTGATCCACCCGCCTTGGCCTCCCAAAGTGCTGGGATTACAGGCTTGAGCCACCATCCTCAGCCTCCAAATTGCAATTCTTGATTCCCAAATAAAATGTCTTAAATGTAAAGATTCTTCTCTGTATTTTATTTGACTTTGACAATTGATGCATTAACTGAATATTTATAGTAATATTTCTTATTAATAGCAATAGTATTACCAATCAATATTAATAAATATTAATTAATAATTGTTCATTACTAATATTAATATTTCTTAATCAAATATATTAATCAGAATTTTTATCAGATTGCCTAGTTTTTAACTCAGTGTCATTTTTGTGTTTCAGGATCCCATCTAGGACACCATACTGCTGTCAGTTGTCACATCTCTGTAGGTTCCTCTTGACTGTGACGGTCTCTCAGGCTTTTTTGTGTTTTTATGACCTTGGCAGTTTTGAATGTCTCTCACTTGAAATTTGTGTTTTTCTTATAATTAGCCTGGGGTTGTGTGTTCTTGGGGGAAAGACCACAGAGGTAAAGTGTTCCTCCCATCATACTGCGTCAAGGGTCCCTGCTGTCAACATGATTACTGTTGATTTCAACCTTGACCACCTGGTGAGGTAGCGTTTGTGAGGTATCTCCACTGCAAATTCACTCCATATTCCCCCGTTTCCATTCTGTACTCTTGGAAGGAGGCTACTATGTGTACCCACATGTAAGGATTGGGGATTATGTCCCACCTCCTTGATGGCAGAGCATCTGCGTTTGGAATTCTTATGCATAGGTCTCTTCATTTTTGGGGGCTACTTTCTACGAAAGTTCCCCAAATTTATATTTCAATTTTTATATTGAATGTTTTCATTTCTGGTGTCATATTTTAAATTTTCAAAACCTGCTTTTTTGTTCTTTAAATGTTGCTTTTTAGGATTACCTGTTATTGTTTCATGGATGAAATATTTTCTCTTGAATATTGAATATATTGAATGTATTAAAATATTTCTTTTGAAGTTTTCTCCCTGCCAACTCACCGAGTTGCTTTCATCCGTTTTGGCCCCTATCTTTGATGTTAGTGATCTTCTTCCACTCTCTCCTGACACTTCGCTGTGCCCTCATACCTGAGAGTGGGCCCTGGAAAGGCTGTTGGATGCCAGAGGGAGAGGGTTTGTCTGCTGTGGGTTTCCCTCTAAGGTGTCTTGGTTCTGCTGCATCTTAGGGAGTCCCCAAAGTCAGTAACTTTAGGTCTTGTCTCTTCCTCTAATTGGATTCTGCCTTAGTTCATTTTGTGTTGTTATAATGAAATACGTGAGGCTGGGTAATTTATAAGGATAAGAGGTTTATTTGGCTCTATAGGAAGCATGGCACCAATGTCTGTATCTAGGGAGGGCCTCAGACTGCTTGCCATCATAGTGGAAGGGGAAGAGGAGTTGATGTGCAGAGATCTCAGGGCAGGAGAGGAAGCAAGAGGACTGGAGGGAGGAGGTGCCCATGGGAACCATTAGAGCAAGAACTCACTCCCCCTCCTCAGGGAGGGCCTTCATCTATTCATGATTCCAGGCCCCATGTCCCAACACCGCCACACTGGGAATCAAATTTCAACATGAGATTTGATGGGACATACAAAACTTATTCAAACTACAGCACATTCCCCAAAGATGACTTTCTTAACTTTCCTCCTGGAAAGATATCTATTACCAGGGCAACCCTGATGAAATAAATGGGAAAGTTCTTTTCTTGTTGTTTTTCTTTAGTCCCTCTGCCTCTAGGCACAGCTGCTTAAAGAAACCAGATAGCCTGAGATGGCAGCAGAGCTTCTGGACCCCTGCCCAGATACCAGGGGGAGATAAGACCCTGCAACTCCAGGGTGCACTGGAACAGGTGACCTGTGGTTGCCTTCAGATTATTAGCATATCATTATAATGGCAAAATCCCCTCCCTCAAAAGAAAATCTCTGCCATTTTGTGTACATGGGATGTATGAAGACATATATGTATGAATTGCACCTGCACATCTGGAGTCCTGATCTGCCTATGTTAACCTTCCTTTCCCTCCCCAAACCCAGTCCTTCAAAACCTCATGCTTTCTATTGTTTGGAGGCAAGGGACGTTGAGAGTGAGAACCTCCTCTTCTCCATTCCTGGTCAGTGAATAAAACCTGATTGCCTTTTCCAATAGGATGTTTTTTTTTGTAACCGATACAAAGTGGTGAGAGAACTCAGTTTACCAGTGGGATATTCACTGTCTGCTTGTCAGTGATTTGGATGCCAAGAGGGAGAAGAAGGGTAGGGGTCTCAACATTGAGAATCTAAGTTTTCCCTTTAGCCCTCTAGTTTCAGTACTTCCCCTACCGCCACCATGCCTTGGGGTTCTGTGGTCTTGAGACCCTAAGTTCTACACTCTTCAGGGAACAAATCTCTGATTATCTGCCAGGGTCAGGGAAGGAGCACTTGCTCAGTGAGGTCTCAGAATCTCTTAGCATTTCCTCCTGTTTTTAGCCCCATCTTTACTCCCACTGGTGCTAATTGTTGAACGTTCTGTGTGTAATCCGAGTTGCTGCTTGTATTTCTCCACTTTTACTATTCAGCTTTTTGTGGACCACCAAGCCATCTGCTTTCCAGCTTCCAACATTTTTTTCATTATTCTATGTCTCTTCAGATTCCTTGGTCTTATCAGGGAAGAAGAGAATAATATATATGTCCAGTCCTTCATGTTTAACCAGGAATCTTGATAATGTGTACTCACGGTTCATAGCTGCTTCCACAGCAGGGACCCTGTGCATGTGCACAGGCTTAGACACGATGTGGAGAAGGCAGCATTGTTTGGGCAAGGTTGACTTTTGCCATGTGGTTGTGATTTCTTCTGAGGGAGGCCAGGAGCTCAGTAAGCAAAATGGTAAGTTTTGTGGCACAGATTAAGAATTAAAGTTGCTTGATTATTGTGAAGAATAGTTCATTAATTGCAAAAAGTGTATAGAGTTTTCTAAGATCCTATTTGAAAGCAGGTAAACATATATTTTTGTAAAAGCAAGGAGTGGTATTTTTTTTGAGCCAGGATTATATGACAGGAACCACATTGCTACCTGTAAAGGCTCTTTTCTTTCCTTGTCTAGAGGTATGGTGCTATTTACAAATCACATATTTTTTTTTTAAAGGAAAGGGATTTCCTTGAGTATAGGACAGATAAGAAAAGGGAGTTCTGGTCAACCCTACCATAGCAATAACCAAAGATCCTAAATAATACGACCTCACAATTTAGCATGTTTTCCCATGGGGTGGTTTTGCTCTACTGAAGTCTGTCTCCTATCTCATTTTCTGGTTGTTAAGTAGACTGGACCAATGGGAAAGGTGGGGAAAAAAACAGTCTCCTGCAAGCCCTTTTAGCTGGGCATCTCCTGTTTTGCCCCAAGCCTACAAGAAATTACTTATAGGAATTATACTTCCCAAGATGCAACAGAGCTCTCTAACCCATTCCCAGGTTTCTAGGCTGTTGACTTCCTGGGCCTTGAAACACATCTTCCCTACCCCCTCGCTCCCTTTCCAGCATAGCTGCAAGTTACCCTGAATATACACTCCCTGAATGCCCTTTGAATGGATCTAGAAAGTTTGGGAAGGAGGGTTGGGGTGGATGAAAACAGGGTCCTTTCAAAAACAAAAATAATATTATTAATAGTATTAATAATAATAACAGCAATAATACTAAAATAATATTAATAATAATAACAGCAATAATACTAATCACAATAAACTGCACTTGGAAGTTAGAGGAATGACATTTCCTGGGTGTTACTGAATCAGGAGGAAAACAAGGTAGGTTGATATGGAGGTTTTGTTTCTTAAGTTTTTCTCAGGAGGTCTTTATTTTATAAGGCAAAATCTAGGATAGGGTGGTCATAGTTCTCAAAAATATGGGTCATTAGCTATGTGTGTTAAGAAATACATTTTTGATCAAAATATGTATTTAAACATTTCAGCTGGTAATTTTTTTCCAGAAATAATTACTTCGCTGAATGTGAACTTCATGGAAAAAAAATGTTGAAAAATTTCACTTCACACAGCTCTAACTCACATTCCACTTCCCTCATTTACACATTATTCTTTCTAGTGAAATTTCTTTTTACACGTTCTTTTGAGACAGAAATGGATACACAACACTAAAACAATTTTTAACAAACGTTAACTCAAAAGTCAAGAAGAAATATACCAGGTGTACTTTTTGAATAAAAAAAAGTTATTAATAATAAAAGACATTTGCAGTTTGTAAATTTCCTTTTTACCGGGCAGGAAGCCAAAGTTCTGGATAGTTAGACTAACACCAGATATCCGGAAGCTGTCTTGAGGATTATTTTCCTCATTCTGCTCCCCCTGCACTTGAGGTTAGCGGCGACTCCTTCAGCTTGTCCCAGGGGCCTTCGGTGAGCTAGTTCCTGGCGAAGTTTCTAGGGGTTCAGCCTGTGGAGGGGCGTGGGACACCGGCCACTCTCTGCCATCCCCTGGGGCAGTCCCCTAGGAGATCCGGCCAAGAAAAGGCCTTTCCAGGCACTGGAGGGCTCTCTAACCCCTTCCTGAGAGTTTAGCAACCTCTAACTACCGATCTGGCTGTGTATCTCAGCCCAGGTGAATTCGAGACGTTACATAAAGGCCTTCTTACTCTTTTTCATGTTGTCAGATTCAGACGGAGCTGTAGAATTTTTTTTGAAATGCATTTTATCAGTAGGACTCTTTTTAAAAAGTGTTAACTACATAATAGTTTTCTGCCTCTCTGATTAATTGATGGGTCCTCTACCCAATTAACTAAGGCAAACTTCGAATTTGCATTATTACTGCCCTTTCAGATCCAAAGGCACTTAAAAAAAAGCGTTTAATGGCTCATTTCAGCTCGACCTAAATGTCCTCACAGCGCAAGCGCAAGCGTTATTTTTGGCTCGAGGCATTGCTTTCCACTATCTCCCCAAAGCTTTCTCCGCCCAGCCCGCAGAAACCCAGCTTTGCAACGTCTATTCAGGCCCCTTCCATTTGCATGTCTATCAGTGGTCTTTCACAGCCCAGGGGCCCCCACAAGTGCTCTCCAATAGCGGCATTGTTCTGCAGAACCACCCCAAATCAGAGCTCCCAGCTTCCTTCTCACTTGCTGCTTCAGTGTCCTTGAAATACCTGTTAGTTTTCAAGGCACACTAAATCCCTCGCTTTCTACTTCTAGGAGTTTTGCCCTCCCTTCTTGCTGAGATGGCTAAATGTGGGGAAATACTTGAATTTGCTTTTTGGTAAAGTCATTAGAAGCCACCTCAAGTTTTATGTTCACGCCATCTGATCTTCCTTATTGCTACTTTCCACTCCCTCCAGGCTGGAGACTGGATCGCCATAAAGGAGAGAATGAAAAATATGTGTTTCTCTCTCTTTCAATTTAAAATTGCTCTGAAGATGAAGTCTGCGTAAAAAAAAGTGATAGTATTTTGAGATCAACATTTCAGATTCGACGATTAAAAAAATGACTGTGGCCAGGGGAATGGATTAAAATCGACTTCAAATATTTCCTCCATATTGTGACAGGTCTGATGAGTCCATTTCCAAAAGAGTTGGACCAGGACACGACTGAGTAGATGTGTTTGTGTGAGTTTATATGTGACACATATGTTTATCCCAAATATGTTTGATTACATCCACATTCAAGATTGCTTATACGCTTTGAAGACTAAATAATAATAATAGTAATATCTTTCATTTGTTTGATTCCTTAAAATCTGTATTGGAGCTGGGCACAATGGCTCATGTTTGTAATCCCAGTATTTTGGGAGGCTGACATGGGAGGATCACTTGAGCCCAGGAGTTTGATTCAGCCCAAACAACATAGCAAGACCTTGTCCCTATAAATAATAAAAAAAATTAGCTGGGCATGGTGGCGTGCACCAGTAGTCCCAGCTACTTGGGAGGTTCAGGTGGAAGGATCACTTGAGCCCAGGATTTCAAGACTGCAGTGAACTATGATCATGCCACTGCACTTAAGCCTAGGCAACAGAGCAAGACCTTGTCTCCAAACAAACAAACAAACCAAATACCTGTACTAGGGTGAACACCAGCTAAGCCAGCTCACTTGTAAATCTAGAAAGTGATATTACATACATACATACATACATTAGACATTCACATCAGACCTGTGAGTAAGGCAATCCACTAGTTTTTATTTCCATATTCTATGAATTAATTATTATCTTTGGGCCAGGTGCAGTGGCTCATGCCTGTAATCCCAGCACTTTGGGAGGCCGACATGGGCAGATCACTTGAGGCCAGGAGTTTGAGACCAGCCTGGCCAACATGGTGAAACCCCATCTCTACTAAAACTATAAAAATTAGCCAGGCATGGTGGCATGCACCTGTAATCCCAGCTACTGGAGAGGCTGAAGCAGGAGAATCACTTGAACCTAGGAGACGGAGGTTGCTGTGAGCTGAGATCACACCACTGCACTCCAGCCTGGGTAACAGAACAAGATTCCATCTCAAAAAAAATTTATTGTATTTAATAACTTGTTATCATCACTAACTTGCCTAAAGACACTTAACTACTTGGAAGCAGACCTAGGACGAGAAGCCAGGCTTTGTGACCTCTGGCTTTTATACCTGGCTGTCCTTTTCTCTGCTCCTGGCTGGGTAACAACCTCCCCCAAAGCTGCACTCACTTTATATGATCATAGATCATTTTTATTTAGTTGGGATATTGATAATAAAAAGCAGATAATTAATTATAAATTGAGTTTTAAAATTCATTGAACTCAGGTAATTCTGACAAAGATTCTTTGGTTGGCCAAACTTTAGTCTGGCTTTGGAACCTTCTCATGGACCCATCTATGCACTTCCTTGTAAAATTCAGGTTTAGCAAAAGAACCCTGCTAAATCAGGTTAGCCAGCAGCCCCCACCCGCAATTTCGGATTAGGTTCCTGATCCCCCACTATCCCCCAGGTGATATCTTCAGCAGGAATCCTGCTAGGTTGGTTACCCAGAATCAGCTTTCTCCCTGTGTTTTTCCTCTTAGTAATTTTCCATCCACTGACCCCTACACTGCTCCTTGTCTATCAGTTCCCACTTGCCCATGCTGTATTGGGAATTGAGCTCCATCTCTGTCCCCCACTGCAAGATCCTATTTCAGTGTTCCCTATACCTATCACCATGGTCCAGAATAAAGTGTTCCTTACTGTACTTTAATAAGCATCATTGAATAATTTCTTCCTTAACAGCTATGGTGTCATAACTTGGATAAGATTAGATTCATTATTCGATGCTTGAACCTCTCACTCAGGACCCTAAGTGTGTGCCTTTGAAACCTTTGTCTTCACTCCTGACAGTACTCCTGGGAGTACAGGCATGTACCACCATGCCTGGCTAATTTTTATATTTTTTTGTAGAGATGGGGTCTCACTATGTTGCCTAGGCTGTTCCCAAGCTTTTGGTCTCAAATGATTTTCCCACCTTGGCCTTCTAAGGTGTTGGGATTCCAAGCATGAGCCACTGCACCAGGCCCCCAGGCTACTTTTGACAGCTACCTCCTGGGCTAGAAGGTCATCTTCCTAGCTCCTTGTTCTGAGGAGGGATTATTCTCTGACTCCCTGGGCTGGAAGTTCTTCCTGACTGTCTGTGAGGCCTCTCTGTTGTCTCTATTCTCTCTGTCAGTTCCTGCTTCTCCCATGGAAGCTTCTCTGCCACCTGAAAACCCTCTTCTTGAACCCCTGCTGCCTGTATGCTCTGCCAACTCTGTCCACACCCTGCCAGACCCTTTCCTTCCCCACTTCAGCCCCTCAGTCACTTGAACTTCAGGCCCCTCTACCCTCCACTGGGGGCTCTCAAGGGACTCGGAGGGCCCCCAAAGCAAACACCTGAGGCTAAAAAGAAAAAAGGGAACTACTTGGAAGTTAGGCAAATGAAGAATTGAAGGAGTCTTCTCTACAAGTATTGGTTAAAAGCTTTAGCCCTTATTGAGTAGGTAACCTCAACTTGTCCTGTTTTCATTACAAACACAATTCGAATAAAAATATAAGTGGAGGAGGGAGGTTCCAAGATGGCCAAATAGGAACAGCTCCAGTCTGCAGCTTCCAGCATGAGCGACACAGAAGACGGTGATTTCTGCATTTCCAACTGAGGTACTGGGTTCATCTCACTGGGGCTTGTCAGACAGTGGGTGCAGAGTGGGGCATTGCCTCACCAGGGAAGCACAGGGGGTCAGGGAATTCCCTTTCCTAGCAAAGGGAAGCCATGACAGATGGTACCTGAAAAATCAGGACACTCCCACCGTAATACTGCGCTTGGGCTTAGCAAATGGCACACCAGGAGATTATATCCCACGCATGGCTTGGAGGGTCCCACGCCCACGGAGCCTTGCTCATTGCTAGCACAGCAGTCTGAGATTGAACTGCCAGGTGGCAGCAAGGCTGGGGGAGGGGTGTCCGCCATTGCTGAGGCTTGAGTAAGTAAACCAAGCGGCCTGGAAGCTTGAACTGGGTGGAGCCCACCACAGCTCAAGGAAGCCTGCCTGCCTCTGTAGACTCCACCTCTGGGGGCAGGGCATAGCTGAACAAAAGGCAGCAGAAACTTCTGCAGACTTAAATGTCCCTGTCTGACAGCTTTGAAGAGAGTAGTCCTTCTCCCAGCATGGAGTTTGAGATCTGAGAACAGACAGACTGCCTCCTCAAGTGGTGCCTGTCCCCCAAGTAGCCTAACTGGAATTCACCTCCCAGTAGGGGCCATCTGACATCTCATACAGCCAGGTGCCCCTCTGAGATGAAGCTTCCTGAAGAAGGATCAGACAGCAACATTTGCTGTTCTACAATATTTGCCGTTCTGCAGCCTCTGCTGGTGATGCCCAGGCAAACAGTGTCTGGAGTGGACCTCCAGCAAATTCCAACAGACCTGCAGCTGAGAGAAGGAAAACTAACAAACAGAAAGGACATCCACACCAAAACCCCATCTGTACGTCACCATCATCAAAGACCAAAGGTGGATAAAACCACAAAGATGGGGAGAAACCAGAGCAGAAAAGCTGAACATTCTAAAATTCAGAGCGCCTCTTCTCCTCCAAAGGAACACAGCTCCTCACCAGCAATGGAACAAAGCTGGATGGAGAATGACTTTGATGAGTTGAGAGAAAAAGGCTTCAGACAATAGGTAATAACAAACTTCTCCAAGCTAAAGGAGGATGTTCGAACCCATTGCAAAGAAGCTAAAAACCTTGAAAAAAGATTAGACGAATGGCTAACTAGAATAAACAGTGTAGAGAAGTCCTTAAATGACCTGATGGAGCTGAAAACCATGGCACGAGAACTACATGATGCATGTACGAGCTTCAGTAGCTGATTTGATCAAGTGGAAGAAAGAGTATCAGTGATTGAAGATCAAATGAATGAAATGAAGTGAGAAGAGAAGTTTAGAGAAAAAAGAGTATAAAGAAATGAACAAAGCCTCCAAGAAATATGGGACTATGTGAAAAGACCAAATCTACATCTCATTGGTGTACCTGAAAGTGACGGGAAGAATGGAACCAAGTTGGAAAACACTCCGCAGGATATTATCCAGGAGAACTTCCACAAACTAGCGAGGCAGGCCAACATTCAAATTCAGGAAATACAGAGAACACCATAAAGATACTCCTCGAGAAGAGCAACTCCAAAACACATAATTGTCAGATTCACCAAAGTTGAAATGAAGGAAAAAATGTCAAGGGCAGCCAGAGAGAAAGGTCGGGTTACCCACAAAGGGAAGCCCATCAGACTAATAGCAGATCTCTCGGCAGAAACTCTACAAGCCAGAAGAGAGTGGGGGCCAATATTCAACATTCTTAAAGAAAAGAATTTTCAACCCAGAATTTCACATCCAGCCAAACTAAGCTTCATAAGTGAAGGAGAAATAAAATGATTTATAGACAAACAAATGCTGAGAGATTTTGTAACCACCAGGCCTGCCTTACAAGAGCTCCTGAAGGAAGCACTAAAAATGGAAAGGAACAATTGGTACCAACCACTGCAAAAACATGCCAAATTGTAGAGACCATCAATGCTAGGAAGAAACTGTATCAACTAACGAGCAAAATAACCAGCTAATATCATAATGACAGGATCAAATTCACACATAACAATATTAACCTTAATTGTAAATGGGCTAAATGCTCCAATTAAAAGACACAGACTGCCAAATTGGAAAAAGAGTCAAGACCCATCAGTGTGCTGTATTCAGGAGACACATCTGACCTGCAGAGACGCACATAGGCTCAAAATAAAGGGATGGAGGAAGATCTACCAAGCAAATGGAAAACAAAAAAAAGCAGGGGTTGCAATCCTAGTCTCTGATAAAACAGACTTTAAACCAACAACGATCAAAAGAGACAAGGCCATTACATAATGGTAAAGGGATCAATTCAACAAGAAGAGCTAACTATCCTAAATATATATGTACCCAATACAGGAGCACCCAGATTCATAAAGCAAGTCCTTAGAGACCTACAAAGAGACTTAGACTCCCACACAATAATAATGGGAAATTTTAATACCCCACTGTCAGCATTAGACAGATCAACGAGACAGACAGTTAACAAGTGTATCCAGGAATTAAACTCAGCTCTGCAGCAAGTGGACCTAATAGACATCTACAGAACTCTCCACCCCAAATCAACAGAATATACATTCTTTTCAGCACCACACCACATCTATTCCAAAATTGACGACATAATTAGAAGTAAAGCACCCCTCAGCAAATGTAAAAGAACAGAAATTATAACAAACTGTCTCTCAGAACACAGTGCAATCAAACTAGAACTCAGGATTAAGAAACTCACTCAAAACTGCTCAACTACATGGAAACTGAACAACCTGCTCCTGTATGACTATTGGATACATAATGAAATGAAGGCAGAAATAAAGATGTTCTTTGAAACCAATGAGAACAAAGACACAACATACCAGAATCTCTGCGGCACATTTAAAGCAGTGTGTAGAGGGAAATTTATAGCACTAAATGCCCACAAGAGAAAGCAGGAAAGAGCTAAAATTGACACCCTAACATCACAATTAAAAGAACTAGAGAAGAAAGAGCAAACACATTCAAAAGCTAGCAGAAGGCAAGAAATAACTAAGATCAGAGCAGAACTGAAAGAGATAGAGACACAAAAAACCCTTCAAAAAATCAATGAATCCAGGAGCTGGTTTTTTGAAGAGATCAACAAAATTGATAGACTGCTAGCAAGACTAATAAAGAAAAAAAGAGAGAAGAATTAAATAGACACAATAGAAAATGATAAAGGGGATATCACCACAGATCCCACAGAAATATAAACTATCATCAGAGAATACTATAAACACCTGTATGTAAATAAACTAGAAAATCAAGAAGAAATGGATAAATTCCTGGACACGTACACCCTCCCAAAACTAAACCAGGAAGAAGTTGAATCACTGGATAGACCAATAATAGGTTATGAAATTAAGGCAATAATTAATAGCCTACCAACCAAAAAAAGTCCAGGACCAGATGGATTCACAGCCGAATTCTACCAGAGGTACAGAGAGGACCTGGTACCATTCCTTCTGAAACTATTCCAATCAATAGAAAAAGAGGGAATCCTCCCTAACTCATTTTATGAGGCCAGCATCATCCTGATACCGAAGCCTGGCAGAGACACAACAAAAAAATAGAATTTTAGACCAATATCCCTGATGAACATCAATGCAAAAATCCTTAATAAAATACTTGCAAACCGAATCCAGCAGCACATCAAAAAGCTTATCCACCATGATCAAGTTGGCTTCATCCCTGGGATGCAAGGCTGGTTCAACATAGGCAAATCAGTAAACATAATCCATCATATAAACAGAACCAAAGACAAAAACCACATGGTTATCTCAATAGATGCAGAAAAGGCCTTCAACAAAATTCAACAGCCCTTCATGCTAAAAACTCTCAATAAACTAGGTATTGATGGAAAGTATCTCAAAATAATAAGAGCGATTTATGACAGACCCACAGCCAATATCATACTGAATGGGCAAAAACTGAAAGCTTTCCCTTTGAAAACTGGCACAAGACAGGGATGCCCTCTCTCACCACTCCTATTCAACATAGTGTTGGAAATTCTGGCCAGGGCAATCAGGCAGGAGAAAGAAATAAAGGGTATTCAATTAGGAAAAGAGGAAGTCAAATTGTCCCTGTTTGCAGATAACATGATTATATATTTAGAAAACCCCATCATCTCAGCCCAAAATCTCCTTAAGCTGATGAGCAACTTTAGCAAAGTCTCAGGATACAAAATCAATGTGCAAAAATCACAAGCATTCCTATACCCCAATAACACACAGACAGCCAAATCATGAGTGAACTCCCATTCACAACTAATTCAAAGAGAATAAAATACCTAGGAATCCGACTTACAAGGGATGTGAAGGACCTCTTCAAGGAGAACTACAAACCACTGCTCAACGAAATAAAAGAGGACACAAATGGAGGAACATTCCATGCTCATGAATAGAAAGAATCAATATTGTGAAAATGGCCATACTGCCCAAGGTAATTAATAGATTCAGTGCCATCCCCATCAAGCTACCAATGACTTTCTTCACAGAATTGGAAAAAACTACTTTAAAGTTCATATGGAACCAAAAAAGAGCCCACATTGCCAAGACAATCCTAAGCAAAAATAACAAAGCTGGAGGCATCACGCTACCTGACTTCAAACTATACTACAAGGCTACAGTAACCAAAACAGCATGGTACTGGTACCAAAACAGAGATATAGACCAATGGAACAGAATAGAGCCCCTGGAAATAATAGCACACTTCTACAACCATCTGATCTTTGACAAACCTGACAAAAACAAGAAATGAGGAAAGGATTCCCTATTTAATCAATGTTGCTGGGAAAACTGGCTAGCCGTATGTAAAAAGCTGAAACTGGATCCCTTCCTTACATCTTGTACAAAAATTAATTCAAGATGGATTAAAGACTTAAATGTTAGACCTAAAACCATAAAAACCCTAGAAGAAAACCTAGGCAGTACCATTCAGGACATAGGCATGGGCAAGGACTTCATGACTAAAACAGCAAAAGCAATGGTGACAAAAGCCAAAATTGACAAATGGGGTCTAATTAAACTAAAGAGCTTCTGCACAGCAAAAGAAACTACCATCAGAGTGAACAGGCAACCTACAGAATGGGAGAAAATTTTCAAAATCTACCCATCTGACAAAGGGCTAATATCCAGAATCTACAAAGAACTTAAACAAATTTACAAGAAAAAAATCAAACAACCCCATCAAAAAGTGGGTGAAGGATATGAACAGACACTTCTCAAAAGAAGACATTTATGCAGCCAACAGACACAGAAAAAAATGCTCATCATCACTGGCCATCAGAGAAATGCAAATCAAAACCACAATGAGATACCATCTCACACCAGTTAGAATGGCAATCATTAAAAAGTCAGGAAACAACAGGTGCTGGAGAGGATGTGGAGAAATAGGTACACTTTTACACTGTTGGTGGGACTGTAAACCAGTTCAACCATTGTGGAAGACAGTGTGGTGACTCCTCAAGGATCTAGAGCTAGAAATACCATTTGACCCAGCCATCCCATTACTGGGCATATACCCAAAGGATTATAAATCATGCTACTATAAAGACATGTGCACACGTATGTTTATTATGGCACTATTCACAATAGCAAAGACTTGGAACCAACCCAAATGTCCATCAACGATAGACTGGATTAAGCAAATGTGGCATATATACACCATGGAATACTATGCAGCCATAAAAAAGGATGAGTTCATGTCCTTTGTAGGGACATGGATGAAGCTGGAAACCATTATTCTCAGCAAACTGTCACAAGGACAGAAAACCAAACACTGCATGTTCTCACTCATAGGTGGGAATTGAACAATTAGAGCACTTGGACACAGGGTGGGGAATGTCACACACCAGGGCCTGTCATAGGGTTGGGGGAAGGAGGAGGGATAGCATTAGGAGATATACCTAATGTAAATGATGAGTTAACGGGAGCAACACACCAACATGGCACATGTATACATATGTAACAAACCTGCACGTTGTGCACATGTACCCTAGAACTTAAAGTATAATAAAAAAAAAGTATAAGTGGCGATAAACCAGTGAGTTTTTATTACTCTGTTTTATTGCTTCATGATAAGAATTTTTAAATGAAAAACAATAGGATTTGGTTGCATCTGTCTGTATGTTTATGTTTGTGTACATGTATATGTATTTAGTTTCTATGTTATGTATACATGGTATTTTTCTACCACCAACTAAATGCCAGCTAATTACCAACTAAAATGCCAAGTTGATTTAGGTATAAATGATGCTCAGATAAATTAAATATTCATAAAAGTCTCAGAAAAATGGAAAGTGCCCCCAAGTTTTAAAGTTAATATGATCTGAGATAATCTTTGGTAAATAAAAGTTAGTTTAAAAATTATTGGTAAAATAAAAGTAGGAAACCTGGTACAGTGGTCCAGTTACTTGGGAAGCTAAGGCAGGAGGATTGCTTGAGCCCAGAAGTTCAAGGCTGTAGTGAGCCATGGTCATGCCTGTGAATAGCCACTGCACTCCAGCCTGGACCTACTAGAGAAACTCCCATCTCTAAAAAAATTAATTAAATAATTAGTTAAAATAAGAATGTCTTTAGAATTGTCAGCATTAAATATAATACAGACATTCTTGCATGCTTATGCTGGTCAGACAGGTTTGTGTTGTCTCTGCTTAGATGTTTAAAATCATAGACACATTAAACACAATACACAGTACAAATGAGTTGCCTGATGCATGTTAGTTGCAAAAGTTAAAAAAAAAGAGGTTGTTAAAGAGCTATGAAAATCTTGTGTAGTCAAAACTGCCAGATATATTCATTTATAAGGTTTCATTAAAAATTTGTTTTAGTAGTGTACTGATGCAAAACAAACTTTGGTCTTCTCTATTAAAATGACAAAGTTTTTTTTGGCATATTGGTCTGAGAATGTGAAGGGTTTTCCTTACCTTTTATGTAACTGGCCTAGGAAACAAAGATTATGTGTTTTATCAAGATAATTTCTTGTGCTTAATGTTGTATTTTATTGGTTCTTTGATTACTTAAGAAAATTGGGTCTTCTCAATATTAAAAGAGCTAAATTTTTGTTCGTAAGTACGTCACCTTCTGTATTTACATTTAAAATCTTTCATTATCAGTTCAATTAAATAGATAACTAATATTTAATCAAGTGTTTTATTTATTTATTTATATATTTTTTGAGACTGAGTCTCGGTCTATTGCCCAGCCTTGAGTGCAGTGGTGCCATCTCGGCTCACTGCAACCTCCACCTTCCTGGTTCAAGCGATTCTCCTGCCTCAGCCTCCCCAGTAGCTGGGATTATAGGCACCCACCACCATGCCTGGATAATTTTTGTATTTTTAGTAGAGATGGGGTTTCACCATGTTGGCCAGGCTGGTCTGGAACTCCTGACCTCAGGTGATCCACCTGCCTTGGCTTCCTGAAGTGCTGGGATTACAGGTGTGAGCCACCATGCCTGGCCTAATCAAGTGTTTTAAACCTTTGATATTCTGGACAAACCCAAATCAAGTTCTAAATTAAGTCTTTTTGACTTAATTGGGCCTCAGGAAAGCCTTGAAGGATGTATCTTTCACTTTGGAAAATAGAGCTATTAAACTAATTAGGCTTATTTGATATGTTAAATTATATGGGAAGCATTGTCAAATAATAAGTGATGCTAAATGTTCTTTAAGTTATATTTATGGATGTGTTATTGATATGAGTGTTCCAAAAATTGCATGAGATTCCTAGAAATGTAGTATTTCTAGGAAATACTAGAAACTCACAAATTCATTGTGAGTTGTGCCATTATTACACTGAACTCACATCAGAACTTTAATCATAGCCATTTGAAGTCTTGTTGTCCACAGTTAAGTGCTTTATTCTGAAAATTTTTTTCTTTGTAAGCAACTACAATCCTAAAATGCTGTATCTTCAAGGAGATTTATAAAAGAAACTCTGACAAATATAGGTTTCTGATAACTTTAAGATCATACCATTGAACTGGATAAGAATTTCCAGAAATCTAATGAAACCAATGGGTTCATGAAACTGCTGTCCCAAGATCAAGCAGAACAAGAATTAATTACATGGGATTGAATGAACTGATGAGGATAATTTTTAAGTGACTTTTCATTGGAAATATTGTTGATTCTTCAAAAGTTTTGTTTTTCAGATTTAAGGAAGCTTTTAAAAGCTATTGATAGCTTACAGCAATTTGGTAAAGTATACTTTTGTGAACAAAAGTTGAAAGATTTATTTTTTCTCCATACCCAATCCTTCTAGAATTAGGAAACTATTTGTGAGTATTCTTATTTTTATGGCAATGTAGTAATTTGCTTCATTTCAATAAGAATCTGTTCTTTTTGTAACAGGACACAATTGGAAACACTGGTTATATTACCAAGGCTTTCACTGGAATGTCATATTTCAGCTATGACCAAAGAGCTTTAAGAAACTAAGCCTGACTTTATGGAGTCAATAAAGCTCTCTTTTTGAAAAACTGGCCTGAGAGTTCCTGGCCTTACAGGTGAGTCAGGAATGTCACTTCCTGGCTGGCATAAGAAACAGGATATTTTGGGGATCTTGAGAAGAAAGGAATTCATTCAAAACTATAGGTGTTACAGACATAGCTTTATGGCAAGTCCTTTGTGTGGCTTCCTGTCTTTGAGAGGCTTTTACAAGTCCAATCTGAGATTCCTCATCAAAAGTTCCATCAAAATTAACAGAAGCCGATATAGTCAATCATAATTCTTACACTTATGTATATATGTAAGAATAGTGATGCAGTTATGTAAATAATCAAGTTTAATGAGACCAAAGTTATTTTGCAAACAAATCAGTCTTATTTTGATCATCTTGTTAGAAATGGGGGTGACTGTTAAAAGAAAAATTATCTTTCAGAAGAAAACTATAGTGTACCCAACATTAGAGTCTAGCCCTCTTTATTTTCTCTGAAGTTTTATTATCTGCCTGTAATCTGGACTGCATCCTAAATTCTAGTTTCCTCCAATGTCTAGCTACAATTCTCCAAATTAATATTTCTGATTTTCTCCCACCCTTCTGACTTGAAATCACTGAAGGTAAAACTGCTCTTTTTTGTAGTCCTGCAAGCTGAAGCTTGAGGTCTTGATATAAACTTGAAAGAGATCACCACAACTGTGTATGTACGGACAACCTTTGTGACACTCAAAACTGTAAACCAGGAAAATCTGTCATTTGCCACTTCCTGCCTCTGCCTTACTCCAACTGCAGATGCTTGAAGCCCAGCATCTAGAAATTTTCTTGATTGGCTGCTCTCTGAGTTTGTATAAACCTGAGTTTATAGTTTGTTCCAGGTAGTAATCTTTGTTTTTCTTTTATTTTCATGGAAATTAAGCTCCCCTGATTAAAGGCTCACACCATCCAGGAGATCTTCCTCACTACCAGATCCCAAGAAATGAGCCAGCTGGTCCTTCGTGAGCAAAAGGCAACCAAGAAGGAAAATAGCCTTATATTGATAGAGGAGGTAGAAAGAAGTTATTTAGGCAGATAGTGAGGGCAAAAGACTCCTGACAGAGCTTCTTCCCTCTAGCAAAAAGCATTCCCCAAAAGCATTTCTTTTCTAAAAAAGAGCAGCCTGAAAAATTGAGCTGCAGACATAGATAAGCAAGCTGGAAGCTTGCTCGGAGGAATGCCAGCAGCTGTGCCAATAGAAAAGGGATACCTGGGGGCCAGGCATGTCCACCATGGAGGCTCCATCTTCCCTTTTTTTTATTACCAGGTGTACAGTAATAAAGAAATGGGCAACATGGGGAAGCTCAGGCAGAGAACCTGCCTGCATAATAAAAGATTGGGATGGGGGCAGCCAGAGATTCACACTCTATGCAAATGGAACACTGGGTCCAACCAGTTTTTCACGCCCTATGTAAATCAGACACCATAACACCCCCCACCACACTCCCACCGTGGCTGCATTTCACTGCAGATCCAGCAACCCATTTTTCTGGGACCCCACTCTATAGCAGAGAGCTATCTCTTTCTTTCGCCTATTAAACTTCCACTCTCAACCTTACACTTTGTGTGTCTGCGTCCTTGTTCTCTGTGGCTGTGAGACAACGAACCTCAGCTGTTATTCCAGACAATGAGGCTGCTTTAATATTATTCAATGAAAAGAAGAATGTTTCTTTTTTCCTTGAACAAGAGTGGGGACTGACAAAGTTTCTTTTGCTTGGCCAAACTTTAGTCCATCTTCTGAAACTCCTCCTAGGCCTATAAGTGCACTTCCTTATAAAATCCAGCGTTGGCAGAAGAGCCCTGCCAAGTTAGTTTAGCCCAAACCCCCACCCTCAATATATGATCAGATCTCTCATCCTCCACCATCCCCAGGTGATGCCTGATCACCCCAGCCTGTCTTCAGCAAAAATCCTGTTAGGTCAGTGTACCATTGTCCCTCTCACCTCTGAGTTTCCTCTTAGTAACTTTTCATCTCCTGAAGCCCACACTGCTCGTTGGCTAGCAATTGCCACTCGCCCATGATCTATCGGGAGTTGAACCCCATCTCCCTCCCCCACTGCAAGACCTCACTGCAGTGGTCTGTGTACCTACGGTGGTGGTCCTGAATAAAGTGTCTCACTGTGCTTTAATAAGTGTCGCTGGATAATTTTTTCTTTTACCGTGCTTACTACCCTAGATGTAAAAATAGTTTGAAATAGTTTATACTGCCTGAGTTCGATGAAGCACGTATTTAAAAATTTCGCATTGTTGCCTGTCAAGTAATTTTGCTTCACAACCCAAGGAGCTTTATTCACTGTTTCTCAGGAGGGTGGTGGCAAAATTGCATTTGGACTGGTTTCAGCCAACATCTCTGGGTTTCTGGATAAATTGTATAAAAAATATTTACTCTGTGGAGTCACCCAAGAGAAATGGCACACATTCCAATTTTTGGACATTTTGTGATTAAAGCCAGAGAAAGCTAAGTGGAGTGGAGTCTAAGGAAAGAATTAAAACCTCGATTACTCAAATGAATGTAGCACAAAGGGATTTCAGGCTGGTCCCCAAGTCTCTGGGTGTCTCAGACACAGGATGACCAGAGGAGCCATGGAACACTTGCTCAGAGCTTGACCTTTCTTCCTCTGGGTCCCCCTCTTCTTTTCCTGGAAGGATTTTCTTGACAGTCTGGCTGTGTTCCTTGAATTCACCACATTAGGTTGTTACCACTCTCCCCAAATATATTTTCTTTTCTTTCTTTCTTTTTTTTTTTTTTTTAAAGATGGAGTCTTGCACTGTCACCCAGGCTGGTATGCAGTGGCGCAATCTCAGCTCACTGTAACCTCTGCCTCCCGGGTTCAAGCGATTCTCCTGCCTCAGCCTCCTGAGTAGCTGGGATTACAAGCACCCACCACCACACCCAGCTAATTTTTTGTATTTTTAATAGAGATGGGGTTTCACTATGTTGGCCAGGCTGGTCTCAAACTCTTGACCTTGTGATCCACCCACCTTGGCCTCCCAAAGTGCTGGAATTACAGGCGTGAGCCCCCACACCTGGCCTATATTTTCTTCTTTCCTAGGCTTACAGGGAGATCGGCTGTGTGGAGGAAAGTCGACTATCTAAGGGTAGGATGAGAAAATCAAAACGTCTGCTGGAAAGGCAGCGTTTGTGAGACAGGAAGAATCAGCTGTGGTCTCAAGGGCTCCTTGGGAAAGGCTTCTAAATTGTGCAGGGCTGGAGATGGGATTAGACACAGCTCCCGGCCTGTGTTGCTCATTCAGGCCAGTTCTCTTTCTGCCCCTTTTCTCTGGGGAGTGACCAGGAGACGGGGCAACCATGTCACTCTGTTTCCCAAAGAGCAAACAGTAGATGTCGCTGGAGGTGAAAGGTTAAAAACTGATGTCAACTAAATGAAGGGAATTTGCAGGGGAGGGGGAGTAGGTCAGCATGGAGGTTGGGGAAAGGTTGGTGGGGTGAGAGCCATAGTGTGCCTGTCCCAGAGATGAGAGAAAACAGACTGACCCCCCTCCCCAGCTTTAGCCCTGATATTCGTGTATTAATTTCGATCAGGTCTTTTGCTTCTCTCAGCTGTGATGTTTGGCCTCTGTGTCAATGCTACAGCTACCTTCCCAGAAGATGCTTCAGTTATCCTGCTCCTGCCTAGACGTTGGCTCCGCTGGGCACATTCTGCCTTTGGAATTGTTTTCAGTATTGCAGTGTCGCTTTTCATGCTGCCCTAATGGTTGCTATGTTTCCTAAACTAAGGGCATGCTATATATATATATTTTTTCTATACTGATTTTCCTACACTAAGGGTAGGCTTGATTTTTGGAAAAATCCCCAAGTCAATCAGAATAAAATCTGAAAAAAGGCAGAGAATGATGCTGGAGCTCACGAAATGTGAACCCCCTCTTGAAAACATGGGGTTCTTAGAAAGTAATGTGTCTGATGTTTTTTGTGCTGCTCTTCTATATGTTTTAATTTCCAAAAACATTTCAAATAAGTGTGTGGCTTCTCAAAGTGAGTGCTCATTTTGTAGGGCCAGGTTAACTTTGAGATCATTTAGAAAGAAAGGTGATTTTCTTCCCCCATTGCCACATCCCCCAAGATGGACTCTTCCTTGAGAGCTGAAAAGAGGCTCCACTCACAGCTCAGGAGAAAAAGACCCAGTTCCCTCTTGGACCACGTTCATGTTGGCTGCCAGGATGGCGTGTTAGAGGACTTCTGCCACCTAAGTCACGTGGGGAAAAGTGCGCTCTGTTCTGGGGGTGAGATGGAGGCAGGAACACCCATTACAGGCCTGGCTGGGACTGGGCCTACCTGGTGGTTGCAGATTTCTTTCTTTATTGAGCAATGACTGAATTTAAGAGTCCACACTCCGGCTTATATTCTCTTACCTATAAAATAGGAAAAAAGAGACTGGGCATGGTGGCTCATGCCTGTAATCCCAGCACTTTGGGAGGCTGAAGCGGGCAGATAACCTGAGGTTAGGAGTTTGAGACCAGCCTGGCCAACATGGTGAAACCCCGTCTCTACTAATAATACAAAAATTAGCCAGATGTGGTGGCACACACCTGTAATCCCAGCTACTTGGGAGGGTGAGGCAGGAGAATCGCTTGAACCCAGGAGGTGGAGGTTGCAGTGAACCAAGATTGTGCCATTGCACTCCAGCCTGGGTGACAAGAGGGAAACTCTGTCTCAAAAAAAAAAAAAAAAAAAAAAAAAAAGGAAAAAAGAGGGTGGTTTCTCTCTTTGTACAATCCAACACTACAGGGATGGCTGTGAAATTCTTTGGACTCAAAAAGGAAAAAGACAGGAAGAGGCCAAAATCCTAAGGAAGGATAAATGAGGAAACAATATAGAGAAAAGTCTGGCAGGGAAAAGGCAGGAAAGGAAGCAGATGGAAAAAGAGGGAAAGAAAGGAGAAGAAGAGAGGAAGAAAGTGAGGCAGGGGAGAAAGCAGACAGAAAGGGCAGAGGCAAGAATGATTCTGGTGACACAGAGGCCAGGCTGTAGGATGGACACTCTCCAGTGCATCTGTGGGCGAGAGAGATTTTGATTTGAACTTTTTCAGGGACCTGTTTTCTCAGATGTCCTGGGGACACGATTCTAATACCTTGGAAAACACCAATGTGTGTTCTTTGGTGGTTCTGGGTCCTGGGACTGGAAGGAGGGAAAGGAAACCCTCCCAGAAGCAGGAAGTACTGGATCCCGGCTTTGGGCTTGTGTTGGATGGGGAGGAAACAGGCCCTCATAGAGAGGATCTGTAAAAGTCTAAAGTGGGATAAAGCATTTAGCATATATGAAGTCATGGATGTAAATTTTAAAACATTATAATTTTATTTGTTATAGGTCAATGTATGAAGAAAATCAGTATGGCGTCTGGGTGTAGTGGCTCACACCTGTAATGCCAGCACTGTGGGAGGCTGAGGTGGGAGGATTGCTTGAGGCCAGGAGTTCAAGACCAGTCTGGGCAACATGTTACGAACATAACGTTTGTGGAGACCCTGTCTCTACAAAATAAATGAATACATAAATACATTAAAAATTAAAAAAAATTGAGCTGGGTGTGGTGGTGCACATCTGTTGTCCCAGCTACTTGGCAGGCTGAGGTGGGAGGATTCAGCCCAGGAGTTTGAGGCTGTAGTGAGCTGCGATGGTGCCAATGCACTCCAGCCTGGGGGACAGAGCAAGACCCTGTCTCTAAAAAAAACCCAATTACTGTGGAAACAATTGAGCTATGAAATACCAAACCACTGCCTACCCCCAGCTCCCACCTTCAAAGCACACCAGCATCTCTCTGTGCGAGGACCCCTGTGAGCCGGGAGGGGTCCTCTGGCTTGGGTGCTGGCACCCGGTCTTAGAGCAGCTTCAAATTCTCAACCCCAAATGGAGACATGCAGCTTCGCACATGGTCTGACGGTGGGCTGGAGTATTTAAAGTTAGACCATTCTGGGAAATATCACTGATGTACAGACTTCCCAGGCAGGCCTCAATGATTCAGCCATGGACCTGCTTTGCCCTCACGGGGAGGAGGTCCCTGACAGCGTGGAGGTCCCTGTCCACCCACAGGGGAGGAGGCCTCTGCGTCCTGGCAGGAAATAGCCTTAGGTCTGTGTCTAGGAGTGGAAGTCAGGCTCTGCCCAAGGGATGACCCATTTCCTTTTCCTTTATTTCTCCAAGTGGAGAATCCCCAGGACCCTGAAGGGGAGCGCCCTTCCGGAGGGAGCCACATGTCCCGCCTTCCCCTTGGCGGCGGGCATGGAGCTGCCTTCTTCCCACATGAGAGCAGGGAAGGAAAAGGAAAGCAGGGCCGCTGGCGGGGCTGAACTCAGGAACCGCTTGCCTCTCCCAGCCCGGCCCCCACTTCCCTATCCCTCACCACCCCCATCCGCTGGTAACGCAGGGTGTAATCTCGCTTCTAACACAGAATTACAGAAAACGAGGGGGAAAAAGCCCCGAAAAGAATAATTAATTTCTGCTTCCTCATGCAAATCCTTCGGCCAGTCATCCGAAGTTCAGAGCAGGACCAATTCAGTTCCTTGTGCGAATTCCAAGCTGAAGGCATTTAGAAAAGGAGAGAGCGAGAGGAGAGAAATTGAATGGATTTACTTTTCTAAGAACCAGAATTAACAAAGGTTCCATTTTCCGTGGTTATGGGTCTGGCTAGACAGCCCTCACTGACAAGCTCTCCAAACACATGTGCTGGCCTGCTGAAAAGGCCTCAGTGTTGACTGACAGATAATTGAAGTGACAAATTGTTTCATTGTATTTGGCAGAGAGAGTGCTGTATTAGATAATTATGGGGAACAGAGGAGCTCTGGGGTCTCAGGTCACAAGACATGCCTGACCCTATTTTCTGAAAACTCTGAATGGAGTTCTGGGTCCCCGAGGACCTGAGTGTTAGGCTGGCTCTTTGTTGTTGTTGAGTTTTTTTCTTCCCCTTTCCCTCCTCCTCTGCCTCCATTGCCTGCCCTTCCCCCCCTTTTCCGATCTAATGATTAAGAGCTAAAGAATATAGAGACCTCCAGAGCCGAGGGAACGGGCCCTGCCCCCACCATGCCCGCCCCCACTCCAATTCCTCCCTTTTTAGGAAAACAACTTGTGAATTTTCTCCATGGTAGCCCGTTTGCAAACTCTTCTTCTTATCAGCTCCCCACAGTGGCCTGAAAGGAGGCAGCCGGGGACAAATGAGTGGCTTCAAAGGGTTGAGGGGTGAGGGTGTCCCCCTACCCCTCAGAGGGAGGGGAGCAGAGCTGCTTCTCCGCGTGGCCTGGTGAGGTGGGAAAATGGAAGACCCACAGTTAGTGGGTGGTGAAATAGGTCAGACCCCAGCTTGTGAAACTCTCCATCCAGGGCTCTTTTTCCCAAACCTGCTGGGATACAAATTTTTTAAGATCAGGAGTGCAAAATGCAAATCACAATATCCCCCTCTCTCTTCCTGGCCCTCTTTACAGCTGTATAATCCTACAAGAAACTGGAAGCAGCTTCACACACACCGTCTTTAGCCTCATGCGTGATCGGGCCTGGGCACAGGGTGGGGGCAGATTTCCCTGTGCCACACAGCAAGGAAGGGGCCAGTCGCCGCCCCGCTGTGTCCTCCACCCATTTCCCAGATGCCCCCTACAGAGGTGGACAGGGATTCTTTAGGGGAGAGAGAGACCCTCAGAGCAGAGACATTCCCGGATGGTTCAGGAAGGAGCCCGCGACAGGCTGGAGGAAAACCTACTTACTCCTGCAGGGGACGAGTGAATGGCTTGGTGCCTCTGCTCTTAGCACCAGTGGGGGAGGGGCAGTCTTCAGATTGGGGATTTAGGATCTTCACTATAAACCCCATTTGCTCTCTACAGGGCTTTGATGCTCTGGAAGATTTACTTTGCTTTTAAACAGAAAGGGTTTTGGAATTATTCAAACTCTCAATGTTCATTTTTTTTTTTTAAGTTGCGTTTTCACTTTTCCCTCCATGCCTTTTTCTCCTTTCTTTTGGTTACCTTTTATTCTTAATTATAAGTCCAGAGAAGACCCCCCAGGAAGCAGTTTGATGTTTGGTTTCCAATTCTGTTATCTTAAAAAAAATAAAAATAAATAAAGCACACGGGGGGAGCACCGGGACATTTCTGAGTATGTGACACAGCTGAGTTCCATAGATTTTCTGTTTTTTTTTTTTTTTTTTTTTTTTTTTTTGAGACAGTCTTGCTCTTGTCACTGAGGCTGGAGTGCAGTGGCGTGATCTTGGCTCACCACAACCTCCCCCTCCCGGGCTTGAGCAATTCTCCTGCCTCAGCCTCCTGAGTAGCTGGGATTACAGGTGCCTGCCACCATTCCTGGTTAATTTTTGTATTTTTTGTTTATTTATTTATTTATTTTTTAGTAGAGATGGGGTTTCACCATGTTGGCCAGGCTAGTCTCGAACTCCTGACCTCAGGTGATCAGCCTGCCTTGGCCTCCCAAAGTGCTGGGATTACAGGCATGAGCCACCCCCTCTTGGGACTTGGCCACGATCATGTGGGAAGTCCAGGCCATCTGGTGAAGCCACATGGAGGTGCTTTGGATAACAGCACAGCTGAGCTGCTGACAGTCAATGTCAACCATCAGCCATGTGCATGATTCATCTTGGAGGTCCAGTCACATTCAGACTCTAGGTGATCCATATCCGGGCTCCATTTATCTGAATATAGCCCATGAGAGACCCTAAACGAGAACTGCCTGGCTGACTTAGTCAACATATACATGAACCATAGTATATTGTTGTCTTAAACGACTTAAGTTTTGGAGTGGTTTGATACACAGCAATAGTTAACTAGAGCAAACCACCAGGACTTTATCCCGTCCTTGGGATGGTGCTGAAAAGAAAAGGGGTTCTCCAGGAGAGGAAGGAGAAATTGGCACACAATCCACTCAGAGCAGACAAAGCAAAGACCCAGGAGAAGATGGTGCAGAAAGCCCTGGTGCAGGAAGTGCCACTGGGCCCCACGTGCTTTGAAGTACTAGGGAAAAAGCTTCATTTTTCTCTTCTTTTTACTAAAGGATGCTTTTCCTTATGAAATAGATCTGAAGTATTCACCATGGCAGGCACCCGTCATCCCTCCATCATTTGTGGAGTTGAGTATTAACAGATTTGAAGGTTAGGACAGTGGAGGCTGAGGATGTCTTTATGAACAGAGGACTCTGCTGGAAGGTTCACATCCAGAAGCTGGAAGGGCTGGTAGAAACCCAAGGTCACCAGGAAGACAAGCCGGGAACCCGGCTGACTCTGTCCTTGGGCTTTAGTACCTGGCCTGGCAGAGAGCTGGATGCAAGAGCAAGTGAAATCCAACAACATCAAAGGCCTTTGTCATGGGGTTTTAATTTTTCTGGCCCAATGGGCTTATTATTTTCTATTTTCTTTTCCTGCCACTCCATCCCATCACATCCTCCGGCCTGGGTCCTCCCTCATGATTTAATGACCTCTTTGGGTACTAGTGATCTCAGCTTTTTCTCATTTACTAAACCTCTTTTTTTGGAGTCAGCCTTCTATTTGGGCCCAGATACAATTCTGGCTAACAGGCCTGCCCTCCTGGGGCCTCAGTCCTGGCTTCTATGTCTGAGGAAGGAGATTCCACTGGCAATTGTCTTTTCTGAAAGAAGAACAAAGAAGAGAGAAAGTTTCCTTGAGCAAACCCAATGTGAAAGACTCAGATTGGACAGGTAGGTAAATTAGTGAGTTATTCATGTTTAGAAGATGTTTCTTTAAATGTCCACAAGTGCATTTAAATATAATTTGATTTTTTAAAAATAGCAAAGGTAGCACTTCTTCAGGCCATATTTATCACATAAAGTGAGAGGGACAGATGTTTATAAGACGGGAATCTAGCAGAACGTGCCTTAGTCTAAAGACAAAGAGAGCCCTTGATTGATTTCTCACAGGAGGAGACATTTTTCTACCTTCTGAAGTTAAAAACAAACAGCGAAAGAGGTGAACAAATCCAGACTTTCTGCATTCAATTCACTTCACCAAGTCTTTTTTAAGAACCCATGTGTGCCTGGTGGAACTGCCAGTAAAGGTATCAGATTAGTAGAAAAGGCTATGGAAAATCCATTTTCAAAGCTGTAAGAGAGCGATACCAATATAAAAGAATGTACAATGAGAGAGCATCTTTCATTCTTTGTTTCACATCACTTCTAGAGTAACAGGCGGATAGTCTTAGGTCTCAGGAATGGAAAATTTTGCCAAATCATCTTGGGAGAAATGTCTAGATCTGGAAAGAACTTTGCATTCTAGGCCAAACTTCTGCCTCAAGCAAATCCGTTCTGAGAGTAAGTCAAAATCAAATCCAAACAACCAAAATAAACTAATGAGAGAAAAAAACCAACAACAAAAACCCAACAACAATAAATGCAAAAGGAAAGAGAAGAAATTTTTTTAAAAAACCCACAAAGCCTCTGTGGAAGGAAACCACAGTTAGAAGGGAGGGAGTAGGAGACCGATTCAACTTGATTCAAACCAATCCAATCCAACCCAATCCAACCAACATTTATTGAGCACCTACTATGTGCAGACAGAGTGTTAGGTTCCGAGGCTGTGGAGTTGAACAAAACGCGGTCTCTGCTCCCAAGAAGCTACATTTGCAAGTCTGCACAGAATCAGATGTGTGTTTGTTCATACATCAGAAAAGGGCCCATGCTTCCCGGACCCTTGGGAAAACTCTGCCCTTTCTGACCTCCACTCTGTGCCGCCAAGTCCTCTTGGCTGCACGCGGGGGGATGCCATCACCCTGTGTGCGGGGTTGGGGGCACACGGGCAGGGGTGGCCAGGCAGGTAGGAACATCTTTCCCAGCACATCTGCGGGAGCCTGAATTTCATGAAGACCCCTTTTTTCTTTCTCCCCACTGTCAGTCTAGCACAAATAATCATTAAAGACCGTTGCCCACGATGGAAATAAAATACAGCCTGAGAGCTACAGCACAGCTCCTCCATTGAGAGCCCGCGGAAGCTTGATAAGGCCAATAATTCAAAACAGATGAACGGCCCGGCAAATACTATGGGCTCAGTATCCCAGCCTGACCCGACCTTTGAAACTTGCTGAAAGTTATCCTTGAAATTCCCCAGAACTCCTTGAAAAACTTCTGTAAAAGGCTTATTTATCACAAAGCCATAAATAATATTTGCTAGGTATTTGCTCCATCTATCTAGAAAATGAATTAGGCTAAAAGATGTAAACTCAATGGCTGAGCCTGGGCAGGGGCGGGGTGGCCAAGGTTGGGGGAGACCACTCAGTTTCAGGTAGGAATAAGGGAGAAGCTGAGAATAGGGGAGAAGCTGCTGTGCTCCATCCTCATGTATCTGGAGGGGGGCTGGGGGATGGGGTGAAGATGGGGCTGCTTAAGGAGTTAGGTTTAATGCAACAGATTTTAATTTCATTGCTTCTACAAAGAGGTGTCTGTAGATTGCTGTCAAGAGACATAGCTCTGGTAAATAATTCGCGTGATACTTTTACACAAAATTGCTTCTGGGCAAGCGTCCCAAGGTGCCTGCCCAGAGAGCTACACATACTCTGTGACTGCCTTCTGTGAAAGCTGGGGGCTTCATTCATTCACTCACTCACTCATGCATGCATTCATTCATTCTTTCATTCATTCATTCAACAAATCCATCCAAAGGCTTCATCCTAGTTCTGTGGAAGGTGTAATAATATAAAGGATGTAGTTACATCTCTCAAGGAATCTTTATCAGCAGGGAGAAAGGAAAACACACAGATTCCTAGCACACGATGTAGAAAGGGATACACAGCTTAGGACAGTACAGAGACAGAGCTGTAGGAATGCAGAGGACAGTGAGATGACATCCAGCTCCCGGGAGAGGGTTGTTGGGAGGGGGCAAGGTAGGAGATGAGAGGATTCCTAGAGGGGCTGCACTGAGGGGAGGGAACCTTGGAGGCTGGGTCGGCCGTGGCAGGGCAGAGGTGAATCCTTCCAGGCCAAAGGGAGGGTAGGAGGATCAAATATAAGGATGTACAAGCCTTGGCCCCAAATAGGCTATTTATTTAAAAAGGGAGAGGAAATGGTGGAGAAACGAGGGCCCAAAGACTCTGACTGTAGTCCTGAGAAGGTGAAAGGAAAGGTGTTCATGGGTATGAAGAGAAGGAATGGTTCACAAGCTACCATGGAAGATGATAGATAGAAGCTGGCATATGGGGCCGGCAGAGTGGCTCACACCTGTAATCCCAGCACTTTGGGAGGCTGAGGCAGGAGGATTGCTTGAACCCAGGAGTTTGAGGTCAACCTGGGCAACATAGTGAGACCTGAGACCCCATCTCTAAAAATAAAAATAGCCATGTATGGTGGCACATGCCTGTGGCCCAGGTACTTGGGAGGATGAGGTAGGAGGATCGCTTGGTCCCAGGAGGTCAAGGCTGCAGTGATGATGCAGGTATGGCCATTGCACTCCAGCCTGGGCAACAGAGTGAGACCCAATCTCTTTAAAAAAAAAAAAAAAGAAGAAGAAGAAGCTGGCACCTGATTGTGTGGGGGGATGGGGAAGAGAGACGAAGGAATCCTCAAGCAACAATGCTTGAGGCTTTTATCATGGCACGTGATGCTATTAAAGATGAACCTCAGAGTCTGAGCCTGCATGGCTGGGAGTCAGGGAAGAGCAGGGAAGTTAGGAAAAAGTGCCTGCTTGGGAGAGAGTATGAGGAAGGAGAATCAACAGCATCTCATGCTATTGACAAATGGGGACAAGGGAGGGTGCTGGAATGTTTGTAAGCCAGCAGGGAGACAGACTGAAGATAGGGTAAGAAGACAACCCACTTGGATGAAGTGTAATAAAAGGCCATATCCAAGCCTGTGGGCGGAAGGAAGGAGGTAAGGGTGAGCAGGTGCCCAGAAAAATTTAGGAGGGAGAGAGGGAAGTTGAGAGAGCGCCTGTCCTCATCCTGATGAAGTCAGTGGGCTGCAAGGGGCACGCCGAGATCTCAGGAGGTGCCTGATGTTTTGGATGTGTTTTTATTCTGCAATGAGGGCCCAGTGGCTCCACTGGGGGCTGCATCAGCCATTTGCTCCCTGAAGTATGGAGTTCTGAGTTAGGTGACTGAGTTGTTCGAATTTACTCAGGAAGCTGGACTTTGTCATGAGAGGCTGGCAGGATAACAGATCAGGGAAGTTGGGTTTGTGTGTGGTCATGGAGCTTGGTTTGGGGGATGTTTTGAGGATCCTGTCTTGCTGTTCTGTTGTTCTTAGGGGCTTCCCTGTGTGGGCCATCAGTGGATGTCTGCTTTCCCCACAGCGCAGGATTACTGATTGTGATGGAAGGCATCACTCAGGGGCTTGTCATGGTTCCAGTTCTTATCCTAGAACATTAGAGCTAAAAGGGATCTGAGAGTTCCCATTGGTCTGGGACGCCCTATCCTGTCAATCCAGAAAACCAGCTCTGGCCCCAGTCTCCCATTGCTCCCAGCCCCTAGCCTGAGAGGCCCTCGGGGTTTAGGGAGGGGGTGCAGCAGTGGCAATGCGAGTGGGCCTCTCCTCCTCCCAGTGCAGGTGGGAAGCATGCCTCAAAAGAGGTCTGGGACTCATTCATTTAGAACAGCTTCTAACTGGTAATGTCATGGGTTTAGGGGCCAGTGCCGGGCATGGAGTAGATACTCAATAAATACTTATTGAAACAGAAAAATGAGAAAATTAATGAATCATGTTAGGATTAGAGAAAGAACAAAGTTTGAGGACTTAGGGCTTTTGATTCTTTATTTATTTATTTTGAGATGGAGTTTTGCTCTGTCACCCAGGCTGGAGTGCAGTGGCATGACCTTGGCTCATTGCAACCTCTGCCTCCTGGGTTCAAGCGATTCTCCTGCCTTAGCCTCCCAAGTAGCTGGGACCACAGGCATGCACCACCACGCCCAGCTAGTTTTTGTATTTTTAGTAGAGATGGGATTTTTCCATGTTGGCCAGGCTGGTCTCGAACTCCTGACCTCAAGTGATCCGCCCACCTCAGCCTCCCAAAGTGCTGGAATTACAGGTGTGAGCCACCACACCCGGCCAGGGCTTTTGATTCTTAGTTCAGTTTTTTCTCATTGTGCCCATAGTCTGTTCTCCCCAGACATTTTCTTTAATGCTTCTATATCTTAAAGAGTTGTGTGTTTCTACGTTTCTTCTCCAAATTCCGGAATCTTCCCCCAGGCCTGAGGACCTAAAAAAAGACACCCTGAGTGTTAGGACAGTATTCACTCACTCTCTTACTGGCCTCTTGTTAATTCATTCCTTCCTGTCTTTCATGCATTGTGTATTTATTCATTTATGCAGCCATTCAAATATCTATTGAGATCTATTTTGATAAGTCAGGCACAGTGGAGAAGAGCTGGTCTTGATGTTCTGGTAAGAGGAGTGCAAGAGTAAATGTCAGCCTACCTGCAGGTTCATTCAACCTTGGGATAGACCTCAAAGGTGGCTACAATTTGTCCCTCCTCGGCTTCACATCCTCTTGCTGTGACGTTGACTGCTCTCGCACTTTGAGATGGGGCTCTGTCAGGAGACTTGCTTAGGCTCCTGTGAAACAGGCAGAGGCTGACAAGCACCTGTGCTGTGGGGCCTGTCTGCTATTACTGCTTTGGGAACACTGTGACTGCCACCACGTGCAGCAGCCTGGGCTGCTTCTGGTGATGAGGGGCCTCTGTCATTCCAGCCAATAACCTTCCACTCATGGACATGTGAGTAAAGCCATTAAGTTTTGGAGTTGTTTTACAGCAGTAGCTGACTGACACAGTACTCCTCATTGTCCTTGAGAGGCTATGAGAAGTGAGACTCTAATGTCTTTCCAACCAAAAATCTCCCTTGCACCATGATGCACCTTAGTTAAAGCCCAAAAGTACTTCTGCAGAGACCAGCTGCAGATCCTGTATATCATGTACACACTTTCCTGGGAGCCATATGCTCTCTTACAATCTCTGGGCATTAAATCAACAATAAATACCTATTGATTCCCAGTTGCAGATAAGACTGTCTGTAGGGTGTGGGCAGTCACCAGGTTTCCAGGTCTGATAGGAGCATAGGAGCGGGTCAGGCAGAAACACTAGAGGCATAAGTGAGTATCTGAGGTCAGCACTTCCAGAAGTACCCCCCACCACACACACATACTCAGGGAGCACAGGAGCGAGGATGCAGCCACCTGTGCTGGCCAGCTCAGGACTCTCTAGTCATCTGCAACCCTGGAGGATCAACTGTCCTTCATGGGCCAGAGGTGGTTCTCCTGCTGCAGGTCCCCAAGGGCTGACATCTCTGTTTACCCTCCAGGGATCTCCCTCGTAAGGGTAGGGTCTCAGATTCCAGGGCAGGAAGGTTCAGCCCAGGAGGCTTTGCTCTGTGTATGCCGTCAGGCTGGAGTCTGCAGTGTTCACTGTGACTCAGTGGTTGCTGCCTTAGTGAAGGAGAGAGTTAGAGTGATGCAGGGCATGTGAGCCCAAACTGGGGCTTAGCCTGAGAGGGTGCCTGGCTTTGCCCAGGGAAAATTTCAAGGGTGAGCTGGTGGTAGAAGAAAATGGCTTTATGGAGGCGGCAGTGTTGCAGCTCTGTGCCTGCTCCTGCAGAGTGGGGCTGCCCCACAGGCATGTGCTGAGAGTAGCAGCTCAGGGCAGTGCTGCAGTCAGATTTATACTCACTTTTTATTACATGCAAATTAAAGGGCGAATTATGCCAACATTTCTAGAAGGGGTTGGAACTTCCGGGATGCCAGATTGTTGTCATGGAAAGGGGCAGTAATATCCAGGTGTTGCCATGGCAACGATAAACTGACATGGGACACTGGTGGGCGTGTCTTATGGAAAGGTGCTTCCACCCCATCCCTGTTTTAGCTAGTCCTCAATTTGGTTCAGTGTCCGAGCCCTGCCTCCAGGGTTGAGTCCCACCTCCTACCTGGAGGGGTAGGGAGGTACCAAATTGCACTGAGTACCATGGAGAGTACAGAGAAGATAAATGAGTGATGCTGATCAATCAATCAATTGATCAATTGATAACACATAATTATCTTAATACAATGCTAATAGCAGCTCTTGTTTATTGAGTGCCAGCTGTTTTGCAGTCACTGCATGGTAAACACTTCACGTATATTTCCACTCATGTTCCCTGCTCCCAGTGCTTGCCTTCTTGACGAGCAGGGCATCATAAGTGTCCTGCATGGGCAACAGTCCTAAGTGCTGCAGCTAGAACAGGGCAGTAACAGCTCTGCAGCATGAGTAACGGAGCTCGAGGCATGCAAACCTGGGTCTGCACAGGAAAGCGTAGCATGCACATTCAGCTGCCCTCTCTCTGGGCTCTCCCACATCCATCCTTCAGGCTTCCCTCACCCCATTACCCTGACAGCTTCCTGAACATCCACTCCTCACCCCCCAGTCAAAGTGTCCCCATCCTCTGTCATAATCCATTTGGGCTCTGTTCTTTGCAACAGACAGTTAAGCCCAGATAAAGGCAGCTAATCTGTCTGTTAGCTCATGTGTTCCCGTGACAGATAACATAACTCATTACCACGGATACTTTGCAGGGCTCTTGAAGAAGGTCCTTGAACAGTAACTCTCAGGCTGGAATTTGGTTGGTACCATGGGAGTCATGGAGGAGTGCTTGGACAGATGGGGGTTCATCACCTCTCAAAACTGTCATGACGGTGGCTGTGCCACCCTCCTAGGTGTGCCTGATGCCAACCTCTAGGAGCCAGGCATTCCGACTGGGCAGTGGAAAATGGAAGTCTCAGGCTTCAGGATCAGATGAATCTGAATTTGCCTCTTATAAACATGGTCATGTAACAGTTTTACTTAATATCTTGAGACCTTGGTATTTCTGATCTGCAAAAATGGGAAAATTATACCCATCATGCAGGCTCACCGTGAGGATTAGAAATAATATAATGGGCTGGGCATGGTGACTTCCACCTGTGGCCCCAGCTACTTGGGAGGCTGAGGCAGGATGATCGCTTGAGATGAGGAATTCGAGGCCGCAGTGAGCTATGATCCCACCACTGCACTCCAGCCTGGGCAACACCCTATCTCAGAAAAAAATAAATAAACAAAAGGAAGAACATAGCCACTGTGGGTCCCTGACTCCTCTTGCCTGAAGCCTCTGGGTGTGGAGACACAGAGATCCCAAGGTTTAGGGGTGCAGGCCTCGACTCCAGAGCCAAGCCTCATGGGCTCAAATGCTGGTTCTGCTCCTTATTAGATATGTGACCTTGAGAGTTACTTTCCTGGGCCCCAGTTTCATTATCTGTCTGGGACAGTAACAGTTCCTACATCAGAGAGTTGTTATGAGGATTAAATGAGATAGTTCAGGTATGTGATGGAACTGGCACTGTGCCCAGGTAAAAAGTGGTCAGCGTGAACAGGCATTAGCAGGTGGGGGTGAGGACATCACTGGCTGAGTGTTAACTCCCTTGGGCAGCTCGGCCTTCCTAAGTTATTGCTGAGCTGCTGCTCTCAGCAAAAGCACGGAAGGAGTGTGTGTGCGGAGACCGAGTGGCTCAGTGAGGGCAGGAGCTTGCCTGGATCTTCTTCAGCTCCTGAGGGCAACATCTGGGGGGTGTCTCAGAGTCTGATGATTCCAAACAGCTCATCTCAGGAGCTAGAGCAAGCACCTGAGGCCTGGAGGGCTTCCAAGAGGAGGCTCCAGGAGTGATTGCCAAGGACCTGGGGTGGGCAACAGTGGAAGGAGGAAGAGGAAACTCCATGTTTGTGTAGTTCCAACTGCATCCTGCAGCCTGCTCCAGGTACTTTCTTAGGACCTCTTCTCTATAAAAAATTTAAAAATTAGCTGGGCATGGTGGCGCACGCCTGTGGTCTCAGCTACTTGGGAGGCTGAGGCAAGAGGATCGCTTGAGATCAGAAGTTTGAGGCTACAGTGAGGTATGATCACACCACAGCACTCCAGACTGGGCGACAGACCCTGTCTTCGAAAAAGTAAATAAACGAAAGAAAGAACATAACCACTGTGGGTCCCTGACAGGGCGCTGGTGTGAAGTGCCCTCTTTGAGTCCTCAAGCAACCTGAGAGGGGTGTGGTATCATCCTCTCCACTTCACGGAGGGGACCCTGAGGCTGTGTCATTCAGGGACTTGCCAAGGTCCCAGGAGAGGAAATGCCTGTCTGCTGGACGCCAGTGCTCATGCTCAGTGTGCCGCAGTAGGCAAGTGATGACCAGCAGATGGCTTTAGGCACGACACTCTCCGCATTTTTCAGTTACCAGGAAAAGGAAAGTAAGCAACAGAAGACAGACCACCAGGGATTGTTTGGTGTGGGGTTAGGGAACTGGGTCAATCAATCCACAAACACAGGCAACCTCCAACTTGTAGACACAGGCTTAGGGCAGCCTGGACATGCAAATAGCTGTGTTCGCTAATTTGGGAGATAATTACTTGTGCTGCTTTTGCTAAAATTGTCACTGAAACTCCAGATGCTAAAGGCTCCCCCAGTTTTTTTTTTTTTTTTTTTTTCTGGAACTCTTCTTGCCTGCATTTTAATGTCAGCTTGTTTTCTGGATGGTTTCTCTTTTTCTTCCAGAGAGGGCACTGAGATGGAAAGCAGAACAAACAAAAACACAAACAAAAACCTCAATGAAGTGAAGATTCCGTCGGCCAGAGTTCTGGTTAACTGAAGCCTCCTTGTTGAATGTGGCTTTTGTTCTTGTTTCCGGCATCGGCTTGCGGCTGGACATTTGTGTGTCTGTGCAGTATGGAGGATTTGTTGACGCTGGTGCTAACCAGAGACCCCCTGGCGGAGGGGATTGTGTGTGTCTCCTGCTGTGTGTGGTCGCAGTTAGCTTCCGGGGTGTTGGGGCCAGGGAATAAAGGGGCCCAGCAGGTTGGTCCTTTCCTCACTGATTTCCTGTGGGGACAGCGGCCCTTGAACAAGAGGATTTCACGGGGCAGGGCCACCCCTGCTCTGCCTTTGCATGTTTTTTCCTCAATGATCACAGGCCTGTGTGACGAATGCTGCTGAAGGCAGGCCCCAGGGAAGGGAGCAGGGGAGGAGGAAGCCATTCAGAGATGGTGTGCGCTTTTATTGCCTCGTCTCCAGGGAGCCCGGCCTCTCTGGCTACTCATGAGGAGCTGGCAGAGCACCACAATCAGGGGCCTTCTGTTTTTTCGCTCATTTTTGTTTATTCCTTCATTTCTCCCTCTTCCTTTCCCTTTCTCCCTTCTTCCATCCATCCTTCTGTTCATCCGTCCATCCATCCATCCATCCATCCATCCATCCACCCACCCACCCATCCACCCATCCACCCATCCATCCATCTATCCACTTACCCATCCACCCATCCACCCATCCATCCATCCATCCATCCATCCATCCATCCATCTTTCCAACCAACTAGCACATTGTGCAAGTGCTGTGGGGGGAAATATACAAGACCAGCTCCTTGCTCTTTCAGAGTTTCCAATCCAGGAAGGGAAAGAAGACAAATGCATGTATGAAACAAAGTAGAAAACCAGCAGGCCACACAACAGAGCACACACAGTTATGGGTACAGAGAAGGGGTCCTGCCAATGTTGATCAGGCAGAGGGGGCCATTGATTTGAACCTGGAGGGACAAGCGAGGGGATTTCAAATGATGGAGGTGACAGGATTTGCCTTCCAAGAAAGAGAAACAGCAAGGGGAAAGGTGGGAAGGTGGGAAGCCTTGTGGCTGTTTAGGGCAAGGTGAGTTGTTTGATTTGGCCATGGAGCAGGAATGAGTGGGAAGGGAAGCTGGAGGGACCATTGGAGCCAAGCCGCAGAGGGCCCCGAAGTCAGGATGTGGTGCAGGAGGCATCAGGACCCACTCAAGCCTTCTGGGTAAGCATGTGGCACACCCAGAGCTGAGCTTTGGGATGGCTATGTTGGCAGAGACCACAGCATGGGACCTTCATGGCCTTATCAGATGCCCCATGGGGAATGCACACCCACTCTTGTCCCCGACCCAGGAACCTGGAGTCCTTGCTGGCCAGGCAGGGCCAGCCTCTCACTCCCCTTCCTGGTGGCACCCTCCCCTTTCTGCTATGTGCTTTTGACAGCGTGGCCTCCCAGTACCACACACATCAAGGTGTGAATCCAATGCTTGCAGCACCTGGCGTGGCCAGGTGACCCAGGGACATTGGGTTTTAAGCAAGAAAAACATTGGCCAGAAGAAAGTTCCAGAGCCTCTGGGAGGCAAAATTGGAGATAATTAAACTTTGCCAGCGACACTGAGCGGCACAGCCTGGCAAATGTAAATGTCCCAGTCATGGCTGTCATGTGGGACCCCGGGCTAGCTTACTTCTAAGGGTACTTTCATGAGTACCAATAGGTATTTTTTCCACAATAATTATTCTACCCTACTCCCACTACCCCAATGCCTTAAATGGTCACTACGAAACATTCTTTTGGTTTAGATTACAAAGCCCCAGCATGCAAATGTATCAACGTTGGGAACTGTTGAGACCACAGTGTCTCAGCGCAAATGAATTCCTTAGGTTAGCAAACCCTGTTGCTGCCAGCTTTTGAGGGATTAGCACCCAGAACTGAATGGATATGGAGGACTTCTAACAAACAATTATCAAGCATCTGTGCAAAGGTCCAAGCTGCGGCTGGGGCTGCAGGAATAAAGGTAAACACACCTCAGTTACTGCAATCCAGCAAGAAGCGTTCTGCAATCCAGCAAGAAGAACAAGCACAGCTACCATTTTGCAGGTGAGGGGTATTGTTGTCAGGCGTCGTTATGTTTTTCAACGTGTAATCTTATTTAAATGCATTAAAACCTACTTATATGTTACTAGGATTATTGCCATTTTAGGCTGTGGAAACCTGCTCTGAAACATATGTAAATAGTATTAAGAATCAAATGAAGGAGGATTTAGGGAGATGGGCAGGAATTGGAGAGAGGTTGAGTGCGGACTCAGCCAGCCTTCACTTTCCCTGTTGTGATTATGACAAGGTTATGAGGTGGAAATGACATTTATTTATTTATTTTTAATTAATTAATTTCTTTTTTTGAGACTGAGTCTCGCTCTGTCACCCAGACTGGAGTGCAGTGGCATGATCTCGGCTCACCACAACCTCTGCCTGCTGGGTTCAAGCGATTCTCCTGCCTCAGTCTCCCAAGTAGCTGGGACTATAGGTGTGTGCCACCATATCTGGCTAATTTTTGTATTTTTAGTAGAGATGGGATTTCACCATGTTGGCCAGGCTGGTCTAGAACTCCTGGCCTCAGGTGACCTGCCCGCCTTGGCCTCCCAAAGTGCTGGGATTACAGGTGTGAGCCACTGTGCATGGCCGGAAATACCATTTAAAATGCTACCCAGGTGGTGGGATTGGAGTGAAAAAAGCCAATCAGACCCGGAGGCGGGAGAGCAAAGTGGAGTGGCACCAGGAAAGGCTGTGAGCCCAGGCCAGGGCGGGGCAGCTGGCTGTAAAAGGAGCAGTGCCCCATCCACTGCTGCACCCATGCCCAGCGAGGTGCTTGGTGCAAGTCAGGCACACTGTACAAGGCTGTCAAATTCATTCTTCTTTCTCATCAGTAAATTTAGGGACTAGAACCAAAAGAAGTGCTGTGGAGGGCAACTACCTTTGTAGGGTTCACTCATTCACATTGTGCCCAGGTCTCCTCAAGATGAGACCTGCTCCCTCTCAGGTATAACAGAGGATCCATCTAATTTCTCCACATGGGTGCCATGGTAAATTTTGCTGTGGCCCTAAAACTGAATTGAGAATACAAGCCTCCCCTGGTGGGTCCCAGGAGGGGCGGGGGGGTGTGTGTGTACGCGAGCACACATGTGCATGTATGTGTGTGCCTGTGTGTCTGTGTGTCTGTGTGCATGTGTGCCTGTGTGCATGTGTGCCTGTGTGCGTGTGTGTGTGCGCGTGTGTGTGCGTATGTGTACATGTGTGTCTGTGCATGTCTGTGTGCATGTGTATGCATGCATGTGTGTATGTGTGCGTGTGTATATGTGTGTGCATGTGTGTATGGGAGTGCATGTGTGTATGTGTGTGCATGTGTGTATGTGTATGTGTGTGCATATGTATGTGTGTATATGTGTGTGTGCATGTGTGTGTGTATGTGTGTCTGCGTGTGTGCGTGTGTGTATGTGTCTGTGTGTGCATATATGTGTGTGTGCACATGCACGCTTGGGGTCAGCCACGCTCTCCCATGCCCATGCAAACAAAGTTGGCTTTCCCTGCAAGGTCGGTGACAGCCCAGCCTCCCCTTCACAGGTTGGAGCAAGGCATTAATCTTCTTGACATGGCAGCAGTGGGGGAGGGGGATTTGGGGTGGAAATCCCTCAAACAGGGGGATCCCATGAGCAGAGAGGTCCTTGTCTCATCTGGCTGTATGAATAGGCTTTAGTTTACAAACCCAGGGCATAAAGTCAGGTTGGCTTCAAGAAGATCAAGTAGCATTATAGAAAGTATCTCTCTTTTCATTATGTTCATTTTTGGGGAAGTGGGGCAGGCAGAGGCAGATGGGACTCTGTGCCCATTGAAGAACTTGGGAGTGTATTCTGGGAACAGGCACCCATCTTCTCTGCAAGAGGTGGCGGAGTGGGAGGGTGCGGGAGCCCATGCTGGAGAGAGGGCAGGCCTGGAGAAGTCTAAACTTGCAAACAGAACATGATTTATACAGCCAAAATCTTTCACAAACTACTGGCAAGTTGGTGGGGCCTCCACCCCTCTCTTAGGAAGTCCTCCTTTGTCTGATGTTCCTACCTATGTTACTTGTCTCTGTTAACCTGGGCTCTGTGGTTACAGGTTGGGACTGATTGAGAAAAGCCAGGATCCAGAGGCCAGACAGACCCACAAGTTGCCCTCATTTGAGAACTCTTCTCTGACTACCCCCTGCACCCCAGATTAGGTCCCATTTATCTGGAAAGAGAACTGTAGGATTGGGGTGAAAAGAATTACTATAATGCCCAGACACATCAGTTAGGGACTTAGGACAAAGAGGTAAACAGTTGCTGGGCATGGTGGCTCAAACCTGTAATCTCAGTGCTTTGGGGGGCCAAGGTAGGAACATCATTTGAGTCCCAGAGTTGGAGTTGCCACCCTGGGCAACATGGTGAGACCTCGTCCCTACAAAAACCTTAAAAATTAGCTGGGCTTGTTGGTGTGCACCTGTAGTCCTAGCTACTCAGGAGGCTGAGGTGGGAGAATCACTTGAGTCCAGGAGTCCCAGGAGGTCGAGGCTCCAGTGAGCTATGATCATTCCACTGCACTCCAGTCTGGGCAACAGAGGAGATCTTGTCTCTTAAAAAAAAAGAAAGAAAAAAGAGAAAAAGAGGCAAGCAGTTGTCACATACTGTGCTGGGACCCTTGTCCTGGCTGTAGCCATTGCCCCATAGGGAACACCCAGCAACCTTTTCTTTGACAAGCCAGATGTAACCCATCTTAGGTTCTGCCTTTTTCTGAAACTTCCAGCCAAGTCCAGCTATGCTTCAGACCCACACAACTTAATGCCTACTCTTTCCCCAATTGTTCCCCTCAAGATATTCCAGCTCTCAAGGACTTTAGGCTCTCTTTGGGGAGCTGGAATTGTCTTAGACTCCTCCTTCAGGTCTCAAGCTAAATGTCACGTCTTCAGGGAGGCCATCCCTGATCTAAGCCCTCTAGGCGTAATCATGCTGTTTGACTTCTTTCCCGCTTTCTTAGAAATTCTTGTTTCCGTGTTTCTGTGTTTATGTGTTTTTTCTTGTCTGACTCTATTGGAAAGTGAATGCCGAGAGAGAGCACACTTGCCCACCTTGCTCTCTGCTGCTGCCCCAGTGCCTGAAACGGCATCTGCCACATGGTAGACCCTCAAAAATATGTGTTGAATGAAGCAAATGAATGAATGAAGTCTCTTTTGCCCTAGCATGAAAACCAACGCACATGAGTGAATGGGTTAGCGAAGTAGCCACAGGAAAACACTTTAGTTGTGCTGCTTTTAGGCTGTGTTTGGAGGAGGACAGTGAGAAGGGCAAAGGATGGAGCACTGGAGAGAGGGGCTGTGGGTAGACCCAGGACCAGGACTTGGGTTTCTTGACTCCATCCTCTGGGTGACCTTAGGCAGGTGCATCAGTCTCCTTCTGGTTGGATGACACAATCTCTGGTCACTTCTAGTCTTTCCTTCTGTGGCTCACTAGATCTGCAGCTGAGAGCGCCGAGACTGTCTCCCTGGGTGGGATGCTCTGGCTGGGCCGGACCTGGCTTGGCAGCAGTGCCTGAGCAGCACAGAGGTGCTCTGCTTAGCTCGGGGGCTGCCTGGCTCTCTATGGAGCCTCTGGGGCAGGATCGTTAGCGAGGAGAGGAAAGAGGAACAAAGGGGAACCTTCCCAATTATTAATAAGGCAGCAACCCCATCCATCTTAATGAGACAGGGCGGAAAAAACCAGTGGCCAGGCATCGCACACACAATAGGCTACGATAGAGACCTTGCTTTCTTTTTAAAGAGGGGGAATGAAAGACAGACAGAAAGGGAGGAGACTTGGAGAGTGGAAAGCAGTTCCCAAACGTCCTCTGTGCCCCTCATGCAAAGAGTCAGCCTGCTATGTGGCCACAGCTGTTTAAAAAATGCAGAGGGCACCGTGGTCCTTTGCTGGGCCAGGGGATGGGATGGGGTGGGGTGGGGCGACTTTCCTGGCAAAGAGTGGTTGAGCGACACCCATCCTAACAAGAGCCTTTGTTTCCTGGGCATGGGGTGGTCCAGTGGGACTGTGAAGAGCTCCCGCCTGGTGACGCAGGACCTGGTACGCTCAAAAAGCCCTGTCATCCTTTCGATCCAGCATCTCCCCTCCTCCACCCACCCCACCACTGCTACCATGTCCCATCAAAGGTCTTCTGAGTCCTGGCACTCGGTTTTTCTATTTCTTAGCCTTTGGGCAAATTGCTTAATGTCTTACCTTCGGTTTCTTTAGAACTGACTTCCCTGACAGACTTGCTGAGAAGATGACATTGTGCCAGTGTGTGTATAAACCGTGCCCGGGCATCTGACACAAAGCAGACACTCAACAAATCTTAATCATCAGAATCGGATCTTGCTTCCACTTGAGGACAGCCCAGTGAGGTCTCCTCCAGGAGCTGGGGCTATCTTGAGAATGGATCTGTCTCTGTCTGCTTTGATTCCCTGGGGCCCAGCACTTAGGAGCTGAATGAGTGACTAAAAGGCTGGAAATGCAATAATTTTGTTAAGACAGCATGTTCTGCAAGGGTTGGCTGTCTCTGGGAGGTGGGGCATTGTGCTTCCTTTTGGGGAATGTTGCACCCTCCCTACAACTGTAGGTTCCCCTGCTGCTGGGCTCAGCTGGGAGCTCGGGGGCCATGCTACTGTACTTCTGGTTAATATTCTCCTGCTCCCTGGGAAGTGTGGAGGGAGAGAGATGGGAAGCACCACGCATGGTTGGAGGGCTCCTCATCAGAACCCCAGGAGATGGGCTGCACAGAGATTCACTGGTGTAAAGACCTGAAGCACACAGGTGGGGCTGCAAAGAAGGAAAGACACTGGTCTCTTCTGGCCATCTCTGCTTAGGCTGACGTTTCCTGGGGATGGTGCTGATGGGGACATCAAAAGGATTTTGACACAGGGGAAGAGGAAGGAAGAGGAGCTAGAAGCAGAACCACAGGGCCTGGGATGGGACAGAGAAGTCTCTGTGGAACTAGGCTCAACACTCGCATGCTGATGCCCTCCTGGTGAGCTGAGGCTGCATTCGACTTGGAGCCAGGACTCCTGCTCCCAGTTGCTGCACTTCTGCCCTGAGCCTTGTTAGCTTTGCAGAAAATCCAGCCCTGCTGGATCCTGCCTCATGTCCCCACACACTTCCCGATGTCTGAACCACCCAGCTCTCTGTCTCTCCTCTCTTATCAGGTGACACGCAGCTTGACCAACATTTCCTGAGAACAAACACCTCTAGGCATCTCCAGGGAGGAGGTCGGGTGCTCTCTGCAGCACCCAAGGCAGCCCTCCACCTCCCTCCTGTCCTGGGACAGCGTCCAGTCCAAACGGGAAAGGTGTGTCTTGTGTGGCAAGTTATTGCAGGATGAATTCCTGCAGGCTGGAAGGAGCAGCTGCCAAGCACTCTCCCAGAATGACAGGTATATGACCTTCCAAGCTCTCCTCCCGGCCTGGCTGCCTCAGGCAGTGCTTGTTCTATGCTCAGGAGGGCCAGGAGGGTGGAGGAGCCCAGAGAGCCAGCTGGGAGGAGGTCTGGAGGCCTGGTGTCCACCTGTGACTTGCTGTAAGACCTGGGGCAGGCTGTTCAACCTCTCTATGCCAGTTTCAGCCCTCCTATGCATCCCTGTCCAGAGGTAGGGCAGGTGGAAAAGGCTCTGATTCTCTTCTCTTTGGTGGGGCACGTGGTTCAATGAATAGATGCTCAGGGGGTGTGTGCAGGAGGCCCAGGGAAAGCTGACTGTGATGGTGAGAGGAAGATGGAGCATAGAGGAGGGCGTGTGTATGAGCCAGCTGGTGAGAGCGAGGGAGAGCACGAGAGGACACGCTCTGAGCACAGAACCTTGCACATAGTAGGAGCTCATTAAACATTTGCTGATTGATTGTTGGCCTGAAAGTTCTCACTCCCTTGTTGGTGTCTGTGTGGTCTGGAAGAAAGATAGAGAATATGACTCCACATGCATCACAAGCTGGACAATGGGGGCAATTATCCAGAAAATGTGAGCCATCCTGCACCCCCCACCCCAAGTCTTTTGCAATCATTACCTGACACATCAGATGAAGTAGGATTTTTAAGAACGTGCGTCACAGAGGTTAACACCAGAGACACACATTTTTTCTTCCACCCAAGAGAATACTGATGCTGTTCTATGTATCTATCTCTTTTTCTTTAAAATTAATAATCTTTATTTCTTTGCAAAGGTGATATATGGTCATTGTGAAAATTTCTGAAAATGAAGAAAAGCAGAAAGAAGACAGTGTAAAGCACCTATAATCTCAAAACCCAGAGGTGGCTAACATTTCAGTGTACCTATTTCCAGGATTTTTAGCTTTTTTTCTTCTTTCCTTCCTTCCCTTCTTCCCTCCTTTCTCTTTCTTATCCTTCTGTTCTGTCTGCAAAATTGGATTCATACTATATATTTCTATCCCATATTCTCCATAAACATTCCCTCCTCTCTCTCTCCCCTCCCCTCCCCTCCCCCTCCCTCCCTCCCTCCCTTCCTTCCTTCCTTCCTTCCTTCCAAAAGCCTTTATTTTTTGAATGCTTAGCAATGTACTATGAGACACATAGGAAGCATGGTCTGACTTTTCTTTTTACATAAAACATCAAAGTTACAAAGGACATGAGCCTATCTAGCCCAATCCCTTCACATGTTTAGGACCTGTGACTCAGAGAGGAGAAGAGATTGTGGAAGGCCACTGAGGCTAGAAAACCAGACTCCTAGCCCAGTGCTCTTTCCCTGATTGCAGGTGCCTCACATAGGTTGACATGAGCATCTTTCCCTTCCAGCAGCCAAGTTGGTTTTTCCTAAGTGAACCTCCAAATAATAAAGACTGTTCTGTAGTCAACCACTGCACCAAGGCTCTCTTGTATTGAAAACGAAGAGTGTGCTTCCCGTTTTCAGTGGCAGCTTCACCCCCACGCCCCGGGACAGATGGCCTGAGTGGCTGGTGTCAGCTTCAGGCCCTTTCCTGGGCACTGGGATGCTCTGGTTGCTGGTCCTGGGAAGTAGCCCAGTGCCCCAGTGCCGACCAGCCAGCCCCTCTTGAAGCCCTGAATATGGACTTTGTCTGGTGGGCTCCACTCTGCTCCCAATGGACGGAAGCCAGTCATTTGGCAAAAATTAGCTCAGTTGCCACCATTGTTCTTAAAGAGGCAGGGCTGAATGGCTCTGGGGACTAATGTATTCTATTATGCCCTTTGGGCTGGCCCCTGAGTGTGGGCAGAGGTCTGCATTCCATAGACCACTGCGACCCCCGGCCCTGCCCCCGCCGCCCCACCAAGCCCTCTGCTCTCCAGCCCCACCGGTCCCCACCCCAGAGGGGAGAAGAGTTCCTGAAGCCAGCCATGGGAAGGCACCCCATCTGGCACCCGATGTGGATGGGAGAGGAGTTGAGGGTGACCAAGAGTCTGGGGAGAGGGCCAGCAGTGGAAATGGGGCATGAGGACCACAGTGACGAGGGCAGCCTGGAGGCTAGGGGAAGGCCAGAGGTGGTCGGTGACTTCTCTGTGACGGGGACCGCTGCCCCTGCCTCCTGCATTGATTGTGCCACATATGTCTGCAGCTCCTTCTCCTCTGCAGCCCCTTCCTGGCAGGAACAGTCTCCTCCAGAGGACGGAGAGTCATGGGGCTTGTTTTGAGCAGCCTGCAGATCTCTCATTCTAGGGTCAGTGATGCCCGAACCTTGAGAAATATGATGTGTGAGAGATAAGTGGGAGAGCGGCTTGCAGACAGAGAGGCTGCATGCAGGCATTCATTATCAGTGCCCTTTTAAGTAGGGAGCAGGGGTTTGTGTGAGTCTCTGGGTCCCTACTTCTCGCTCCTGTGTTTTGCAAAGCGAGGGCTGCATCCAGGACTGCCCTTCACCTTAGAGAGGCTGAAGGTGAGGAAGGAGGGAAGGCAGGGTGTAGCTGTCCTGGCTCAGGTGTCTTTTCTAACAAGACAGAGGTTTGCAAGTATGACTGCCCTGGTCACAGGCTGCATGAGCTCATTCTTCAGAGTGCTCTCTCCTTTCTTGGGTGTTAGGGCTGCCTGGCTCCACCGCTTATTGATTACAAGTGTGCTTCCTCTCATTAACAACCCCCACCCAGACTTGGGGAGAAATATCAGAAGGCTCAAAGCCTGCTTGTTCAGAATAGTTTGTGGGACATGAACAAAAATGATAGAGGTGGGTGAGGGGGGAGAAAAGGAGAGAGGAAGAGAGAGAGGGAGAGAGAGAGGAAGAGAGAAGGAGGTAAGAGGGAGGGGGAGAGAAGGAGATGGGGGAGAGAGGGAGAGAGAGAAAGAGAGGGAGGTGGGGGAGAGAGGAAGAGAGGGAGGTAGGGAAAAGAAGGAGGGAAAGAATGAGGGAGAGAAGGAGAGGGGGGTAGAAAGGGAGAGAACAAGGAGGGAGAGGAAGAGAAAGAAGGAGAGAGAAGCGGGGGGGGGAAGAGAGAGGGAGGGAGGAAAGAGAGGGAGGAAGAGAAAGTGAGAGGGAGAGAGAGTGAGCGCTGTCACCCACTCTGTCCTGTGGGGTATGGGCAACATACTCCACAGAGGGATTGAGGTGGGGTCCTAGTGGGTTGGTTCTGGGGCCATGTCCATCTCATGTCTGTTGGTTTCTCTGGGTTGCCAGACAAAGTGTGGGCAGATAGATCTACTAAGAAGAAGCATGCTGTCCTGACTGGCTGTGACATCCCCTCAGTCCAAACTCTTCCCACCTCCACTCTCCCCAGCCATGGGCTCTGTTATCTTCCCTGCTATCCTTTATGTTATCTTTCCTTCCCACCTTTGTGCTTCTTGGGGTTGGGAATCTATCTTTGATGTTCTCTTTTCCTCACGTGACCCAGCACAGAACCTGCACACAGCAGTTGATTGATAGACACCTGTTGATTCATTGACTTCTGGAACTGGGAGAACACAGCTCAGACAGTGCCTGCCACCGGCCAAGGCTGTGTCAGCAGCAGAGAGAGGATGCAATTAAACTCCAATCTGAAATCCCCATTAATTGTGAAGAGTCGATTTCCTTGGGGTGGGGACGGAAATAAAACCAAAAAGAATCTGGATGAGTTAAAATGTGCAGGATGTAGAGCATTTCATCTTCCAGAAAGAATATTTTATTCTCCTGTCAAGAGGCCAATGATAATGGCAATAAAAGAAAACATAAGTGATGGTGGTAAGGATTATGCAGCAATTTAGGAAGCAGCCGGTTATATATATTTATGGACCTAAATGGCTGGAAAACCCTTCACACCAGAGGACTTAATGCAGAACTTGGAAAGCACTCCAAGGCTAAGTGGATCTCCATGGGAAGTTGTTATTTATGGACCTTCCTACCGTGTATTAAGCAATTCAGTGGCCTAGACTGCTGTTAAAAAATAAAGAACAAATGGGTTCGATGGACAAATTGTGCTTTTCTGGGTGGGGGAGCCATGGCTGTCTTATAATGCTGTGTTAGAAGAATTTGATAAAAGGCAATGTTTTTATAGGGACAGATATTAAATATGATTGAATGGGAAACTGCTGGAAGATTACAGAAGCCTCCAGATACACAGCTGCTGGTGCCACCACGTGTGGGGAAGAAAGCAAAGTCTGTTCTGCTGCTGCCGTCAGCCTCTGAGGGGCCAAGAGGCAGCGTTTCCTCACTGCCTGCACTTTTACTTTGTGACCTGCCCCCACCCTCCTGGCGCCTGTGTCCTTAAGAGAGTTGCTTTGTCCACTCTTTCTGCCTGAGAACTTTATTTCATTTGATTGTCTCAATGCTCTGTCCTTGGGGCATCTGAGGAACCTCTTTGTGACTTGGTCTCCTCTTCTGAAAAGTGGGGGCTCATAGGACCCTTCCAGTGGGAGGCTAAACAGAGGGCTACAGAGCGATGCAGGTTCATGGGTGAGACAGAACACAAATAGGGACAACAGAAAAAAGGGTGCTCCACAGCCATAGGAATCGGAACAGGAGGAAGATGTGCAAACTTCCAGGTTCATGGAGGAGTTTCTGAAGATGGGGTTTCTCAGTCTTAAACAGGCATCGGATTCACCTAGGAGTCTTGTTAAAATGCAAACACTAATTGTTATGCCTGGGGTGGGCGGCGGGTGGGCTGAGTGTCTGCATTTCTGTTAAGGTCCTAGAAGATGCTGATGCTGCTGGTCTGGGGACCACATTTTGAGTAGCAAAGTCTTAGGAGACAGTAAAAATTAGAACCTGCAGTCTTTGAGCTTCCTGCCTATTGTGAGAATTACATACCTGTGCCAGTGAGGTTTGGTTTTAGCTGCATGAAAGAGAAAATCAAAATGACTTTGGATTTAAGCAAGTGAGGGAGACAGATTATAGGTCTCCCCAGTGAGAATCCCCAGGTGGGCAGTGCAGGGCTGGTGCAGGGACTCCTTGAGACCCAGGTTCTTTCCTTCTGCTCCACCATACTGGTCTGCTGGCATTCATCCTCATGGTTGCCAGAGAGCTGCTGTACCTCAGGCATCACAGCTAAATTCCAGGTGGGAAGCAGAGGGAAGAGGCAAAATCTCTAAGGCTATCTTTCTTATGATGTGCTCCAGGGTGCCACACTTACCAACTTCTACCTCCTTCTCACTGGCCAGAGCTGGCTTGAGATTTGCATTTCTAACAAGTTCCCAGAAGATGCTGGTGCTGCTGGTCTGCGGACCACACTTGGAGGAGCAAAGTTGTAGGAGACAGTAAAAATTAGAATCATCTGTCATGGAGGTTCTAATTTTTAGTAGCCCCCCTCGGACCTACTCAATCATAATTTGCATTTTAACAAGATTCCTAGGTGAATCCAATGCCTATTTAAGACTGAGGAAACCCATCTTGAGCAACTCTTCCACATACCGGGAAGTTTGACACCTTCCTCCTGTTCCAGTTCCTAGGTTGCAGGACACCCTTTCTCCAGGAGGCCCCAGTTTGTCTCATCCATGCACCCACATTGCTCTGCATCCCTCTGTTTAGCCTCCTACTGGAAGGGTCCTATGAACCCCCACTTTTTCCATTTATTTTTATTTATTTAATTTTTGTTTTAGAAGGAGTCTTGCTCTGTTGCCCAGGCTGGAGTGCAGTGGTGCGATCTCGGCTCATTGCAACCTCTGTCTCCCAGGTTCAAGTGATTCTCCTGCCTCAGCCTCCCGAGTAGCCGGAATTACAGGCACCTGCCACCACACCTGGATAATTTTTGTATTTTTAGTAGAGACGGGGTTTTGCCATGTTGCCCAGGCTGGTCTTGAACTCCTGACCTTGGGTGATCCACCTGCCTCAGCCTCCCAAAGTGCTGGGATTACAGGTGTGAGCCACTGCGCCTGGCAGAACCCCTACTTTTCAGAAGAGGAGACAAGTCACAGAGTGGTTCCTCAGGTGCCCTAAGTACAGAGTATTGAGACAATCAAATGAAAAAGATGAGTCTTGAGACGGTGATTTGCTCAGCAATCACATGACTACTGCACACCTACCATGTGGCAGGCACTAGAGATACAAATACAAAAAAGATACAGATTCTGTCTTCAAGAAGCTTCTAGAACTCCGGACATGCAAACATGCAAAACAAGAAGAGTGGTGCTCTGACAGCCATGATGTACAGGGAGACTGGGGAGAGACCAGGCAGATGAAGCCCATTAGCCAAACCTGAGATGTGTGCTGGGAAGACGGCCCAGCTTGTGGGGGCAGCGTGAGCTCTGCACAGAGGCTGGAGGCTATGAATTCCCCCACACTGGGACCCCACTGGCATGCACCTGTCAGGCTGCAAAGGAGGTTTTTTTTGTCTGCATGCAATCTGATTGGTTGGTGCCATGCCATATTGGGCTTTCTATATACACATATATATTATGTTATAAAATATATATAATATAAAATACATATATATTTTATATTAAACAATCTTTATTTGGAAAATAGTACCTTACAGTCCTAATGCTATCTATCAAACATCAATGACAGCAATTTCAGCAGGAACTAATGAACAGTAGCTAAACTAACAGGGGATCCATCAAAAGTGCTTTAAAGGGAGGAGCACCGGCTGACGTTGTGCCGAGTCTCTGGGCATTCAGGACTTGGTTATGGGAAAACAGAATCAAACTGGCAGGTGCTCTGGACCCAAACCCTGGCATTGTGACCCGCCTCCCTCCTGGGAGCCCTGAAGGCTCACAGTCCCCCTGGCACTTCCAGGCCCCTGTGGGCTGTGGGTGGAGCCCTAGGGGCCAAAGTGCCACTCAGGAAAGCCTGAAACGGCCTTGGAGTCAGCCAGCTTCTGCCTGTTGTGGCCATTTTCTTTCTGGAGCACCTGCAGCGCTCTCTCAGTGGGCTCAGTGGCCATCCAGCCTTCCTGGGACATTTTCTCATAGAAAAGGATCTCTCTCTCTCTGAAAACTGAAAGTGTCTTTCTTCAATTCCTGGGCCACGTCTCAGGCCATCTTCTTGTAGCGGTCACGGGTCTGACATGCGTGGCTCACGTTTTTGTGCACCTTGTACAGTCTCTGGTGGAGGTCCAGGAAGAGAGCCTGGTAAATGAATGGACAATCAGATGTTGCTGGCTGCAAGGGCTCTCCAGGTTTCTCTCCCCAGGGACTGGCCTTCAGCAAAGCCAGGTCTACTGCAAAGCCAGCAGGATTTGGAGTCCAAAGATCTGTGCTTCCTGACCTGCGACTGGCCTCCACCACAGTGCTTTGGTGGCTGGACTGCTAGTCAGGGTCCCACTACCCTGAGCTTCTGTATCTTCTTCTGTCAAATGAAAGTAATGAACTTCTCAGCCAGCTCAGAAGCTTTTGGTGAGGCCCAAATGCCATAATGCATGCAGAGAGCAAATCGGAAAAGACTGCAGCAAGGCATCTTCCTATGCGACAGGGGATTCTGCCTTCGCCCAGGTGAGTAATGCCCCTTAAATGGCAGATGGCAGATGTGTTATTCAGGCTGAGAGAGACTGTGGGGAGGAGGCTTGCCTGGATGGAGACTTGGAGGCGAGGCTTCCCCAGCTGAGGTTACCAGTTCTTGGGAGCAGGGAAGGCTTTCCTGCCAGGCAGGAGTGTGATGATGGGCACTCCCCCGTTCCTCTCGCTAGCACCTCATTTATATCCGGCTTGCTCCAGGCTCAATCCCCCAATGAAGGCTATGCACCGTCTGGCTCCACTGCCTTGAAGGGTTAGGTAAATAAGCACATGGCTCCTCGGGGAATGTGTCCCGGCGCTGGGCCGCTGCCCTCCCCGCAGCCATCCCGGCAGATTTATGGGCTTCAGGTCACTGAAGCATGTGCCACTTCACTTTCACTTGCCTGGGATTCCCAGAGGGGCAGGGGCTTCCTAAAGACCTGTGTCTGGTGCTCTGTGATGTCCCAGCCAAGCCTTGAGCCCCGTCGCCAGGATCCGACTCCAGGTGTCACACTGTGGAGCCCCCTTCTACCTTCTCTTGCTCCCCAGTCCCCACCCCCACTTGGCATACAAGGCTCCCAGAAACTCTAGCCTCCCAGATGCCAGCTCCTGTTTTTATACAGCATTGTGTGAGGATTTGTGGGAATGGGCCACTGCATTGACCAACCCACCCTCCATGGAGCCACCTGCTCGGTGCAAGCCCTGGGGAGAGAGGAGTGAATCGGATGTGGCATCTGTCCACAGGGTCAGCTCTGGGATGGGAAGAGATCCAATAAAGAAGTCCCACACTATGTTTGCTGTCCTTGTATAAGGCACTGATGATCAGTTCCCTTAGGATTCAGATCTAGAAAAGATTTTCCTTTTTCAAAGACAAAGAGAACGATGGGAGCTATTCATGCTGGCGTATTACCTTTGTTCTCAGAAAACATCGCACAAAATCAATGTGCAAGGGTAGCACCCCTAAGAACCTGGGTATTTCACATGTCTGTCTCCCCTTTATTTGTTTGTTGGGGTGGGCGTAATTATTGAGCACTCAGTATATGCATGGCATTGTACTAGATGCTGGAGATGTGGAATGGGTAAGACAAAATAAGACAAGGTCCTGGCCTCTAAGAGCTCACTGCACTGTACGATGTACATGGAAGGGACCAGTTATAAATGTACACGGAGTGTCTGCAGGCACAGAGTGGGTGAATCTGACTAGGGATGGAGGAGGTCAGGCCTGGCTTCCTGGAGGAGACAACATTGTTAGGATAAGTGGGTGGATTTGCCAGATAAAATATATGATGCCCAGTAAACTGAATTTCAGTTCAACAATGAATAATTTATAGTATATGTATGTCTCAGGTAATATTTGAGACACACTTAATAAGTTTTTTCTTGTTGATCTGGAATTCAAATTTTACTGGATGTTCTATTTTTTAATATTTAAATTTAATTTTTATTTTTAAAGACAGGGTGCCATTCTGTCACCCAAGCTGGAGTGCAGTGGTATGATCATAGCTCACTGCAGCCTCCAACTCCTGGGCTCAAGCGATCCTCCTGCCTCAGCCTCCTAAGTAGCTGGGACTACCGGCACGTACCACTGTGCCTGTAGCTAATTCTTAATCAGCTAATTCTTAAAATTCTTAAAATTGTGCCTAATCAGATAATTCTTAAAAATTATTATTATGTGTAGAAACAGGGTCTTGCTATGTTGCCCGGGCTGGTCTCAAACTCCTGGCCTCAAGCAATCCTCCTGCCTTACTTTCCCTAAGTGCTGGGATTACAGGTATGAGCCACTGTGCCTGGCCATGGGTGTCCTGTATTTTTATTTGTAAATCTGGAAACCCTATGAGTAGTAGTTTGTACAAAAGTAGTGAAAGGCATTACAGATAGAGAAAACAGCATGTGCACACAGCATGAGCCCAGGATGAGAGGCAAGCGAGAAGCCATTGGGTGGGAAAGTGCAAGTACTTCTGGAGACTGGAAACTAGGCTGGTGGGGGGTGCTGGGGAGGTGAAGCTGGAGAGGTCATGGGGGTCAGGGCTGAGTCTTGATACTATCCTGGAGGTTGGGCTTTTTCCTGTGGACAAAGAGTGTGTGAGAATTTTAATCAGAGAAATAGTCCATTTGATATTTTTATTTCTATTTAAAAAGTCATCTTAAAATATGCCTTTTATTTTTAGTTCTCTTCTTTCTAAGAGGTGGTATACAAGTCTTCATTTATTTATATAAAAATTATATTTATAGGCATGAATATATTTATAATATAAATTATAAATTAATTAATGTAGTAATAAATGAACAAAAATTGTCAAGCCCAGTTTGACAGAACCTCGCCTGGAGAGTGGGCAGGTGTGACTGTCTGAGTGGAGGGGCGGGGACGGTGACCTTGGCCTCCCAGTTTGGGGCTCCGCTGAGGGTGTCTTCCTGGCTGCTTACGATAGGAACTGATCCTAGGATGGCCTAGTAAGAAATTACAGGGAGCAGAGTTTCCCTTCAAGGAAGGAAGAACATTCTAGTGGATTGTCTGAACTTGGTGACTATATCCCAAACAAATAAAAGGGATGCTCCGTTAGCTTCTGTCAAGAATGGTGCAGAGGACTGGGTGCGGTGGCTCACCCCTGTAATCCCAACACTCTGGGAGGCTGAGACAGGAGGATTGCTTGGGGCTAGGAGTTCAAAACCAGCCTGGATAACATAGCAAAATCCCATTGCTCAAAAAAAAAAAAAAAAAAAAAAAAAAAAAAAAGCTAGGTGTGGTGGCCTGCATCTGGAGTCCCAGCTACTTGGGAGGCTGAGGTGGCAGGATTGCCTGAGCCCAGGAGGTCAAGGCTGCAGTGAGCCAAGGTCCTGCCACTGCGCTCCAGCCTGGGGAACAGAGTGAGACTCTGTATCAAAAAAAAAAAAAAAAAAAAGATGAAGAGGTAGGGGTGCTTACTCTAAGAAGAGATGAAGAGATGGGGCTGGAATTTGCCTTCAACTCCAAATTTTTAAGATGCTTCCCAGACATTCCCAGACTTCAGTTAGCAGGTCAGGCCAGTTCTTTAAAGAGTTAGAAAGGATCAGGATTACACATCTACAGAGGCAGAATGCAGAAGAAGCTTGTCCAAGTAAGAGCATGACCAGGTTTCAAGGCATCTGACAACGAATACCACTTTGGCCCCTTCAGACTTGCCTGGAAGTCTAAGGATGTGCCTCGAGTGACCCTACATGCTGAGAATTCACACTTCTGAGCTAGCAGGGCAGCCGGGCAGGCATTAATAGCTCTGTTTCACAGATGAGAACACTAAGACCAGAGAGAGGAAGTGCGATTCCCATGAGTCGCCCAGCCAGTTAGGAGCAGAGCTGAGGCTGTAGCCTGTGTCCACTGACTGTGGGCCAGCATGCTTTCCTTGGCATTGCCCCTGACCCACAGATACCCAGCTTCAGGCGGGAGCTCCCTCCCTAGTGCTGCTGGCTGAGGGAGAGCGAGCTGAATGTATCTTTGGAGAGGATGGCAGACATCACTGATGATATGATAGTGGAACACAATGGGAGCTGTGGCTGGGAAGGCTCCCCTCCCAGTTTTTCCAGGAGAAGCCAGGAAAAAGCTCTGCGTGTGGGAAGAGGCCACCTGGGAGGCACCTGGGGGGGCCCTCTGTGACCCTCTGTGGAGGCTGAAGAACTGAGAATGCCTCCTGAAGCTGGTGTTTTGAAGCAACAGAGGACGAACTTTCAGGCTTCATGCATGGGCATCTAGCAGTGTGGGAAAAGCAGAACTTCTGGGAAATGAGAAACATAAGTTAAAGCTGCATTTTGCCTCTGTTTATTTAAGCCATTCAAAAAGGAGGGAGGATATGTCTCCTGGCCCACAGTTCTCATACTCAGGAACCCTCATATCTGGGAGCTCTGTCATGTCAGTTGCATGTTTAAAGGGCCTTTGTTCTAGAACCTTCTGCTGTACACACAGGAGTGCGTGCACACACAAACACACACACACTTGCCATTAGGAAAAGGGGGACTGGATTTTGAAGTGCAAAGAGTTGACAATAAGTAAAAGGACAAAAGTACTGTATGTACCTCTGCAATACAAAGTCTTCAGGCTGTTCTGCCTGGTGCTGTTATGCAGCATGTGAATTTCCCGAGAGGACGGGGGGCGGGTGGTCCCTCTCCCACATCCCAGGAATGGATTAAAGTCTCTCGGTGGGACTGAGGTCTTAGGGTCCTTCCTTTCCAGCTGGGTCTGGGAGGAGTCAGGAGTGCACTGGATTTAGGATTTGGGGTCTTCTCCCATCACTCCCTGTTCCACGGAGAGACAACTGTGTTCCCAGCAGGGGTCAGTAAAGCAGTAGGACCACTAGGGGTGAGTGGGGGAGGTGGTGACTGGAGGTGATCAAAGTCTACTCGGAGTGACCAGACATAGGCGAGGTCTTCCCCTGAATGGATTTGTGAGATTTACTCCTGACTTGGGACTTCCAGGGCAGTCACCTGGACGAATTTCCAGCATTTAACCGTGGACAGACACAAGTCCTCCTGCCATTCGGGAAAACTGAAAACGTGAGTGAGCGGTCAGCTAAGCCTGGGTTCAGAGGTGAGAGGATGTTATCTGCAAACATCCATCTTTGCAGTGAGCAAACAGACGCATTTGGCTTGAGGTGGAGGGCCTGGCCCTAGGAGACAAAAAGACCCCCTACCAAACAGCATTTTTCTCTAAATGCCCCTTGAATTGAGACACAGTTGCCGGGTCTCCTGCGGTCTTATTCTCTGTGAGGAATGTCTTCCTCAGCTCCACAGGCCGGCCTCACCAATTGTCTTGGGATTAACCCTTGGCCATCCCGATCTTGCTCTCTCTTCTCTGTGTTTTCCTTCCAGCCTCCATGTCACCTTTTGAGTGTCAAGGCATCTTCCATTGGCCACGAAATGACAGAGAAGTCATCCATCTGCAGAAGCCTCCTGTGTGCACCGTGGAATCACCGTGTCTGTACGGGCACGAATGCTTTAAGAAAACAGCCCTGCTTCTTCACAAACTCTAGTCATTTCACTTGGAATCTGTCCATCAAGAAATTAGGTTTGCAGAGTCCAAAGCAAGCTCCCTAGAGCTTTACAAACAAGCTGGCGGGCAAGGCAGCGCGCCCTATAGTGTCTCTGTGGAGCGCTAAGATCTGTGACCCCTTTGCCACATGGGGTGTGCGCTCAGACTGGGCTATGAATATATCAGCCTCTCTCCACCCGCACTTAGGGACAGAAGATATGGAGACTCCAGGAACTTCATGAACTATTTGCTGTGGTCTTCTGTCCCGGGATAGTCCGGGTCTCACTCCCAGCTCTCCAGAGCTTAACCCTCCCTCTCAGGGGAATGTTTGAAACCTACGAAGAATTCTCAGGAATTCGAGGTAGAAGGTGGCAGAGAGACTTCTGTTCCTGGGGGCCGAGCTGTTGTGCTGATACCGTCCTCTTGGCGTCTGCCCTAGTGGGGACCCTTGATTTTAACTTGAAGTTCCTGGACTGGGTCTAACCTTAGCATGTGTGCCTGAGTGATGGACTTGGTATTTACACCAGCCACGCTGATAAGTGCACATGTGTTTTTAATGTTTTGGCTTTCCACACCACAAACACACAGATGTGCTGTCGCCCGGGCTAGGACTTGAGTAGGGTTTTTCTATTTAAATATATATTATATATTTAAAAAAGTGTCCTCCCAGAGCTAATACCGTTGCTAGCAGCTCTTCCTGCCGCCACACCGGGCAAAGTCCACCCACTGCCCCAGTGTTGAGGGCCACCATGGGCGGCCCCACCTGGAGAGGTGCTGCTCACAGCAAACAGCTCCAACTGCGCCTTCGCCTCGCCTTCCAGGGAGCCCAGCCAGGCCCACTGGGTATTTACAAGCAGACCTCCCTCGCTTCAGCCTTCCTGAACCCCTGTTAGTTGGGAAACCACCTGTCTGCACCGCAGCTAGAGAACCGAGGAGAGGAGCCGCTAGTCTAAAGGGCTGTTGGTTGAAATTAGGAAGCAGTGTAAAGAAAAAGAAAAAAAAAGTTTGGGAGGCCAAGGCAGGAGCATCACCTGAGGTCAGGAGTTCGAGACCAGCCTGGCTAACATGGTGAAACCCCGTCTCTACTAAAAATACAAAAAATTAGCGGGGGCATGGTGGCACGCGGCTGTAATCCCAGCTACTCGGGAGGCTGAGGCAGGAGAATCGCTTGAACCCGGGAGGCGGAGGTTGCAGTCAGCGGAGATAGCGCCATTGCACTCCAGCTTAGGCAACAAGAGCGAAACTGTCTCAAAAAAAAAAAGTCTTCATAATTTCATGGGTTTGCAAGTATGATCCAGGCTCCCCGCTTCTCTGCAAGCCAATGCGAGTTAATTACAGCGTCCGCCCTGGTCTCTCTCCACCCCACGCCGTGATCCATTCCCCTTCTTTTTCTCCCCTTGTCTCTTTCCTCCTCCCCCTTTTATTTATGTATTTTTGGTTTTGTTTTTTAAGGGGTGTTGAGCCGCGTCTGGTTCTAGTAAACCGAACCCGCTCGCGAGGGAGGCGATTGGCTCCCGCGCCGGTGACGGACGTGGTAACGAGTGCGGCTCGCCCCGCCGGGAGCTGATTGGCTGCGCGGGGCGGCTCCGAGGGCTCGGCCGTAGGAGCCCCGCGCACTCCAGCCCTGCAGCCTCCGGAGTCAGTGCCGCGCGCCCGCCGCCCCGCGCCTTCCTGCTCGCCGCACCTCCGGGAGCCGGGGCGCACCCAGCCCGCAGCGCCGCCTCCCCGCCCGCGCCGCCTCCGACCGCAGGCCGAGGGCCGCCACTGGCCGGGGGGACCGGGCAGCAGCTTGCGGCCGCGGAGCCGGGCAACGCTGGGGACTGCGCCTTTTGTCCCCGGAGGTCCCTGGAAGTTTGCGGCAGGACGCGCGCGGGGAGGCGGCGGAGGCAGCCCCGACGTCGCGGAGAACAGGGCGCAGAGCCGGCATGGGCATCGGGCGCAGCGAGGGGGGCCGCCGCGGGGCAGCCCTGGGCGTGCTGCTGGCGCTGGGCGCGGCGCTTCTGGCCGTGGGCTCGGCCAGCGAGTACGACTACGTGAGCTTCCAGTCGGACATCGGCCCGTACCAGAGCGGGCGCTTCTACACCAAGCCACCTCAGTGCGTGGACATCCCCGCGGACCTGCGGCTGTGCCACAACGTGGGCTACAAGAAGATGGTGCTGCCCAACCTGCTGGAGCACGAGACCATGGCGGAGGTGAAGCAGCAGGCCAGCAGCTGGGTGCCCCTGCTCAACAAGAACTGCCACGCCGGCACCCAGGTCTTCCTCTGCTCGCTCTTCGCGCCCGTCTGCCTGGACCGGCCCATCTACCCGTGTCGCTGGCTCTGCGAGGCCGTGCGCGACTCGTGCGAGCCGGTCATGCAGTTCTTCGGCTTCTACTGGCCCGAGATGCTTAAGTGTGACAAGTTCCCCGAGGGGGACGTCTGCATCGCCATGACGCCGCCCAATGCCACCGAAGCCTCCAAGCCCCAAGGTAAGGCTGCCTCCTCCCACGTGCGCGAGCCGCCCCCTCCATCCCCCGGCCGGAGCTGCAGGAGAACCCGCGCCACCCTACGCCCGCCCGCCGCTGGGTCCCGGTGCTGGGGACTGAGGGCCCGAGGTTGCTCGCATGCTGTGCACGTGATTCCTAAGCGCGTCTGGTCTGTCCCAGGTATCGCTCAGCGCCCCTCGCGACCCAGGTGCACGGCGGGGCTGGCCCGGGAGCGGCAGCTCTGCGCCTTGGCCTCGCAGGGACTCGCTGTGGTCCCCGGAGCCGCTCTTCCTGGGATCCAACTTCGCCTTTCCCATACCTGAAACAAAGCCTTGCGCTTTAAATAACAGGGGAGCTTCCCTCTCCTCTAGGAGGACTCCGAGTCCCTATCGAAGTTTTTAACCTCTGAGACGGGAGGAAAAAACAAAAACCCAAAGCGTAGAAAGTTCAGAAAGGCCGAGAGAATGCTTGGAGCAGCTTTTGTTTATTTTCATAGGTTCGACAAAGATTTAAAAAATAAAACCAAGCCCTTTCCTTCACTGGTCATTCAGTCAAGTAGCCTTGGGATTGCTGCAAAACTGGCTGAGAAAGTTTAGGAACCGTGGGGACTTCTGTTTCTCCACCCCTTCCAGGTACCAGCTCTGCCCTCGGAGGGCTGGGGGTGGAAAGTCTTTTCTCCCTCCCTCTAGCGTACCCCCTGCTTTTCTCATTTACACAAATCCTCAGCTCATTAGAAAGATAAAAATGTAATTAGCTCATTGTTCATCTCCTCCCGGGGAGAGCAGCTCTGCAAAATGCAGACTTTCCTAACAGCCTGAGGGACCGGCCCGAGGTTCCTCTCAAAACCCCCTTATGTTTAAAGAGCAATTCTTGAGGGGGAAGAAAAAAAAATCCTGGGAAGTCAAATAAAATGAAATAGATATAAAGATAAAATATACACATCACAGACCTGACTTCTATAGAAGTAAATTCAACCCAGAATTCTTTAGAAGCGAAGTTTAGGCTCTGAGGTGTGGAGAGGGTCAGGGATTGGGGAGCTGTACCCCAGCTGCGCTTAGCACAGACGCAGGCTTCCTGAGGGCTTTTTGAGGAGGGCCTTTAGGGTGGGGGAGAAAGACTGCCTACACTTAGCTCACCTTAAAGTGTCTTTAACCTCTGTTATTGATGCTAAAAGAGGGGAGTGCAGTCACCTGGCTCCTCAGAGTGAGGATTTGGGCAGGTGGGGGAAAGGGATACCCCAAATTTTAGATGCTTTTGCTTATTCTAGGGAGGGTGGAGATGGGTCCACAGTGACTGTCGTTGGATGGCTGGATGGGAACGGCACTGATTGCCCGCAGTGGCCAGGTCTGGGCACCGCTGCTCTCAGAGTCAACTCTGGTGTTGGGAGTGGAGTGAGGGTAGCGGATGCATCTGCACTTTGTGAGCGAGAACTGAGCAGTTACCTGGAGCAAACAAAGCGCCTTGTGTTCTGTTGGCTTGCACCCATCCCCTGCAGCCTGCGGGAATTTCCTTCTCCCCTTCCTCAGCCAGCGGGGATTAGCCCAGCCCTGCCCTGTGAGGCTGTGCCCAGCCCTGACCTGGAGTCCATTCCCAATGGCTTCCGATGGTCTCTTTCTGGGACCGTCTGCAGACATGAGTGGACACCTTAGGGGGCTCGGCTGCGGAAAAGGTGCTGCAGTCCACAGGGAACATGGGGGGATTGGACGGGTTGCCTGAAGAAGAGAGGAAAGAATCCCTCACCCCAGCCCCCAAAAGGCTGTGATGGGATGGGGAAACCCCATAATCGCTGTCTTCCGGACACCTTTTGCCCCTTGGCTGCAGTTCCACTGGTCGGCGCCCTTCTCAGCCTGGCTTGGAACCGTCCTCACTCACCTCCACTCCTCCCAGCAGCGCTCAGGTAGTCACCCTCCCAAGACAGGTCTTTGAGGAGCAAAGAGAAAAGTGGGGAGAGGGCCGGTCGGGAGTGGGGCTTGGGACTGGTTTTCCCCTCAGTGGTTTTGGTGGGGGGCTCTGCCCTGAGATGGCACACCACCCTCCCCAGGACTGCAATCCCTGGTGTAAGGGAGCCCCACGTGATTTCCTGCGAGGTCCCTGTGGAGGGGAGGGTGGGGCGTGTGTGTGTGTGTGTGTGTGTGTGTAGGTGTGTAGAGGGCAGGTCAAGACAAACCAGACTACTGATCCTCATAACCTTATGGCTTGTGGCTGTGGGGTCGTAACTGGCACTTTCCAATGAGAATAAGTATGCATGCACTACTCTTTTATTCGTTTATTCTTTATGCTTTTATTCTTTAAAATTAAAATGCATTTTCAAAGCAGTGTCATATCTTTGCATACTGGTTTCTGTTCACACACTTGGGCAAATTCAGTTTTGGATTATTGGCCAGCTGTCTGTGGTCATGTGTTATTAAGGAGAAACCTGATAATGAGAAATGACTTGACATTTTTCCCCTGCAAAGGCTGATACCCAAGCCATAGAAGCTCCTGTTAGGGAAGAGGCAATTGCTCTTTTTCTAGGGAAGTCATTTTTGAATTTGGCACTTCCATTAGAACTGTGAACTCCCAGGCTGATGCATTGTTGTTTCCCTCTCTGCCTGGTTTTACTGGGTGAAGTTGTATGAGCCAGCACATTGGGTTTGATTTTGTTGTTGCTTGGGCATGTTGTGCATTTAGTCAGTGTGGCAGAGGCCACAGAGCCCTCTGTTCCCCAGAAAGCCTTCCTTAGGGCTCCCTTTTGGTCCCCCCAGGAACTGGCCAGGGAAGATTGTGGGGGTTGTGTGTGAGAAAGGGAAAGAGAGAAGAAAGAGAGAGAGACTGAGAAAGCACTTGTGTGTGTGTGGATTGATGTATCACAAAAATCACTTAATCCTGATTCAGCTGTTGGGCTGTCTCCTCCACACACCCTTAAATATTAATAAACACAAAACCTTTGCTTTTTTTGTTCATTTGCTTTAAACATTATTTTAAATACAACTGAAAACAGCGATTTAGTTCCACCTCTCAGAAGGATGACTGGGTGGATTTCTCCTGCAGAGGCAGCCTGTAGAGCCCCAAGACGCACCAATGAGGCGCAGGTTAATACCGCATCACACATTTCTCTTTCTCTCTCTGGATCAGGCTGCTCCAGAGTCAGCCGTTAGAAAAGCTGAGATAGGGGAAAGCCGTGGTAAAAACACACAGAGCCCACCCCAACGAGCTCCTGCCATTCTGAGAGGCACTGAAGTCCAAATGTAATTGACGGGACTGAGGAAAATGTCCCTGAGAAGTGCAGAGCCCTCCTTGGCCGATTGGTTCAGGCGAACTTCAAGTGTCCAGAGGAGATGCAGTGAGTGTGTGGAGCGGGCAGAGATGTGCCCTTTATGTTTGGATCACCCTGACTTCACTATTTGGTCAAGATTGTATTCACAGAACGTTGCTATGTGTGTTTGTGTAACTCCCACTTTTCCTTTTTCAAAATAACCTAAACAAGGAAAACCCAAAAGCACAGTTCACTCTCCTTGTGCAAGTAACCTGGTCCTTTCCATATTGTCACACTTCCTTTTCCCCATGTGGAAGCAAAAACCATAATGCAAAATTTGTGGTAAGTTGTCTCCTTTGTGAGAATTACCACCTCTAGAACCCAGTCTCAAGTTCTGGGTGCAAAGCAAATTTCCAGCATCTGGGCTAAGGACAGTCATGCCATCGTCTGCTGGGAGCGTGGTTCTTAACTGCACTGAGAATCTGGAAGGTGTTTGCTCCTGGGTGCAGAGTAAAGGTGGGAGAGGAATGTGTCAATAAAAACTAAGGATGGGGTCTCTGCTGGGCCCTGCAGGGACCCTGTTTGGAAGTAGGGAGTGGTCTATGGGCCACTTGTGTCCTGAGGGCAGCCTTGATCTGGGGGTGCTCTGCAGGTCCCCTCTTCTCTTCCACTTAGGGAGCCTTTGCCTATTTCAATGTCTGAGCCATAAGGGGGGCTGATGGGGAGGGAGATGCTGCCACGGAAGCCATGGTGGAGGAGGATGAAGAGCAGTGGGCTCCAAGCACACCAAGCCCCACCTGCACTCCCCGAGTGCAGGGTCAGCGGTGACTTTCCTGTGCTCTTCAGCTCCAGCCTGGCTTGGCCTCCTGTGCTGTGCCCGGGGGTGGGGTGCCCCTAGAATGTGCTCGTGATGTTTTCCTAGACAGTCGATAAGCTCCAGGCTGCTTGATAGGTGAAGGTGATGACAATGATGATAAGCCACTTCAGCTCTTGGAGGAAAGCGCCGTCCTGCTCTCCCTCTGTCCTGGGAAGCTGGAGTCCTTTACCTCCACTGGATTTTCTGACTTCAGCAGTATATTGGCTTGGAGGAGGCTTCTGCCCTGGCCTCAGACATCTCCTCCCAGGCAGTGGAGCTGCCTTCCAACGTTATGCACGTCTGCCCCCACAAACCTCCTCTTCAAAGCACTTCACAGTTGCCCAGGAAAGAGCCTCTGAAGGACCCCTTCCTATCCAGCCCTGTCCTCCCATTTGGCAGCGCCTGTTAGTGCCCCACCCCGCCCGCCTGCCCTGGCCTCCTGCTGCGGTGGCCCTTTTGGAGAGGAGGTGTTCAGGGGCCGAGAGCTGGAGTTTGTGAGTCTGGCTGAGTTTCTTTCTCTCTTGGCTCCTGGAGACCTGGTCAGAGGGATCAGCAGGCTAGCTGGGAGTGTGGAAATGGGAAGGGGGCAGGAATCGGAGGATGGTATTGAAAGGAGAAGGGAGAGGATGGGAAACAAACACCAGGAAGAGATCTCTGTGGGTTTGTAAGCCAGCTTTTCCCGGCACTCACAGCGCCCCACAAGTCATCATTCATGTGACCTGCACCCACCCAGCCTCAGGTTATGCTGGCTTAAATAACTGTGTCACATTTAGCAGCTCTGGGCCAAAATGTTTCAAGAAACCTGCGCCTGCTCTGGTTGTAGACCCTGGGCTCAAGGCTTCTTGTTTTCAATTCTCAGGTCCCCTTCAGAAGTTCCAGAAGACCTTTAGCCACTTTCAGCCTGGACCCAGGGCCGATCTTTTCCCCAGGGGCTGCTCCCTTCCTGCTCTGTAACTTACAGTTCCGTTTCTCCCTACTTCCTTTCCCAGGCACAACGGTGTGTCCTCCCTGTGACAACGAGTTGAAATCTGAGGCCATCATTGAACATCTCTGTGCCAGCGAGTTTGGTAAGAAAGCGTTTCTAGCTGCCTCTGGAAGGTTTGGAACCTCCTGGTCTGTGCCTCTGCCAGACGGAGGCCCTGCTGATGTATCTCGTTGCAGCTTTCCATATTCTCTACCTCATTCCTCTCCAAATGGCTGCTTTTCTCAGGCAGATGGGAGACTAGACAGGGTCCAGAACCGGCCAGTTTTGATGAAGGCCATACTTTGCCCTCCTTTGTGGGGGATCGCTGGACAGATTTTTGGGCATCTTCTCTAGGCATGCAGGGAGGCTGATTTGGGGACAGGTCGAGAGGAGCAGGGAAGGACAGCAGCTCCTTCTCAGAAGCTGCAGGGAGTACAAGTTGCCACCTGCTACTGTGTCTGGTTGGGCCCGGTTTTTTCCGGACTGGCTCTTTTTTTTTTTTTTTTTTTTTAACATCTACCCCTAGGTGTCAGCATGACTCTGTCCAGGATTTAAATGGCTGCCCTCTGGGTGCCTTCCCAGGGAGGGGAGAGTTCAATGCTTAGGGGATTCAGAGTGGGGGTCCTCATCAGGTTCCGCGAGGCAAAGAAAAATGGACATCCCCACAGCAGGGTGGTTTTTCTCTCTTCTTCCCAAGTCACTCTCCATCGAAAGAGAATTCTGAACCAGCACTCGCAGCTCCAGGAGAAGGAGGAGCTGGTGGGGGCCAGGGGGAGGTGGGGGAGATGCCAGGGGCCTTGGGGCCTTCCAGGGATGGTCTGTTATAGTCTGACCTGCAGAATACCTGAATTCACCACACCCTGAGAGTCTCTCCTCTGAGAAAAGTAAATGTAAACGGCACCCCTTTGGAGGGCCAGCTCCCTCTCTCTCGCCTCTATCTGACATGGATGCAGAGAAGTGGCTCCGGCCAAGCCACACTTTCAGAAGACTCAGTGTGATGCTGAACAACGTGTTTCTCATAATTCCTGCCTTGTGTCCCTGAGATCGGATTTCTTACAGAATTCTTATCTGGAAAAGCGTAAAGATAGGTGATGTGAGTCCATTCGGAGGCATCCCAGTCCATGTTTTCATTAATCGAACATGGTAAAGTACACGGAAGGGTCTTGTTCCTGCCCTGTCAAAGTAAGCTGCACACATGTGGGAGGACACATGCAAGTCGGAGGGAATCATGCCTCACGACAGGGTCATTCTCAGGGTATTGCAATTGTGGATGAAGATGGAAGCTGGATGTAGATGGCCACCAGAGCTAAACTGGAGAGCGCGTATCCTGTTTCCATGCATGGGGAAGATTGATGTGTTCTCTGTGATGCAGCAGTGTGAGTTACTTGTCTGTTTCTGCATTAACTCAAATTCATCAGTGAGGATTCCCTGTATACCTAGTGCTTTCTGAGTTCTATAGATACAGATTGAGGGTGGAACTCTTCCTCTAAATAAATGTAATACATGAGTATTGTTTTTTAAAAAAGACAGAAGTTGGAGGATTCAGACCCTTTGCCACATAGGCTGAAGAGGCAAGCCTGGGAAAGAATTTGAATCTGGCAAGGTTGACCTTAAGGTGTAGGGCAGGGGTCTAGAGGGCACTCAGGTAACTCATCTGGGATGGACATCTTCTTCCCACGGCAGCAGGCACCTGCCAAATCAGCCAGCGTTCTGTACACAGAAGAGGACAGAGGATCTCATGTCGATAACCAGTCACGGTTTGTGGAATCTGAGTGATTAGCTGTTTGGGATTGGGTTCCTTTAGCCCTGACAATATTTTCCTCTTGGGTTCACAGAACTTTTGGGTTCCTCCTGGACCTCAGAGGTCATCTTATCCAGTCCTCTTATTTGATAAAGAAGGAATTTGACTTTCTCAACTGGAGTCCTTTTACACTCTGCCACCTGCCCTCCTCACTTAAGAGTTGATGCACAGCCGCTGGGCTCTGCCACGGAGGCGCTGACCTCCTTAGTGTGCGTATGGTGTATGGCAGGCTTCTTTGAGCTGGTTGCAGGAGAAACCTTTTTGTTTTTTTGTCTGTAATGTTCTCATAAAACAATATATAGGGATTTTTTTTTCTCTCTCTCTGTAGGGGCTGAGCTTAGCTCTGCCCTTCTTAGCACCTTAGAGAATGCAGCCTTGTCGAGAAACGTGTTTCCTAGCTCAGCTCACTTCAAGTAAGTGAGGCAGTCAGCCACACTGATGGGATTCAGTTAGGAAACAAAGAAATTGAACAATGCAAGCTGACACACAGCAGAGAAGAAAGAGAATGCTTGACTCCCTCCTCCAGGGATCAAACTTTGCATTAAGTGGCCCTGACATCCCCAGTGGGAAGACATCAGGTTGCTGGAAGGCTCTCTGTGAGCTCCGGGAACAAGGGGTGCATTTCCCTGGGTAAGCAGCACCCTCGTCCCCCTGCCACTGCATCTGTGGTCTCCGGGAGCCTCTGTGGAGCTGGGCATGTCTGACCCCTGACCTTCTCGGCATGCAGTGTGCTTTAACCCCTTGGCAGATCTGCTTAGTCACTCATGTCTCCAGCCCTGCACTGTACCTGCTCAGTTCAGGGCACATTTTTTCCCCAACAGGAAAAAAACATGAGCAGAAAAGCTTGTGTGCTGATGCTCAGGAATGCAGCTGATCAGCCTGGATCAAGCACCAGATGTGGGAGCCAAGACTTAGATGGGGCAAAGTCACCGCATCGAACATGGCGACCAGCCTGCCTGCTGGCTTCCATCAGCTTGCAGGGCTCTGCTTTTTGTTCTCTCTCTGCTTTTCCTGCTCTGTGACAACAGGGTGCCACTCTCGCCTCTTAAATAGCCCAATATAGTATTTGCGAGCCGCCACACTAATCATCCTGCTGTTAACAGCTCAGTACCCACAGCCGTCTTCCCTTTGGGTTGGTTTATCCCAGGGATATGAGGATCTGATTTATTTATAATTGTGGTGAGGTTAATTCCTGCCTCTGGCCACTTTCTCTAGCTTCTTCTGCAGTATCTGTAAACACCCGTAAGCTTTCCTGGGGGAAATTTGCATGGTGATACACTTCTGCTAGGAGAGTTCAGAGCTTCCACTTGTACTACCTTCTTCAGTGTTTTGAGCTTGAGAGTTCAGGTGGCAATTTCTTCAGCCCAGTATTTTCTCCCTATGGAAAAGGATTTCTTTGCCCCTAGAAACTTTCCTTGCCTTCTGGAAGGATTCTTTTTTCCATTTATATATTTCCTCATAAAGAGAAAAGCTGTACTATGCAACACTAAGGTTAGTCAAATAGGAAGGAAAAGAACATCAGCTTTCACAGTTAGCATTAGGGAGTATTTCCTAGTAGAAATATTTTCAGTTTCCCGCACCTCCGTACCTCCACTAATCTGTTCTCACTCTGCCTCCAACTTCTTTCAGGATGTCTTGGCTGTGCTGCTGTTTGGGGGACAGTGTTTTACTCTGACGGGCAGTTTGAGTTCTTGCAGAAAGTAGGCTCAGCCTTTCCAAACTAAACCTTGGGTTTCCTCCCAAAGATGAAGCAAGATGGCTGCTAGCACAGTCACTGCGGCACCTGCAGGCTGCCTGAGAGCAGGCTCTGTATCTAATGCCGTGTTTTACCTGGTGGGAGATGCCTGTTAATTGTGAGACACACTGTTCAGTTTGTACTACTGACAAAACAAAAAACAATAAAAAAACCATACTTCTTGCAGAAATGTGCAGAAAATCTGTGTCTTGGAATGAACAAAGTAAGGCCTATTTGCACTCAAATAGTCCCTGGCACAGTGTCTTATACATGGTAGGCATAAAATGAAAGTTTGTCAGCTGACTGTATGAATGACAGGGGATGTGGGACGTGGATGTTGGAATTTTTTTTTTTTTTTTTTTTTTGAGACTAAGTCTCGCTCTACCTGGGCTGGAGCACAGGGGCATGATCTCAGTTCACTGCAATCTCCGCCCCCCGGGCTCAAGCGATCCCCCTACCTTGGCCTCCCAAAATGCTGGGATTGCAGGCATGATGGACTTCTTTTTTTTTTTTTTTTTTTTTTTTTTTATAAAGGAGAAGGCTCTTTTCAAGGTGGATGTCGGCAACTTGTGTATTAAGTTCAAGGAAAACTACATGCCCTGTTTTGGGTGACTGAGCATATACATGTATACATGTTTAAAAGAAGCCCCAACATCCAGAATCTCATTCAGTCAAAGTAAAATTAGACATGGAAGGAATTGTTACTCTGGGGATGGAATTGATAGGTGGAAAACAACTGGGTTTTATTGTTGCTGAAGATACATATTCTATCCACAGATCTGTACAAAATGGAGCTAATTGTTAGGATATTTTATGTGCGTAAAAACCTGAGATTGGCCCATTGCTTAGTGCACTAGAGGTGTGAGTCCCAGCTGAGAGCCTGTGTCTCTTTCTGAGCAGCCTTCTTGTGCATGGGAGGTGGGGGGTTGGGGGGGTAGGCGGTGAAGAGATGGAGGCCGAGCCAGTGTTTGTCCTTTTGCATCTGGCTTATGTGTTATGCATCATGTCCTCATCTTTGGATATGACTATAGACTCTCATAAGAAGGGGAGTGGAGAGAAGGATTTGCCCTCAAGTTCACCTTTATTTTCTGAGGTTTTTCTGGAGGTGGGTAGAGAAAGAGGGAAAAGGGATGAGTGGGATGAGGGGGCTGTTCACAGCTCATGTGAACTGCCCATTTCTTTGGGTGCTGCGTTGCTCACCTGTACCACTTAAAATTTTTTTAATGGATACAAAATAGTTGCACATATTTATGGGGTATGTTTGATATTTTGATAAAAGCATCCAATGTGTAATGATCAAACTGGGTAATTGGGGCTGGGCATGCTGTCTCACATCTGTAATCTCAATGCTTTGGGAGGGTGAGGCAGGAGGATTGCTTGAGGTCAGGAGTTTGAGACCAGCCTCAAGACCCCAGGCAACATAGTGAAACCCCATCCCCATTAAAAATTAAATATTAACTGGGCATGGTGTCATGCACCTGTAGTCCCAGCTACTTGGGAGGCTGTGGTGGGAGGATTGCTTGAACCCAGGAATTTGAGGCTATAGTGAGCCATGATCACACCACTGTACTCCAGCCTGGGCAACAGAGCAAGACTGTCTCAAAAAAAAAAATTGTGTAATTGGGATATCTACCACCTGAAACACTGATCTTTGTGTTGGAAATGTTCCAAATCTAGTCTTCTAGTTAATTTGAAATATACAATAAATTATTGTTAACTATAATTGCCTAGCTGTGCTACTGAAGACTGTATCTTATTCTTTAAAAATACGGAACACTTCACGAACTCACGTGTTATCCTTGCATGGTGGCCATGTGAATCTTCTCTGTATTGTTCCAGTTTTACCATGTGTGCTACTGAAGCAAGCCCCTGTACCACTTTGCCATTGTAAAGCTGTGTTGAGTTGGATAGGACCTCAAAGATCAGCCAGTCCGTGCCCTCACGTTACTGACTGAAGGAAATAAGACAAAAAAATAAAGGAGTTAGGCATTCAGTGACCCAAGAGCACTCTACCTGGATCCCTGTTACTGCCCACCAGCACTTCCCTGGCATCCAGGCCAGATTGCACACCCTTGCTCCTTCCCATCCTCTCACACCCATCAAGCAGGAAGGTAGTTGAGGAGCTTCCTGGGAAGGGGCATCGGGTGCTCCTTTACTCTTAGGGTTTGTAGAATTTAAATGGACTGATGTCTGTGCCCAGCACACGGAAGGAGCTCAGCAATCATTGGCTCCCTTCTTGGTGGGAAAGCCGGCAGTGTAGCAGAATGGAAAGAACACAGGCTCTGGGCGAGACAGACTTGGATTAAATCCCTACCCTATAAGCTAAGCGACCACCAGAAAGTCTCTTAACTTCCCTGAGCCTGGCTCCTCATCAGCAAACTATGGATGAGAATTCCTACGTGACTGTGTTGGGAGAATTGGATTTAATCAAGTGTGGACAGTTCCTGGAATATGGTGGCTGTTCAATCTGTAATAATTATTATGTCTTCTTATTGGAAAAAAATGTTTTAGGATGAAATTTAGCCTAGGAAGGAAAATTCCAGCACTAATGAAATCAGCTTGTTGGGCGGAAAGTTTTTTAGGAAGAAGAATGGAATATGCTAGTTAATTCTCTGGTTAATGGAGGATTAAACTGAAGAAGTCTTTTAAAAAACCCATTTGGAAGACCTTTAAAAGCTTTAGGCTGCTGGGCACGGTGACTCACACCTGTAATCCCAGCACTTTGGGAGGCTGAGGTGGGTGGATCACCTGAGGTCAGAAGTTCAAGACCAGCCTGGCCAAAATGGCGAAACCCCATCTCTACTAAAAATACAAAAATTAGCTGGGCATGGTGGCAGGCGCTTGTAATCCCAGCTACTTCAGAGGCCGAGGCAGGAGAATCACTTGAACCTAGAGGCCAAGGTTGCAGTGAGCTGAGATTGCGCTGCTGCACTCCAGCCTGGGTGATAGAGCGAAACTCTGTCTCAAAAACAAAACAAAACCCACAAAGAGAACTGCTTTATGCAGCTTCAAGGTGCTGTAATTCACAATAACAATAACAAACAACTCCCCCTCGGAAAGCCAAACCCTAACTAGAAGTTAGGAGATCTGGGTTTTAGTGAGATGACATCCTTATGTCAACGTAAACCTGGAAGCCTCCAGACAGTGATGAGGGCTGAATGCGGGAGCTGTGACTGCCTGGTGTTCCAGGATAGGACCACTGAAGTTTTCATTTGTGTGTTTTTTAGAAACACTCTACCTAACGCGTTCTCCTTTTAATTTAGCAGGGCCTATGTTTGAGGGACTTCAGAGCCCCTTTGTGCTGTTTTACTTCACTTTGTTCTCCATTTTTCTCCAGCGATATCTCTGGGGCACTTTTCCCTTCCCCTACCCCAACCCCAACACCTGCCTTGTGATATTCACTTCCTTTAACCAAAAAATAGGCTATGCATTATAATGCGAATGAGCTTTTAAATATTGGTAAGTTTCATCCAGTTTTGCAGAAATGTGCTGGAAGCCCCAATCTGTTTTTTTTTTTTTTTCCAGAAGAACAAATGGCCAAAGAAATGTCAGATCATTGCCCTGCCCCGACCTTAGGGCAGCCAATTAAACATGCCTTCGCTTTGGAAGGCTTCTCAAAGGCCTATAGATTGTGCTTGAAATCTTTGTTTAGTCTTTCAGGAACACTGTCACACGGATGATTTATCAAAGAAAGTTGTTTATCTGGCAGTAAAATAAACTCTGGGCCTGTTCAGACTAAGATTTCCCGTGAATTTTTACCAAGGTAAACACTACTAACTGGCAGGTTGCAAACTCCGTGTGAAAGCCAGACACATATAATACATATTTGAACTACAGCTTTGCTGTGTATGGGGTCTGGCCTGCCACTAGTGCTGTCACTCCCACTGTGCCCAGAGGACCTGGACTGCAGTCTGTCTGGCTGGGTGACCAAGAAGAGGGACTTGCCCCATAGTCAGTGTGTGCAAGAGCCACCCCTGTAGCGTGAGCCTCCCTGGGTTTGAGTGCCTCTTACTGCTGGCACCTGGGGACTTCCTAATTCAAAGGGGGCAGGCTCAGGATGGTTGCCCTCCGCATCCCACAAATAGTTGGTGATGAGTTATGAGGAAAGTGAACCAGAAGCAGCCAGCTTAGGTTTCTTTGAAAATAGACATTTGTTGATCCACATTGGCAGGGGGCTGGACGTATTGACTGATCTGGGAGCTGGGGCCAGGGCATGGTGGCAGGGGGTGAAGTCATCTTCTGGATTCTGCTGAGTGTTAATGACAGTGGCAAAAAAAAAAAAATGCTGCAGATACTCCCCCAGTGTCTCTGGCTTTGCTAGTGGGTGGCTGTGAGAGACCCATTTGGGAATTAGGTAAGTTGAGTTCTGTGAGTGCTGCAGCGCATATTTAAGTGAGAGGGTGGATGGACACATGAATGGTGATGATGGGGACGAGATGAAATACAGCCTTCCAGGTCTTTCCAGGGAAGGTACTGTAGTGAATTTTTTTTTTTTTTTGAGACAGCCTCTTGCTCTTGTCGCTGAGGCTGGTGTGCAGTGGTGTGATCTTAGCTCATTGCAACCTCTGCCTACTGGGTTCAAGGAATTTTTCTGCCTCGGCCTCCCGAGTACCTGGGATTACAGGCGCCCACCACCATGCTCGGCTAATTTTTTTTTCTTTTTTTTTGAGACGGAGTCTCCCTCTGTTGCGCAGACTGGAATGCAGTTGCGTGATCTTGGCTCACTGCAACCTCTGCCTCCTGGGTTCAAGCAATTCTCCTGCCTCAGCCTCCTGAGTAGCTGGGATTACAGGCACGCACCACCATGCCTGGCTAATTTTTGTATTTTTAGTAGAGATGGGGTTTCACCATGTTGGCCAGGCTGGTCTTGAACTCCTGACCTCGTGATCTGCCCTCCTTGGCCTCCCAAAGTGCTGAGATTCCAGGCGTGAGCCACTGCACTGGCCTGTAGTGATTGTTGATAGTGGTTTTTTCAGGGAGACTGCTGGATTATAAACTGCTTGTTCTTACAGTCCCAGCCAGCTCCAGATGCTGGAGTTTCCATATCACACTAGCCTTGGGGTTCTTCCTGCAGGGCTGAGTTTAAAGATGATTGTGGGTAGCTCCCATAACTCATGCTGCACGCTGGGTCCTTCTCATCCCAACTCCTCAAAGCGGCAGGAGCAGGAACTGGGGACTCCTGAGAGAAGGTGACATTTGTGTCTGTGTGGGCTTTTGGGGTTGGGATCTCGGTGCATGTGCAGAGCTTCCATATACATATTTGAGTCTTGAATGTAAAAGGTGTTGGTCTGTTAGGTTTGGGGGGCTGTAAGCATGAGGGCTGAGGCTATTTGACAGCACTTAGGGATTGATGTGCAGGTAATAGATGCTTACTGGCTTGGCAGATATTTGGAGGCATAACAGAGGTATTTTCTGTAGGGCAGGAATTAAGGGACATCATTTACAAATTCTGAAAGGATGTCTGTGAGTTGTAAAGAGATGCCAAAATAGTACTTTGGCAGTGGGGAGAAAACGAGAAACCAGCTTCCCTAAATGATGTTCTTTCTCATTCAGGCAGGATTACGAGGGGGATTTTCTCTCTCTTGTTTTCTCTAGCCCTTCCATCAGCTTTCTCCAAAGGACATTTCCTTTTGGGACTACCTCAGATGTGTTCTCTTCTCTTTGTGAGCTCTTTGAAAATTTTCCACGTCGGTGTCTTCCGCAATGGATGCATTCAGCTTTGGGGAATGGCTTATGGCTGAAGGAAATCCCCAACTATATGTCGGTGGCACCAGAGCTAGAAACGAGCCTGGATAAGCACTTTAAACCCTGAGAGCAGCTGGTGCCTAGAGAGCGCATTCCCTCCTGTGGTACTCCATAGGGCGGCTGTGCCAGCCCGCTGTGCTCACCTCTCAGGCTCATAGACAGTCTGGGCGCCTTCCACTTTTCCTTTGGTCTCAGCCCCATATGGAGGACCCTGTTCCTGCCCTCGACACATTTAAGAATCTGGTGGCCAAGTATGGTGGCTCATGCCTGTAATCCCAGTGCTTCGGGAGGCTGAGGCAGGAAGATTGCTTGAGCCCAGGAGTTCCAGACCCTGTCTCTAAAAAAAAAAAAAAAAAGTAGCCAGATATGGTGGCACATTGTGGTCCCAGCTACTTGGTGGGATGTGCGTCTGAGCCCGCGAGGTCGAGGCTGCAGTGAGCTGTGTTCAGGCCACTGCACTCCAGCCTGGGTCTGAGACAGGGCAAGACCTTGTCTCAAAACAGAAACAAAAACAAAAACAAAACCCCCCACAAAACCCCCAAGAATCTGGTGGGCGAGACAGGCCTTTGCCATGCTTTTTTGTCTCTGCTCTTTGGTAACTTCAGATGCCTTTGTGCGTAGTTCTAGCACTCAGGACTGAAGGAGGGAGGGGTCTTCGGTGGGGCCTGGAGAAATTCAGGGAACTTTCCTAGAGAAGATGAGGATCTAACTGTCAGGCTGAAGATTAATGGAGAAAGTAGAGGAGGGCATTCCTGGTGTCAGGAGATGAGGACAGGGAAAGGGAGTAAAGACTCAAAACAAGTAGTAATTCTTCAATTGACGAAACCTAAGCTGGTAAATAAATACAGAGGAGAATGTTGGTTTGTCATTTGTCAGTTATAACAACTCGCTTCGCATTCTATGTTCTGCTTAGCCCTGGCCCACAGCGTGGGGACTCAAAGGCTGCATCAAGGCATGGGAGGGGGAGCTGCTCCTTCCAATTCGCAGCTGTCTGTGTACCCAGCTCAAAGGGTGACGAGGTCCCAGCAAGGCTGTACCTGTTCTTGTGGTGCAGCAGTTGGAATGAATGGCCCATGTGTTTCAGGGGTCCCTCATGTGGTTGTGGCCATGGGCCTGAGTCAGATATGACACCCAGGGAGTGCATAGCTGTGAGGGGAAGGAGTTCAGTCAGGTAAGTACTTGTTGTCAGCCCTGGGCAAGGAAGGTGCTGAGAAGTGCACAGGCAAGACTTGAGTCTTGAGAGCAGCCTCTCACCTCCACGTAACCCGCAGCCGCTGCTTCCACTCACAGGATGCAGGGCTGGCTAGAAGGAGTCTCGACCTTTGTTCTGAGATGTAGAGGCACTAAGAGCTGAGATGTCTGCACAGTGCCAAATGCCAGCCGGCACCCAGCCTCTCTGGTTACAGGGTCTTTACTCTTAACACACATTCATTTAAAAACAGGCTCATGATGTGTGTTTGTGCATGTGTTTTCTTTTGAAAATCTAACCACCTGCAGAAGACGTGCACTCTTGCAGAGATGATTCAACAATCGTTGGGCTTCTACTGAGCCCTGCTTAGTCTGTACCACATCTGTTGACTAGAATCAACATCCAAAGAGATTTTAGCTGTGTAGACAGAAGTGTTGATATCATTTCTTCCCAGGGCCTGGGAAGAGGGAAGTCTCCATAATTGTATTAGTTTGTTCTCACACTGCTATAAAGACACTACACAAGACTGAATACTTTATAAAGAAAAGAGGTTTAATTGACTCACAGGTCCACATGGCTGGGGAGATCTCAGGAAACTTACAGTCATGGCATAAAGGGAAGCAGGCACATCTTATATGGTGGCAGGTGAGAGTGTGTGAAGGAAGTGAAGGGGGAAGATCCCCTTATAAAACCATCAGCTCTTGTGAGAACTCACTCTCGTGAGAACAGCATGGGGGAAACTGCCTCTATGGTCCAGTCACCTCCCACCAGGTCTCTCCCTCAACACCTGGGGATTACAGTTCAAAGAGAGATTTGGGTGGGGACACAAAGCCAAAAAGGGCTGCTATGGGATCTTCGCTGCAAAGAATTCTGCAGCTGTCTCCTCCCTCCAAGTGCTCTGAACCCGAGTTAAGCCCTGGGTAAGGAAGGTGAAAACTCTGTTGGCTATAGATAGCTCTTACCTGCACACCTGAGTCCAGGAGTGGAAGTTTTTAGTGGTGTAATTCTGCCTGGGGTGTGTTGCTTTTGAAGTTGCGTTATGAGTGGGAAGCCCTGCAGTGAGCCTCGGGCTGGCCACGTAGGAGCTGGTGAGTTTTGGAGGAGAGGGTGAGGGTGTCTGTATTGGGGTGCCCCTGGCCACACTAGGGTACCTCGCTGTCCCCACTCCTGGGGCCTGTTTGAGGCAGAAGCTTTGGGTTTGTCACAGGCTTCTCCAAGGTGCCTCTGTCCGTGCTCCAGCCCTGGATCACAGTGCCTTTGTGCTGCTCCTCATGGTGTTTCCTGCCTCGGGAAGGAAACACCTGGATTAACCTAATTTCATGTTAGTGTCAGAGACCCAGTCAAGGCTGACTGCGTGGTGTGTGTGCTGGGCTCCGCGCTGGTGAGTGTCCAGAAAATGGTCATGGGGTGTGATTGGGAAGTGGTTCTGCTCTACCAGGCCTTACCATCTAGAGGAGGTCAGGGGATGCAGAGATGCCCGTGATAGAGAAGAGCTGGGAGCCACGGGAGCATACAGAAGGGAGCTGGTCTCCAAGGAAATGGTCAAGGGGAGCTGCAGAGATGAGAGACCCTGTGCTGTCCTCCATGGAGCTGGTAGGCATTTGTCAGGCAGCAAAGGTGGGCCTAGGAAGATAATCCCAGTGGAGATCAGACCAGGAGCTGCGACGCTGCACTGGGGAGTGGCGAATCTCTTTGTGGTTAGCTAGCTTATCAGGGTGTGGTGGTGAGTATCTAGAAATGATGACAAAACAGGCAAAAGCCAGCTTGTGCGGCAACCTGACTGCTTTCTTACAGAATGGAGATTTGGCCTTGTTGGTAACACAGAGACACTGGGAACTTATTTTAAAACATGACTGTCTTATATCTTTAAAAAAGTCCTCAAAAAAGGCCGGGCGTGGTGACTCATGCCTGTAATCCCAGCACTTTGGGAGGCTGAGGTGGGCAGATCATGAGGTCCGGAGATCGAGACCGTCCTGGCTAACATGGGGAAACCCCGTCTCCACTAAAAATACAAAAAAAAATAGCGGGGCCTGGTGGCGGGCGCCTGTAGTCCCAGCTACTCAGGAGGCTGAGGCAGGAGAAAGGTGTGAACCTGGGAGGTGGAGCTTGCAGTGAGCCGAGATCGCGCCACTGCATTCTAGCCTGGGTGACAGAACAAGACTCCATCTCAAAAAAAAAAAAAAAAAAAAAAAAAAAAAAAAAAAAAAGACGAGGAAGAGGAGGAGAAGAAGACAAAGACCTCATTAATCAAATAATGAAGTCCTAATGGCAGAACTGCAGACATCAGTGGTGAGACATTTTGGACAGGGAGTCTCTGAGTGAGGGTGGGAGGGAGAGAGGAGCCCTGGAGCCGCGTCCCGTATGAGAGGGCTCAGGGTGGTGCCTGTTGGGTCTGGGCCTGCTCAGGGCCACCCACTTGAAGGAGCCCTCGGGAGGTGGCTGATGAGGTCAGCACAGCTGTCCTGGCCGTCAGGGAAGGGGCCATCTGCTGCGGTCAGTGCCCCCGGGACACCTGTGTTCTGCGTGTGCAGAGCGGGAGCCAGAGCCTGTAATCAGCTCATACTTAGGTCACCGCAGAGCTGGCCATTACCAAGAGCAGTTGTCATTAGGACCCATCATAAATGGTCCTGACTTTTCTCTCCAGACTTTGTTATTGACCAGGGGCAGCAGGAGCAGTGCCTCCGGAGCCAGCCCCAAAGCATTGCACTGGGAATGGCATTTATGAGGGCCTTCAGGGCTGGGTTAGCCCAGGTGTCTGGAGCTTCCCTGAAAGAGGGAGGCAGGAGAGGCTGCAGTGACAATAAGGGACAAGGGGAGGTGCATGTGTGGTTTGTGTGTTTATGCCTCTGTGCACGTGGGGTTATATCTGCGAGATATGGGTGTCTGTCGATGCCTATGTGTAGTTGGGGGACACAAGGGACCACCTGCTGTGCACACATGTGTGTTTGTGTCTGTGTTTGCCTGTGTATGGGTCAGTCTGTGAGGTGTGGGTGTAGACAGATGTGGGTAGTGTGTGGTGTGATGAGCTGTGTACGTGTGCCCTCCTGTGCGTCTGTCTGTGTGTGCATAGCACATCTGCCTGGTGAGCCTGGCTGTGCTGGGCAGCTGCCTTTTCCAGCTGGCCTGGGCTTCCCAGGGACTTGGTCTCCACTGGTGAGGCCCGAGGGTCACTTCCTCCCCCAGCACTTGAGAGAGACACTGTCTAGAGCATGCTGCTAATCCACTATCCTCCAGAAGAGCTTCTGAGAAGCCCAGGAGGGATTTCTCTGCATTGATGCCATTATACAAACTGAGTGCCATCTTTGTAAGTTTGGGGAACACTCCTATGGTCTTGGTATTTTGTTTATTACTTTGAGTGCCAAATAGACCTCTTTTGTTTAGGTTTCAGTGTTTGCAGCAAGTCCATTTAGAACTGCTGGTTCTCTGGGCAGGAGTCACTTCCTTAGAGGATTCCAGCGGTTAGCAGGGATTGACATAAAGGCGGTGCTGTAATCTCTAGGATTTAAAGAGTGCATTGGAAAGAACACGTGTAGCCTTAGGAGCTGTACAGGCGTGAGCCCAGCGCCTGGTTCTACCACCTACTGTGTCAGCGCCTGCAAGTCACTGAAGCACTCGGTGGCTCAGTTTACCCACCTGTTAAGAAACAAAAACAAAGACTTCTGCGTTAGAAGATAAAATATGGAGTAAGAAAAAAATAACACAGATTCTGGAGTCCTGGCATCTAATTTCTGCGCTGCTACTGAACTGTTTGTGACTTTGGCCAGTCAGTTCAAATCTCTGAGCTTGTTTCCTTAAGCGAGTTGAAGGGGTCACCATAGGTGATCTGTGAGTGTCCTCCAGCTCTGCAGTTAGGTGGTTTTGGTCTGTGGCAAAAACTCTGTGACTTGCTCTCTAGGTGTGATATCTTGGTTGGCACCTCCTGCTCCCCAGGCAAGGCCCCTGGGAACACTGGCCTTCACCTTGGGTGCATGGGGAAGAGAAGTCGCTATGTGCCTGAGAGGGTGGAGCAGATGAAAACTGAGTTGGACGCATTCATTGAAGGGTTGAGTTGGGGGTGCATTGGAGGGCGTAGGACCACTGCAAAGGGCAGTGCATTGCATAAACTGTGGATCAGTGGTCTCTGACCAGGGCTGGGCACTGCTGGACATCCTGGCCCCAGCGCCATCTTCTTGGGCTGATCCCCGCATTTGCAGCCCCTCTCCTGAATGTGTCTCTGAGCTGCTGCTTCTTCCCTTCTGTTCTCAGAAACCCAGAGATGGATGGCATAGGAGCCCCTTCCGCTGCATAGGGTAGGAGAGAGCCTGCTATGGGGAAGCAGTTTGGAAGCAGTTACTTTCTAAAACTCAGAACTGAGTTTTCATTCCTGCCCCACAATTTACTAGTCGCATGGCTTTGGCCAAGGGCAATGCTTGGAACCACAGTTTTCTCATTTGCCAAATGATGGCCATCATGCATCCCCCACAGAGCTGGTGTGTAGACATGAGAGTGTATGGAAGAGTCCTGGAAACTACAAAGTGCATTGCAGTTTTTTTTTTTTTTTTTTTTTTTTTTTTTTTTTTTTTTGGACAGGGTCTCTTTGCCCAGGCTGGACTGCGGTGGCACTATCATGGCTCAGTGCAGCCTCGAACTCCTGGGCTCAAGCGATCCTTCTGCCTCAGTCTCCCAAGTACAGGGACTGCAGGTGCATAGCATCACACCTAGCTAATTTTTATTTTTATTTTTATTTCATTTTATTTTTTTGGAGATGGAGTCTCTGTCATCCAGGCTGGAGTGCAATGGCACGATTTTGGCTCACTGCAACCTCTGCCTCCTGGGTTCAAGTGATTCTCTGCCTCAGCCTCCTGAGTAGCTGGGATTACAGGCACGTCCCACAACAACTGGCTAATTTTTTTATTTTTAGTAGAGACAGGGTTTCACCATGTTGTCCAGGCTGATCTTGAACTCCTGACCTCAGGTGATCTGCCTGCCTTGGCCTCCCAAAGTGCTGAGATTACAGGTGTGAGCCACTGTGCCTGGCCAAATTTAAATTTTTTTTTTTTATAGAAACGGGGTCTCGCTATGTGGCCCAGGCTGGTCTTGAACTCCTGGCCTCAAGTTATCCTCCTGCCTATAGGCATGAGCTGCCATGTCCAGCATACAAAGTGCAGTTCTCCTCTAACTTGTCATTCACCCTGTGGCGGCCAGTCCCAGTTGCTCTCTTACAGCTCCATGTGGCATCCCTGGAAGGGCTTCCTGTTTATGTGGAGGCTGTCAGCATCCCTTGTGGTCCCTTCCCTCAAAGCATTTGTGACACATGCTGCACTTTCCTTAAACTGTAACAGGTGAATGCATTTTATAGATATACCAAATTGAAGCCAGGATAGTAATGGTAATGTATTTCTCAGAGAAGCTTAAAAAGAACTTCAGAGGTTATTATAATACACACGAATCTATTCCCTCACCTTCTCTGTGGACTCACAGGGAGAGCAAATATTAGCTGAAGACCCTGAGATCGAAAGCATCAAATCAGAAAGGATGCTTGAAAAATCCAGGCTTGAGATGTAGAGCCAGGCTCACCCCTAAAGAGGGAACAGAGCCCACAGCAGGCCCTGGTGCAGGTGGGATGGATGCATCGGGGCCACCAGCCTGCAGTGGCACATGACCTGGTGCTCTTACCCACTCTCCATGACGTTCCTCCGAGCCGATGCCAGCATTTAGAATGAGCGCTCAGCATCGCTTCGGCCATGGTGGCCGATGGCAGAGATTTTGTGTAAGAGGAGCTGTGAGGTGAGAGAAAACAAGCTGGCACGCCTGTCATTCCCAGGCATTTCCCACTTTCCTGGGGCCTGGCCATTCTCTTCCCTATATAACCCCTTCAAGTGGACAAGCCTGTGTGTTTCAGGATGTCCACCTTTTAGGACTGCAGGTGTCAGGAAGAAAACAGATGTGAGGGCCAAGGCTGTGCAGTCCAGCAAAGGGAAGACTCCTGTGTGGCACCGGAGAAACTGGGCTTGAGGAAATGAAACCTTGTTCAGCAGAGGGGCAGGCTGCCTTGTTCCGTGGTAGGGTCCCACTGTAGACGTTATTCAGAGACCTGGCAGCCTCTTAGCTGCGATACCTGGAGGCCTGCACTGGGCAGGAAGCCAGAGGCATGACCCACAGGACTCTTTTTCAGCCCTTCAGATGCCACGCTTGGGGCACTCACTGTGTGCTTTCTGGCCACTGGCTTCTCTCCAGAAGTTGGCTGTGTTGGTGGGTGAACCTTCCTTCTGGTGGAGATGTAAGATGATCTTTCTGAAGAAGGTGGAGGAGCCAGCTAGGGCCCCCATCTCTTTAGGTCACCAGCAGCGTATGAATCCTACCCTTGAAATGAGTTCCTAGCTGCCCCCGACCTCGTGTGTGGACCCCCTCTTCAGTGAAGAAAGGGATGACGCCAGGGTGTGTAAAGACAGAATCCTGGAGTCGTTCCATGTTGCGTGTCTTGGAGAGGAAGGCCAGATGGCCTGGAGCATTCTAGTGGCTGTGACTCTTTGGGAACGGACCTGCAGTTGGCAGCAAGGAGCATGGACATGGAATGAAGTCCAGGCCCAGGGCTGAACCCCCTCCCCCCGCCCCGCTTCCTTTATCCAAGGAGGAGCCACTGGCCCCACACTCCCTCTGCCTCCCTTGGTGTTGATTTTCCTGGTGACTTTGAAAAACAAATCCTTTTTTGCCTTCACAGTTGTGTCCCTGTGTTTGTGCGGCGGGGGAGGCGGTGGGAAGGTTGAGCGGGAACCGCCCCTGCCTCGGAACAGGAGTAGAATCCATGTATTGTGTTGGGTTTTCCCTGTGACTGACAGCTCTTTGCCTGGAGGCTTCTTCGCTTACAGACTTAATGTATCTCCTGGCAGGTTTCCTTGTTTTGGATGATTACTCGAAGTCGGGAATAGGCAAGCCCAGGGAGGAACACAGAGTGTTTCTCTCTCTTGGGTTCATCGTCCCCATCCCTGTCCCCCCATTCCCGACGCTCTTTGGAAGTGGGGTGATGCCAGGAATCGGGTCTGGGCCGGCTGGCAACTATGAGCTTCTGCTTTACCCACCCACCCCCTCCCCCCGCCCAGTTCCATAGAATGAGGACCCTGGGTTGGAGTGGAAACGTTGCCTGTTCCTCCCATGGAGCCCTCAGCCTGAGAGTTCCTGGGGACCCATACCCCAAAACTCCGCAGAGAACACCAAAGGGTGGCCACTTCTGAGGCGGCTGGGAGGGATCATTGGCACCCCCGACCCTAGCCTGAGCCTGGCCATCCCATCCGGTGGAGCCTCCATCCCGCTCGAGCTAACTGAGCACGCCTGTCTGTCCTAGGTCCCTGCCTCACCCCAGAATGCTCTTCAGAGGAGGCATGGCAGGGGCACTCCCTGGCACTCACGGGGGCTCAGCATTTCCTGAGTTGGAAGGGTTGGGGGGCTGGGCCACAGCCCTGCTGTTGTATCTGACTGTGGTCCTGGGAAAAGTGAGGCCAGGTGGGCTGGCCTCAGGGTCCCTGGCTCCCGGCTTTCCTGCCTTACTGCAGCCGCATTTCTTTTTAGGAAACGACTTATCTGATAGTAAGCTGGGGCTGCACTTCTTCCGCCTGGAGTGGGGCTTAGTTCTCTGGTTTTTGGCATTTTATTCTGGCAGGGAAGTAGGGAGTGGCTTGCTTGCATTTGTGGAAGAAATGAGGGAGGCTGATTGAGCCCATGGGGCTGGAACCCGAGGGGCTGGGGCATCACCCTTCCGGAAATGAGTGTGTGAAGGGAATAGTGCGTGGGGAACGAGGGGCGGAGGACAGCAGTGGCTCCAGGAAGTCGGGAGTCCTGGTTCTGGTGCCAGCTCAGATGCTGACGGCTGAGGGGCTGGGGGCTTCATTTTCTCTCTGGGCCCCAGTTTTCTGATCGGTAAAATGAGACTTTGGTTAGATGGCCTCTTAAATCCCATTGTGCTTTAACATTCTGTGCATCTATATGTGAAGTTCGTGTTTGTTAAACACTCATGTGCCACGAAGCACAATTTTTCTTTAGAGGAAATCTCACCCGGAACTCCATTGTGGAAAACCAGGCAGCACAGGCCACCAGGTCGGAAGCGGAGGGGACTGAGTGTCGGGCTGGCTTGGCCTCCACTTACTCTTGCGGTGCATCTGTGGGGCGTAGGGAAGAGTGAGTGTCTGACCTGAGGGAAGAAGGGCAGAGTGAACTCAATGAGTCACTGACTCTGTACTTTCTCCCTGGACTGGAGCATCGGCCTTGGCCTTGCAGCCTGGGGGTACCCATGATGGCAGGCCATGTTAGCCTGCCAGCCTGCACTTGCCTGCGCTTACCAGCAGCTCCCAGAGGCTTTGCCTCTGCCTCACCTAAGAATGCTCTTCAGAGGAGGCAGGGGAGACCCCTCCCCCTACGCCACCTTCCCTGGGCTCTGTAGAGCGAGCAGGTGTGGGCCCTGCAGGCTGGGCTCTGTGGAGTGAGCAGGTGTGGTCCCTGCAGGTCACTTCATTTGCTGCTGCCCTGAGCTGCTGTCCTGGCTGTTGTCAGCCATGCTGGAGGTCCGTGGGTATTTGCAGCCCAGCATCTCCTGAGTGGCAGCTCCATTGCCAGACTGAGGGTCCCTGCTGACGCTCTCAGCCATCACAGAGCCACCAGAGCACTGTGCCCAGTGCATGAGTGGGGTTTGCTGTGGGAGGGGCCCTCCAGCAATGTGGGAGGGGCTCAGACAATGTGGGAGGGGGCCCTCCAGCAATGTGGGAGGGGCCCTCCAGCAATGTTGGCCGGGCCCTGGTGTGTCCCAGCCTCTAGTGAAAGAGCTCTTCAGGGTGTTTACCTGGCACTTTCTTCCCACAGTGTGGCCGGTTTCCATAATAGCCACTGTGCTGCACCTGGAGCTGCCGTTCTCCTTCTCCTCTTCCATCTGAGTCTGGGCTAATGAACCAGACTCTTTCTTATTATTCTTGGATTCTCCAGCTTCCCATCTTCACTCAGTGATGAGGCTCCTGTCAGCCACTCTAGATGTGCAGGCCTAGGTTTGGATCCTACTTGCTGACAATCTTAAAGTTTGCCATGGCAAACAGGTAATGCTGGTGGGAGCTGTAGGCAATCCCCCAGAGAGTCCCCTGGCCCAGCTAGGACACCTTGTGTACAGCAGTAGGTTGGATGGAACAGTCAGGCTGAGCAAAGTAACAAGCTCTAATCAACTCTTTGTGTTAGCCCAACTCATCAATAGATACAAGAAAATTGGAGGAGTTTGGCCGGGCGTGGTGGCTCACACCTGTAATCCCAGCACTTTGGGAGGCCAAGGTGGGTGCATCACCTGAGGTCAGGAGTTCGAGACCAGCCTGACCAACATGGCGAAACCCCGTCTCTACTAAAAATACAAAAATAAGATGGGCATGGTGGTGGGTGCCTGTAATCCCAGCTACTCTCGGGAGGCTGAGGCAGGAGAATCACTTGAACCTGGGAGGCAGATTGTGCCACTGCACTCCAGCCTGGGTGACAGAGAGAAACTGTCTCAAAAAAAAAAAAAAAGAAAGTTGGAGGAGTTTAATTTTTTTTTTTAGTTTCTATAAAAATAGCGTTGATCTGAATGATTTTTACAAGTTCAGCCGCTGACTTTGGCCTGATCTTCTGATCACTTCATTGGATTGTCTTTAAGTAAATCTTGAGCATGGCTGAAACAGCAATCGGGGGCCTGCACGTTTTCTGTCTAGATGGTCTCACGGGGGTTTCCTATCTGGCCACCAGCTCTGTCTAATGCAGAGAATGTGACCTATTCGCAGGACAAGGCCTAAAGATCATCCTACTCCCATTGTATGGGAGACACACACACTCTGAAAGGGACTCGGAGGAGGAGATAGATGTGACGCCTACCTGGTGGTCTAATTCTGACACTTGTCAGGGAAAAGTACTTTTTATTGTAGCAAAGGGAAGGAGAAACAAGGACATGACTGACCTGAAACTTAATAAAGATATTGAAATCTACATCTAGAAAGAGAGGAAGAAACAGGATGGAGACTCATGTTGTCCAAGGTCATGTAATAAAAGCAAGAATCTAAATTCAGCAGTGTTCTTATCTGTGAGATACGTTGGAATCTTCATTCTTTTGGAGTGGAATGAAGAAGAATGAGATCGTAGATAGCCACAGAGAGCTTCTTGAAAGAACATAGGGAAATGAATCAAAATTTCTAAAGCTGGAGTTATTTTGGCCCGATCAGTGCAAAAAAACTTTATTTGCTTGTCTCTGGCTTTTCTTGAAGGCAGGGCAGTACTTTAAAATTGTACAGAAAGCCAGGAAAATAAAATAAATGAATGGATGAATAAAACCTAAACATGTATATAACTCTGTACATATATTTGTGTATATAATATTTTTGAATATGTAGTTTCAAAAAGGCAATGTGTTCACATTGTATAAAATAAAAAATGTCCAAATAATACAGAATTAAAAGTAAGAGGAACAGGTTGCCATGTTCAAAATGCTTTCCCATGCTTGAGCTTATTTTTATTTTATTTAAAATTTTATTTTATTTAAAATTTTATTTTATTTATTTATTTTTTTCTATTTCAGATTTCCAAACAAGCATTTTTTGTGTGTTTTTGGAGGCAGGGTCTTTCTCTGTCACCCAGGCTGGAGTGCAGTGACACAATCTTAGCTCACTGTAGCTTTGACCTCCTGGGCTCAAGTAATTCTCCCACCTCAGCCTTCTGAGTAGCTGGGACTACAGGCCCACACGACCAAGCCCGACTAGTTAAAAAAAATGTAGAGCTGGAGTCTTGCTATGTTGCCCAGGCTGGTCTCAAACTCCTGGGCTCAAGCCATCCCCCAACCTTGGCCTCCCAGAGTGTTGGGATTATAGGCCTGAGTCACCCTGCATGGCCAAAACCTAATTTCTAACATTACAAAACACAGAGCTACAAGGTGCACACATCTGAACACCTTGGGTGAGAGGCCCTTTGCCATGCAGGCAAACCAGGGACAGTGAGAGGCAGATGTGGGAGGCAACCAAACAGCTACCCAAAAGGCCCTTAGCAACCCAGTCCTATAGGGTGACGAGAGGAATGGAGGGGCCACCTTTTGCGCCCTTGGCCCTGAGTGCTCTGAAGGTCTCCAGCTGTCTCGTGAATTGTCCTAGCAGCTCATTTCAGGCTCTTCAGACAAATGAGGACCCTTTGAAACTTGTTTATTTGTTGACCATGAGGCACGACATATGCATTCGCCAGAGGTGCTCTGGACAAATCACGATCAGGGTAGGCGAGAACACCAGAGAGTGGTCAGCAAGGTTGGGAGGGGATCCTAGATCTTGAGACTGTGCCTTTCCCAGTTGGCCATGTATATGAAATTCATCACCCTGTAGGGTGTGGGGGTTTCCCCTGCACACAGCATTGCAGCTCCTCAGGTTACTGATCTTGCTTAGCCAGGGTGTGTGCAGTATATGAGGGATGGCTTCACAGTGAACCCTCAGTCAATGACAGATTGACCCTGTGACTTGTTTATATTATGCCCCTGTGTACACATCCATTCACAAGAGATAGGAGCCACAAGGGTGCTTGGATAGCACCTGAGGACAGACTAGCTGCCTCCGCATCCTCAATGTGTCTCAACTCTTTGGATGGCAGCCATGGGCTTAACCCTTCTGTGCTCTGAAGGGACTTTGCCTCTAGCTATGGGTGAGTGCAAGCTGACATTTGTCTTTCATTTTCCCCTGTCTGTGGCTGCAACATCAATCCCCCCATGCTGAGGGAGTGAGGGGCACTGCACTCCCACTCCACTGGCAAATCCTTGAAGGGCCTGCATGGCCCCCGAATGTGCCCAGCTGTGTAACAGGGCAAAGCTTGCTGGTGAAGGCTGGTGAGGTGGGGCTGTGATCAGCACCCCTGATGCAAACTGGAGGCCTTGGGGAGGAGGTGCAGGAGAGAGGACTCCCACTCCCTCCCTGCACGGAGTGGAAGGCCATGAACGAGGTAGGAGCACTTGGCAGGTGGCAGGAGAGGCAGGAAAAGGAAATAGAGGAGAGGGAGCTGCATACATTAGAGGTGGTCATGCCTGCTAGGAGCTCACGGGCCTGTCCCACAGGGCTCAGCCTTGGCCCCCAAACCTGGATGTTGACTATCTTCAGTAGGAAGAGAAGCACGGTCCCTGGAGAGTACTTGGAACATTAAAAGAATCTGTCTGTTGTGGAGCCACTTGGTAGAGATACTTAGAAAGCACTTGCCTTCTGCATGCTAGGAACGCTTCTGGGAGTTGGGGCAGGCGCTCCAGAATGTGGGCCGAGCACCCGTTCCTGCAAAGCTCTGTCTATGTGTGCCCTGAGTCTTTGCCCATCCAGCAGCCTTCTGTGGTCTCCTCTAGGGCTGGGGCTGTTTGTCCCTCTGCAGGTGCTAATTTGGCCCCATGGGTCAGCAGCTCCTGCAGCCACAGGGAAGCTTTTTGTTTGTTTCTTCTCAAGAAATGGCTTCCTGAAGAAGTAGAAAGGGCGTGCAGAGTTGGGGTCGTATGGGTTTTTATTGCCGCTTGCTCCCTTCAGCTCTCAGAACCTCTGCCCCGTGACTTGTGTGTAGGCTCCAGATGGCTTGAGAGAAAGGAAAGACCCAGGGAGGGTCTGAGGACCTGGAAGCCGGAGTCAGGGCATTCAGCTTGAGGCCGGTGCCACCTGGCTGCCTTGAATGCGTGCCAGCGGAGTAGGGCAGGGAGTGCGAATTCCAGAAAATAGAGGTAAGGCCAGCTTTGACATAGGACCGGGTGCTGATTCCTCTTAGCTTTTTAGATTCTTGGCTTTGGCCAGACCTGTCTCAGGTCAAGACACTTTTCAGCTTTGAGAGGCCAGCGTTCCTCTGCATCCTGTTTGGTGTACATTGTCATCTCACTGGATGATTGTGTGCCTCGGGCAGGGCTTTGCCGCACCATCCCCCGACCCTGCACCCCACAAAGGAAAACTGTATGAGCTCCGTCAGCCCTCCCCCTGCACTCCCCTGGACTTGGGAGGGAAGCCCAGCGCTGCCCATCTTATGCCGGGGAAGGTGTGTGGCTTGGGCCCAGGCTCAGACTGGACCTCGTGCCCGCCAAGGGCCGGAGTCAGAGCAGGCCACCAGGGCCCCTCTGTCTTCAAGCCTTCCTGCTATTGACATAAAGCCTAGAAAGCTGAAAAAAAGAAAGAGACTATTCAGGTGTAGAAAGTTGGATAAATAGGTAGGGTCAGAAATGGGAATAAGCAAGAACCTTGAACTGTGCTTGTTGACACTATCAGGTCCAGAGAGATGAGGCCTCTATTTTTGCTTTGGAGAGAATCATGTGATGGCGAGGATGAAGGATTTTGGACATAGGTTTTTTTTTTTTTTTGCTTTCTTAGCTTTGTACTTTGGAACTGTCTATGATGGATCAGAGAGATGCTTCCCTCTCTAAATCCCTTTATACCTAGAAAGCTCTTGGAGGGAAAGGGGGCCAGTGAGACCCTTCTCTGCCCCCAGGCCTGAAAAGCAGCTATCCCCAGTAGAAAGGGAACCCCCAAGACAGAGGCCTCCTGTTCTGCTTATGTGGTTCGTTTTGCTTCTGGTAGTGTTTATATGTTGTGAGCCAGGCTTCTTGGATCAAAGTCCCGCTCTGCCATGGACTAGTTGTGGGACTTGAACCTTTCTGGGACAGAAAGGTTCTGCTCCCAGACATCTAGAAACTGGGTGTCATTATTGGAGTATCTGCCTTCTAGGCTGTTAGAGGTGTCCCGGAGTGCATCTACTGATAGGTGGGTAGACCAGACCCCGGCCTGGGCAAGCACTCGGTGACCACTGGCTCTTGCTGTTGTTGTTAGTGCTGAAGCGGAGTTCTGTGCAGAGAGTTCCAGTCTGGCGAGTGAGTCTTTGAACATCCGGGCAGTGGCTGAGCTCTTTCCATCTCTCTGTTCATTTGTGTGCCCCACGTGTGTTTAGCTGAGCCCCCTGATGTCAGGCATTGCACTAGTCATTGAACAGAGATTGGATGCGTTTTGGGCCATGTCCTACATGAGCTCACAGAGGGGAGGAGGAGAGGTAGGAACACTCGTGGGTCATTCTCATGCAGAGCTCTGCTGCATCAATGTTGAGGCAAGGAGAGCCAGGAAGGCCAAGGCTAGACTGGGCTGGGGAGGCATCAAGGAGAAGATGGTCTGTAGCTCGGCCTGAAGCACAGGTGACCTGCACCCCCTTCCTTCAGAGAGGACAAACCGAGAACATGATAAAGGGAGAAGAGTGAGGTGCAACTGCTGCGATTTTGCAGAGGCATTGGACTAACTTTGTCAGGGGTCTCTCAGCAAAGGGGCCAGCAGCCCCCTAGGCCTCTGCTCCCCATCTGTCACATGGGATGGCATGAAGATCTGCTGATTATTATTTGTGGAGTGTGTCAGGTGTTTTTCCGGGGCTGTCTTTGAGCTTAGACAACTTTGTGACCAAGATGGTGCTCTTGTGCTACTGTCTGCCCTGCAGGGCTGGCCTCGGGCACATGCAAGCAAGGCCCCTGGGGGTGGAGCGGCTTGGGCAGCATTGCCATCTGAGAGGTGGGATGTTCCCATTGTGCGGTCTGGGCTTCTCTACTGGATTTCAAAGACAGGGAAAGGAAATAGGAAGATGCAGATGTAGCTCACCATTGCAGGCAGGGAGACTGAAATGAACGGATCCATCTCAATGAATGAACACATTCGTTTTGCAAATGGCTACGCTGGGATCCAGAGAAGTAAAATGATTTTACCCAAGTTTATGCTAAAGGTTAATGGTGGAGTCTAATCCACTAAAATGTGAGTGGTGGGATTGGTCAGCTGGGGTCTGCTGACTCTCCACTTGGGGTCCGTTCCTCTGAAATGTGCTGCCTCTTGCTATCCAAGCTTTTGTTTTCTTGATTTTGCAAGCACCCACAGCTCTGGAAGAGACCTCAGCAATTCTGTAAGTAGTGCTGACCACCTTGCCCTACTCCGCTGTGTCTTGGACAGGCCTGTGCCAATTTTGCTGGCTTCCACCTGAGCTCCAGTGGGTTTGGGGGGCTGCTCTGGGCCTCTAGGATGTTTAGACGTCATCCAAGAAAGAGTCCTTAAAAGATACCACTGTGAATAACCAAGGTGACAAATCAAACAACCCACCCTGTCCCAACCCTCAGGCTCTTTAAACCAGTGGTTCTCAAGTGTGATCCCCAGGCCAGCAGCATTAACATCACTTGGGGACTTGTTAGAAATGCACATTTCTGGCCAGGCACAGTGGCTCATGCTTGTAATTCTGGCACTTTGAGAGGCCAGGGTGGGAGGATCTCTTGAGGCCAGAAGTTTGAGACCAGCCTTGGAAACATAGTGAGACACCATCTGTACAAAACTAAAGAACATTTTTTTAATTAGGTGGTGTGGTGGCTCATGCTTATAGTCCCAGTTACTCAGGAAGATCCTTTGAGCCCTGGAGTTCAAGGCTGCAGTGAGCTGTGATTGCACCACTGTACTCTGACCTGGGTGACAGAGTGAGACCTGGTCTCTAAAAATAAAAACCAATGCAGATTCCTGGGCCCCATCTCATGGCTGCTGACTCAGAAGCTCCAGGGGTGGAGCCCAGCAGTCTGCATTTTTAACAATCCTCCAGGTGATTCTGATGATGCTCACTCTAGCATCTCTCAGAGCGAGGGATAGTTTTTGCCTTTTCTGTAGCCCACTCCCCATCTTTTCCCTCCCAGGAGACCATCCCACATTTCAACTTGCCATTTGGGCAAACACCAGGAAGTAGATTGGAGAGGAATGAAAAACCAGTGACCCCATGGTAGGAAAAGCTGTTTGCCTTGGCAGGTTTGCCTGGACTCAGAGCCAAGATTCAATCAATCCTAGTGATGGACTTTATTTAAGTGATTCTCCTATTCTTCTTTCTCTCCCTCCAGTGCAGGATGGTGGTGAGGGTGGGGGGCTGGGGGTGGAAGAGGCTAAGCTGCACACTGGGAAGGGGAGGGGCCACAGTTCTTCTCTGATCCACTCTGAGGCCCAAGCCCTTGCTCCCCAAGATGCGTGGCTTCCCAGATGAAATCACACCAGGCAGCACTTTGCTCTCAGAGTGGGGTTTTCATTTTGCACCATTAGCTTAACTCAGTGGGGATTTAACACAATCCAGGAAATCAAGCAGTTAGCAGCAGGATTCTGGATGGCTGACACCGATGCTGCTGGTGTGTATGCATTGATGATGCTGGCGAGTGTGTGTGCATGTGTACATGAGCTTGCGTGTGTGCGTTCATATGTGAGTACTGGGGAGAGGGCTCTGCAAAGTTGCAATCTCTACTCTCCTGCCTGGCCACCTTCCTGAGGTGTCTGGGGTCCAGAAAACAGGACAACTTCAATTAAATAATTTGTCCCAAATGAGCCACTCAGGAGCATTTTCCACATCTGCTGTTTTTTGTTTTGTTTTGTTTGTTTTGCTTTGTTTTGTTTTTGGAGATGAGAGAAAAAGAAATCTGCTTTGGATCTTGTTCTTTTAGTTTAGTTTTTTTTGTTCTTGTGTGTAACGTATGTCTTGTAGTCAGCAAATGCATCCAAGTATGCAGCATGTGGCTTGTGGTCAGGGGAGAGACGCTGAGTTATTGTGACAAAGCACAAGCCCCTTTCTCTGCTAAACGAATTAATGATGCCAGACATTGGCTCCTGCTGGGAACAGTGGGGTCTGTTAAGCTGCCATTGCAAGGCCATTGTCAGTAGGACTTATCTGGGCCCTAGTGCCGCAAAGCCAGCTCGCCATGGTGCCCAGAACTCTGCTGAGTGTTGGAAGGAGGTTGTGGTTGCTTGCAGCCAAATGCCGTACCCAGTGCTGTTACTGAATCTCATTTGCACAATTGGACTTGGGGAGGGTGCTTTCTGCCTCAGACCTCAGGGTTACCCAAGACATGTGTGATCTGGGGCTGGGAGGCAGGAAACCAGTGCTCTGTCTTCATGGCTTAGTGAGGCTTTGGTATCTGAGCAGACTTTTCCACCTGGAGGCTCTGTGGGGTAGGAGGGGTGGAGCAGGCCCATGCGACTGGTGCATTGGGGTGCCCGTCTGTGGGCCTTTCCTGATCAACCAAGCTGGGCTAAGCCACTTTGTAGAGTTTACAGACTGGTGTGGTGGCTCACATCTTTGAGAGCACTTTGAGAGGCTGAGGTGGGAGGATCACTTGAGCTCAGGAGTTCGAGACCAACCTGGGAAAGATGCCAAGACCCTGTTTCTACACAAAAATTAAAAAATCAGCCAAATGTGATGCTGAATGCTTGTAGTCACAGCTCCTCAGGAGGCTGACACTGAAGGATCACTTGCGCCCAGAAGATCAAGGCTGCAGTGAGCTGTGATGGCGCCACTGCACTCCAGCCTGGGCGACAAAGTGAGACCCTGTCTCTTAAAGAGTTTGCCAGTCTCGGATCACGAGGTCAGGAAATCTAGACCATCCTAGCTAACGTGGTGAAACCCCGTCTCTACTAAAAATACAAAAAATTAGCCGGGCGTGGCGGTGTGTGCCTGTAGTCCCAGCTACTCGGGAGGCTGAGGCAGGAGAATTGCTTGAACCCAGGAGGCAGAGGTTGCAGTGAGCCGAGATTCCGCCACTGCACTCCAGCCTGGGCAAAAGAGCAAAACTCTGTCTAAAAAAAAAAAACAAAAAGAGTTTGCCAGTCTCACTGTGACTAGCTTGCCCTCTACTTCTCTTGTTATCTCTTTGGGAACTTTAGGCCCCTCTGAAAAAGAAAGCAATTTAGGGAAAAAGCAAGTCTCTTAGGAATCAGAGTGTGTGGTCTGGTATCTGTCTCTGGGTGATTTTTTTTTTTTTTTTTTTAACAGCACCTTTTGGAAAAAATGGATCCAACTGCTTGCCCCGTCATCCCAGATGGCTAGGCCCCCATTCATCCCCTCTCGCTCTCCTACTGGAGGAACTGCTGTATGAATCATAAAGCTCTGGGTAGGGAAGCAGGGAGCAGGTTCCAGGCAGAGCTGACAAGTGACTTCACTTTTGAGCATCGGTTGAACCAGATTTAACGTCTCTTCCAGTTCTAAGTAAATAATTTGCATTCTAACCCAATTGATTTTGTTATCTGAAAAATGATGGGGATTGACTAAATCAGTGGACTGCCTCCCTCCTCCTCCTCAAAAAAGAAAAAAAAAGGAAACAACAAAAAGCTGGTTGAGAAAGCAGAATTCTTAATCAAAACCCTTAAGAAGTCCTAACTATATGGCCAAGTTGCTCCAGCTGAATGGAGGGTGAAGGGTCTGGAGATGTGAAATCTCTGTATTTCCTTCATGATCTGACATTTTGTGGTTCATTTATATTTTATATACACTGACATTCTTTATTAGACTAAGTTTTTTAAATTTTAAATTTTTGATTCAACGTAAATATAGTTTAAAAAGTTAAATTGGAATGAATGGTTTTTAACAAAAACTGCATGCAGTTCCCTTCCCACCTCTAGTTCCTATGACCTAGAAGTAATAATTTTCAAGTATTTTAGTGATTTCTTCATATTCAGCAAACTGGAGCAAATAAATAACATGGTTATAATTGGATTTCTTATTTTTAATATTTAGATGTTCTTTATTGATTTTCTGTTATTGAAGTTAAAGATTTATCTCTCTTGCACTGTCTTTCCAGTACAGGTATATCACATTTTTGGTTAATATTCAGTGTTTAATTTATTATAATTATGTAAATATTATTTGCAGCTGAGCCATGTAGTGTACTGCATATTTATTTCCTTTCTTTTACATCATTTTGTTTTTCCTGGAGATAGTAACTGCCCCATTTTATTAACCCAGTTACTTATGTTCATATTATGAATTCAGCCCCAAGCTTTCTGGCAGATATGCATCAGGAAATCTGCCTGAGTTCTCTTTCCTACCATTGGTCTGGGCTGATGGAGCTTTAGGCTTTTTTGTTAGACAGGGTTCTTCAGAGAAACAGAAACAACAGGAGATGGGAGAGGGAGTTAATTAGGGGCATTGGTTCACAGGATTGGAGAAGTCTCACGATAGGCTGTCTGCAAGCTGGAGAACCAGAGAAGCCTTGGAACAATGCAGCCCCCAGTCTGAGGCTGAAAGCCTGAAAGCCCCCAGGAGGCCACTGGTGCAAGCCCCAAAGTCCCAGAGCCGAAAAACATGGAGTCTGATGTGCAAGGGCAGGAGAAGAGAAACAGCCATTATTGGGAAGGGAGGGAGAGCAGAAACTCCACAAGCTGAATACCTGCCTTCTTCTCCTTGCTTTATTCTGACTGCCCTCGCAGCTGATTGGGTGGTGCCAGCCCACATTGAGGTCTGACTCTTCCTCTCCCAGCCCACTGACTCACATGTCAGTCTCCTCTGAAACACCCTCTTGGACACACACACGTTTCCAGCCTTCTCAGCATCCCTCAATCCAAGCTGACACCTAAAATTAACCATCACAGCCTGCCACACAGTTGTTCGGGAAAAACCATCCTAAGCCTTCCTTTTCCTTTCTTAGGTTAGACCTTTGGTTTCCTGAATCCCGTGTCTTGTTTAATTCTGCATTTTTTTAAATAGGTAAGTGAGATGATGTACATGCTAATTAGCTTGATTTAATCATTCCTTCTCTTATACAAAACATCACATTGTAACCCATAAGTTTATACAATTATTACTTTTCAATCAAAAATAACATTAATAATGCCTTTTTTTTTTGAGACAGAGGCCCAGGCTGGAGTGCAGTGGCATGATCTCGGCTCACTGCAGCCTCTGCCTCCCGAGTTCAAGCAATTCTCCTGCCTCAGCCCTCCTGAGTAGATCGGCCCACAGGTGCGCATCACTATGCCTGGCTAAGTGTTTGTATTTTTAGTAGAGACAGAGTTTTGCCATGTTGCCTAGGCTGGTCTCGAACTCCTGAGCCCAGGCAATCTGCCTACCTCTGCCTCCCAAAGTGCTAGGATTACAGGTGTGAGCCACTGTGCCTGGCTGATAATACATTTTATAAATTAAAAAAATTCTGCATTTTTGTAGAGCACATCATTGAGTAGTTTCCTAAGAAAAGATACATGGGAGATGATGTTTTAAAACCTGTTAATGCCTGAAGATGTTTTCATTCTACTCTTGCATGCTGATTGATAGCTTGCCTCAGTATCAAATTTGGCAATTTTAAAGGCATTGATTCATTATCCTCCAGTTTCCAGTGTCTGTATTGATAAATCCAGTGCAACTGGGATACTGATCCTTTGTATTAGATGTCTACCCTTTTCTCTTGAAGATTTTAAAAGTTCTTTTTGTCTTTCATATTTGTAAATGTCATGATTCTTTGAGCTGGGTGTTGTTTAACCTGAGGACTCATGTTCTTCATTTCTGGAAAGTTTTCTTGTATTATTTCTTTGGTATTTTCTGCCGTTTGTTTTCTTGTTCTCTCTTGCTATAATACCCTTTTCTCAGATGTTGAAACTCTTGGATTGATTCTCTTTTTCTTTCCTCTGTTTCCCATCTGTTTGTCATTTTGTTCATCTTTTCATGAAATTTCTTCAACCTTATCTTTTAAAAAAAATTTAAAAAATATTCTTGAAAAAATTTTTTGAGACAGTCTGGCTCTGTCACCTAGGCTGGAGTGCAGTGGTGTAATCTCAGCTCACTGCAACCTCTGCCTCCTGAGTTCAAGCAATTCTCCTACCTCACCCTCCCAATTAGCAGGAATTATAGGCACATGCCACCACACAGGCTAATTTTTGTATTTTCAGTAGAGACGGGGTTTCGCCACGTTGGCCAGGCTGGTCGGGTCTTGGACTCTTGGCCCCAAGTGATCCACCTGCCTTGGCCTCCCAAAGTGCTGGGATTACAGGCGTGAGCCACCGTGCCTGGCCTCTTTAACCTTATCTTAAAACCATTATTTATTGATTTTCTGTTATTGAAGTTAAAGATTTATCTCTTTTACACTATCTTTCCAATATAATTACATCACACTTTTGGTTAATATTGAATGTTTAATTTATTAGAATTATGTAAATATTATTTGCAGCTGAGCCATGTAGTGTACTGCATATTTATTTCCTTTCTTTCACATCTTTTTACTTGTCTTGCATTTTATATTTCTTCTCTTATATTTTAAATTTCCAAGTAATCTTTCCCAGTCTCTGAACATTCCTTTTAATAGCTTTCTGTTCTTGTTTTAGGAATACAAAAGTCTTATCTAATTTATTATCATTTAAAACAATTTTTTTTGAGGCAGGGTCTCACTCTGTCACCCAGGCTGGAGCGCAGGGGTGCAGTCATAGCTCACTGCAGCCTCAATCTCCCCAGACTCAGCTGATCTTCTCATCTCAGCTTCCTGAGTAGCTGGGACTACAGGCATGCACCACCATGCCTGGCTAATTTTTTTTTTTTGGTAGAGATGGGGTCTCACTATATTGCCCAGGCTGGTCTCTAACTCTTGGGTTCAAGTGATCTGCTTGCCTCAGCCTCCCAAAGTGCTGAGATTACAGGTGCGGGCCACCACTCCTGGCCATATTATCATTTTTTAAAGTTTTTTTTTTAAAATTTTATTTTATGTACAGAGAGCTAGCATGGTTTCTTTCACTTGGTGGATGCCTTGGATAATCCATTCAGGGAAGCTCACTTAGTCTAACCTAATGAAGCCTACCTCCTCTGCATACTGATGGAAACACTGGCAGCACATATTGAGGCCATAATGACAAGAATGAGAACCCTGGCCGAATTTTTTTGGATGGCTCCAGGAGAGCTGCTGGTGACCCATCTTGCTTTTAGGAGTGCAACAAGGCAAAAAGTGAAAAGTTTTTTTTTTTAATACTCCCTGCATTGTCTCTGTTATCTCTGAATTCCTTTTCTTCCTTTTCTGTTTTGTATGTTACAGTCTCTGCCATTCACATTTGGAGGCTTTCCTTAAATACTTGCCAGCCCTTGACTGTCCATTTGAATTTAACAGCGAGACATGACGTTGGAAGCTCTTTGTGTACATGCAGGGCCTGTGATTTGTTAGGCCTCACTTGAGAATTTTGCAGAGGGCCCATATGTCTTTTCTTTTGAACTATTCTTAGGTTGATGCAGAAGTAACTACGGTTTTTGCAGTTGAAAGTAATGGCAAAGACCGTGACTACTTTTGCAACAGCCTAATAGTTTCTTTAGAGAAAAACCACTCAATCCTCTGACACAGGCATATAAATGTAGTGTTCTAAGACCCGAGTGTCTCATTCTTCACTTTGCAGACTTTCATGTAACCCTTTGGTGTTCACGCAGCAGCACCTGTCCGGTCCTCCTCTGTGTCTAGTATACCCCAGCGGCAGGCTGTGTGCAGGTTCAGGCCTTCTTTTTTTCCCCCTTTTCTTTTCTTTTTCTTTTTTTTTTTTTGAGATGGAGTCTTGCTCTGTCACCCAGGCTGGAGTGCAGTGTGCGCTCTCGGCTCACTGCAATCTCCACCTCCCGGGTTCAAGCGATTCTCCTACCTCCAGCCTCCCAAGTAGCTGGAACTACAGGCCTTCTGTATGGAATGAAGCCCATGGCTACTGCTGGAGTTGGTGAGGGCAGCCACCTGGACTCATGGCCCAGGGGAGTAGGTTTGAGTGTCCATATGTAAACTTGCTGCCAATCCCAACATTGACAGCCTCTGTGATGGAGTTCAGGAGTGTCCGGGGGCCCCAATCAGGAGCATTTGTGGGACCTGGAGTGCAAATGGGCTTGTTTTTTACTGGCATCCCTGTCTGTCCCTCTTTTTCTTCTTTTCTCTGCACTTTACTGGCATCCCTATCTGCATTTTAGCTTTTCTTCTCCCTTTTAAGCCAGATTCTACCATCCATTTGCTTTCTGTCATACAAAATGTTGATATGTTCTTTTTTCCTTTACCACTTTCTTGCATGTGTTTATAACTTGTTTTTTTGACTCTAATTTTAAACTGACTTCAAGAAGAGTGGGAATGATTGCACGGGCTCAGTCTAATCCATGTGGCTAGCGTGCCTGCAAGTGCTCCTTCGCACTCAGTCCAGAAGCTTGGTGATATGGCTTCTCTCTTCTTTTCCCTTCCCATTGGATTTTTGCTCTCTGGAATTTGCCCTCACCACTCCAGATCCTGGCCTCCTATGGGTTGGCGTGGCCCCCTAATCACCCAGTGAAGTGCTCTAGTTTCAGACTCATTCTTAAGCTCTTCGGCACTTAGGGTTGAGGGGTGTTTCCTCCATTTAAATGGACCCTGTGGTCTTCATTGACACTGGGCTGCCTGGTTTCCCAGCGGGGCCTCCCGTGGCATTTACAGTAACTCTTCTTCCTTTCACCTGACGAAGGCGCTCTCTAGTATGTCCCTCTTTCCCTCTGTACTTTACCCTTCATTGCTACTATCATCTGCCATCAGAGGAGTTATAAGATTGATTCCTAATGCAACCCCATGCCACCTTTCCCCACAGACCCTTCCTGGATTCCTACAGCCATTCCACAGGACTGGTTATGAAATGACTGGCTCTGGGCCAATGGTTGCCTTACGTTCAAAGTCATGGGTAGGATGTCTCGGGCTTGGGAGGGTTGGAGGCACCACTCATAGAAGCAGGGAGTCAGGAGGAAGAGACGGCTTTGAAGAATGTGAGGGTTTGGGATGGTGTGTGATGACTTCCTCATTCTCATTTCAGCTTCCCAAATAAGGCCAGGCTTCTTGAGGGAGGCTACCAAGGAAGTATAATTTGTGAGCAAAAATGGTTTGGGTGACTGCAAGTAGAATGAAAGCTTAATGGCCTACTCAAATATAATGGATTATTTTAAGATTTCCCGAGAAAGACCCAGGCAGGCCCTTGTTGCAGCCTCAAATTTTGAGTTTTCAAAGTTTCTGGGTCTCTGAATTCTTGCTGGCAGCTATGCCTAGGTGGGAGTCATGTCCTACCCTTGGAGGATGTTAAAATTGTTGCTTAAGAAAAAAAACACATAATTTTTAAAATTTTTTTGTTTGGTTTTAGATTAGGGTCTAGCTGTTACAGGGAGCTGAGATCCAGGGTCCAAGGTGGTAGTTTAGTTTTAGCCCTATGCTCCAGGCACAGCAGGGTGCCCAATCAGGGAAGCATGGAGTGAGCACAGGGTGGGGATAGTGCTGGAGATAAACTTTGCTGTCTCCCAGAAGTACCCAGCAGGGGCTCCTCAGATGGTCGATCCACCAGGCCTGCAGTCGGATGGTGCCCTGCACTTTACAGACAGAGTACTGAGACTCAGAGAAGAACCCAGGACCTGGGACTGTATCCAGCTGTTGCCCCAGCTGCTACCTTCTGGGCTTCTGTTTGTTCACCACCACCATTTGCATTGCAAATTCAGGCCATGGGCAACATCGCTGGGGCCCAGGCCCTGTGAGCATGATGGGATGGGGTGGTGGTGATCAGTTCCGGGCTGCTCTTGGGCCAGCACCTGCCCTCGCCCCAGCAGCCCCGGGATGCATCATGGTGGGGTCTGCACACACACCCACAAGGAAAAATCCACCCGGGACAGCTCATGATCTTTTCAACATTGTTGGTAGTCTGCACTCCTAAAACAAACCCTTGAAAGATGGAAAGATGTTAGTAATTTCTGGCCATACGTGCCTTCTTTCCTGCTCTCCCCACCTCAAAAAAAGAAAGGGGCCAAGTGGCAAGACAAGAAGTAAAGTCTAATGTGTAACACATTCCCATACTCTGATTTCTCCTCCCTGGCTGCTCCCCCACCTACGTAAACTACATTCCTTTACACGGTCATGGCAAAGGAACATTAATTTTTGATTTGAATTGTGATTGAAAGCAACACAATCAGAAGAGTGAAATAGTTTCCAATGAAGCAATATCACTTCTAACCGGGTCGTGGTGTGTATGGCAGGAAAGAGTGGTTTTGGGGTTAGGTGTGGGTTCTGATCCTGATTCTGTCTCTTACAAACTGTGGCCTCATGCTGTTGTTACTTAACCTGAGTCCTTCTCCTTGATTATAATAAAGTACTATTGATGCCTTCTTAACATGGTTGCTGCGAGTATTAAACAAGGAGTCGTAGATAGACATATCCCATTCTCATCTGCAGAGCCCAGCATGTGGTGGGTACTACCTTACAATGGCTCACTTCTCTGCAGACAAGAGGGCGCTCGCCTTGTCAGCTGGAGTATGCATTAGTTTCTCCCATCTCTAATAAATAAAATAAATTAAAATATTAAATAATAAAGCTTTCACAAATGCAGTTTCTCCTTTGCCAGAGAAGTCTCTTTCAACCAGGAGGCACTCTTTTGCCATTTCATAAGTGAAGTCATTTTGAAATGTAGGTGAAACTGGGAAGAGGGTCTGAGCTCCTCCCTGTGATCTTCTTGGTCCATTTAATCAGTACTCCAAGTTTGGGGTCCATTCTAAAGAATTTTGGAACCATAGAGTCAGCATGGACAACATGCAGATTAAAAGTGCACATTTAGACATGGGTTTCAACTTAGGATTAGTGACTTTAGGCAAGCCAACTTAACCCCCTATGCCTCAGTTTTCTCATCTATTAGATGGGAAAATAATTATGCCTTCCTCCTGGAGTTGTTAGAATTAACTGAGGAAATGCACGGAAAATACTTAGCACATGTTCTGGCAGGTCACATGCTTTCATAATTGTTAGCCACTGTGATTTAGTTCAGGTTAAAGACTTTCCTCAGGGTGTGTGGGTGGAAGCCTTGCATCATTAAAAAGAGGGGGCTTGGTAATTTTCTATTAAAAAGAGTTCAGAAGATACGCAAATTATCTGGTGACTGGCACCTAGAAAGTGATTTCCAACTCCTTTGGGAATATCTCGGGCTGACCAGTCTTAAAGGGGAGTTGATTGTACCCGCGACACTGTGTGTTCAGTCTGCTTCGTTTATAGAGCATGTCCACGCTCATTTATCTTCATCAGCAGCCCCTGTGGAGTCATTGCTACAGGATGTGGCTCACAGGTTAACACTGTTAATTCAGTGTCCATTGGGACAGAGAAAAGAGAAAGCAGAGTTGGTGAATGGGCTGATTTTCCCACACTCCTGGGAGTTGAGAACAGAAGCAGCCCTGGTACCATATTGGATTTGAAGAGAGCTCATCACCTGGATTTATCAATTAGGACTTCACCAGAACTTGCTCTAATCTGCCAGAAAGTCAAAGTAGATTTGGATTTTGTGTAGGTCTTCTCAGTTGGCAGAACATTAGTGCTGCCTGTCAGTGGGGATTAGTGGTTGATTAGCGATTGACTGATACTAGCAGTACCTGCTGTCTTACCGCCATAGAGACCCAGTAGTAGAAACTGATTTCTCCCATGCTGTGGTTGGACGTTGATGTTTAATGCAGGAAGCATGACCATTTGAAACAACCTTTAACTTTCCCTTGCTGAGTGCACACACATAGTTCTGCCTGTCATTTTATAGGACTCAATTTTCAAGGAATTGTAGGTCTTTCAATGTTAAAATACTAAACCAATAACTTGCTCTTCAAAACAAAACCAAACAAAAAGAAACCCTCATGGTCAGGCGTGGTGACTCATGCCTGTAATCCCAACACTTTGGGAGGCTGAGGAGGGAGGATTTCTTGAGTCCAGGAGTTCTGGGCAACATAGTAAGATCCGTCTCTTAAAAAAAAAAAAAAATCAGCCAGGCATGATGGTGCATGCCTGCAATCCCAGGTACTTGGGAGGCTGAGGTGGGAGAATTGCTTGAGCCCGGGAGTTTGAGGCTGCAGTGAGCCGAGATCGAGACACTGCACTCCAGCCTGGGCAATAGAGTGAGACCCTGCCTCCACAAAGACAACAATAAAAAACAAAAACACTCAGGATTTTTTGTCTTTGAATGATGAGATCAATAGCATCAGATCATGTGGAGTAAATTGGGTTATAGGACCCTTTTTTCTCTTAAAGCAGTGCATGATAACTGGATTTTTAAAAAGAGCAATGTGATTTAGCTTTGAAATTTATTTGAGGATCTCCTGGCACCGATGGCCATTACAGAGAGATACCACTGGACACCACAGAATAGGGGGCGGAGGCGGTGGCAGAATGGGTAACTGAGACCTTGATTTTTTTTTTTTGAGATGGAGTCTTGCTCTGTCGCTCAGGCTGGAGTGCAGTGGTGTGATCTTGGCTCACTGCAACCTCCGCCTCCCAGGTTCAAGCAATTCTCCTGCCTCAGCCTCCTTAGTAGCTGGGATTATGGGCGCCTGCCACCATGTGTGGCTAATTTTTGTATTTTTAGTAGAGATGGGGTTTCACCATGCTGGCCAGGCTGGTCTCGAACTCCTGACCTCAGAGGATCTACCCACTTTGGCCTCCCAAAGTGCTGGGATTAACAGACCTTGGTTTTTATGGATAAAACTGCCTGTTTCTTGACTTGTTACTTGCCTTTCATTTTCTTCTCCACCTCAGCTGTACACTTGGGTTATTGTTCTAGATGAAAAGCTTTGTTCCACAGTAAACACTGGAGATTCCAAAAGACATGAGGGAGGATGGCCGACACTGTAATTGCTGCTTGGGCGATGGGGTTATTAGAAGCCCAAACCTCAGCATCATGCAGTATACCCATGAAACCAACTCTGCACCTGTGCCCCTGAATCTAAAATTAAAAACATATATATTTACAAGAAGAAAGTATAAGCCAAAAAATAAAATAATAAAATGCAATCACTTTGAGGATCAAAAAAAGAAAAGCTGTGTTCTAAATGCTTTCTCTTACCCTCTTTTCTCTTCTTCTGTCCTCTCCATCTCTAGCACTGAGGATGAAAATAAAAGAAGTGAAAAAAGAAAATGGCGACAAGAAGATTGTCCCCAAGAAGAAGAAGCCCCTGAAGTTGGGGCCCATCAAGAAGAAGGACCTGAAGAAGCTTGTGCTGTACCTGAAGAATGGGGCTGACTGTCCCTGCCACCAGCTGGACAACCTCAGCCACCACTTCCTCATCATGGGCCGCAAGGTGAAGAGCCAGTACTTGCTGACGGCCATCCACAAGTGGGACAAGAAAAACAAGGAGTTCAAAAACTTCATGAAGAAAATGAAAAACCATGAGTGCCCCACCTTTCAGTCCGTGTTTAAGTGATTCTCCCGGGGGCAGGGTGGGGAGGGAGCCTCGGGTGGGGTGGGAGCGGGGGGGACAGTGCCCCGGGAACCCGGTGGGTCACACACACGCACTGCGCCTGTCAGTAGTGGACATTGTAATCCAGTCGGCTTGTTCTTGCAGCATTCCCGCTCCCTTCCCTCCATAGCCACGCTCCAAACCCCAGGGTAGCCATGGCCGGGTAAAGCAAGGGCCATTTAGATTAGGAAGGTTTTTAAGATCCGCAATGTGGAGCAGCAGCCACTGCACAGGAGGAGGTGACAAACCATTTCCAACAGCAACACAGCCACTAAAACACAAAAAGGGGGATTGGGCGGAAAGTGAGAGCCAGCAGCAAAAACTACATTTTGCAACTTGTTGGTGTGGATCTATTGGCTGATCTATGCCTTTCAACTAGAAAATTCTAATGATTGGCAAGTCACGTTGTTTTCAGGTCCAGAGTAGTTTCTTTCTGTCTGCTTTAAATGGAAACAGACTCATACCACACTTACAATTAAGGTCAAGCCCAGAAAGTGATAAGTGCAGGGAGGAAAAGTGCAAGTCCATTATGTAATAGTGACAGCAAAGGGACCAGGGGAGAGGCATTGCCTTCTCTGCCCACAGTCTTTCCGTGTGATTGTCTTTGAATCTGAATCAGCCAGTCTCAGATGCCCCAAAGTTTCGGTTCCTATGAGCCCGGGGCATGATCTGATCCCCAAGACATGTGGAGGGGCAGCCTGTGCCTGCCTTTGTGTCAGAAAAAGGAAACCACAGTGAGCCTGAGAGAGACGGCGATTTTCGGGCTGAGAAGGCAGTAGTTTTCAAAACACATAGTTAAAAAAGAAACAAATGAAAAAAATTTTAGAACAGTCCAGCAAATTGCTAGTCAGGGTGAATTGTGAAATTGGGTGAAGAGCTTAGGATTCTAATCTCATGTTTTTTCCTTTTCACATTTTTAAAAGAACAATGACAAACACCCACTTATTTTTCAAGGTTTTAAAACAGTCTACATTGAGCATTTGAAAGGTGTGCTAGAACAAGGTCTCCTGATCCGTCCGAGGCTGCTTCCCAGAGGAGCAGCTCTCCCCAGGCATTTGCCAAGGGAGGCGGATTTCCCTGGTAGTGTAGCTGTGTGGCTTTCCTTCCTGAAGAGTCCGTGGTTGCCCTAGAACCTAACACCCCCTAGCAAAACTCACAGAGCTTTCCGTTTTTTTCTTTCCTGTAAAGAAACATTTCCTTTGAACTTGATTGCCTATGGATCAAAGAAATTCAGAACAGCCTGCCTGTCCCCCCGCACTTTTTACATATATTTGTTTCATTTCTGCAGATGGAAAGTTGACATGGGTGGGGTGTCCCCATCCAGCGAGAGAGTTTCAAAAGCAAAACATCTCTGCAGTTTTTCCCAAGTACCCTGAGATACTTCCCAAAGCCCTTATGTTTAATCAGCGATGTATATAAGCCAGTTCACTTAGACAACTTTACCCTTCTTGTCCAATGTACAGGAAGTAGTTCTAAAAAAAATGCATATTAATTTCTTCCCCCAAAGCCGGATTCTTAATTCTCTGCAACACTTTGAGGACATTTATGATTGTCCCTCTGGGCCAATGCTTATACCCAGTGAGGATGCTGCAGTGAGGCTGTAAAGTGGCCCCCTGCGGCCCTAGCCTGACCCGGAGGAAAGGATGGTAGATTCTGTTAACTCTTGAAGACTCCAGTATGAAAATCAGCATGCCCGCCTAGTTACCTACCGGAGAGTTATCCTGATAAATTAACCTCTCACAGTTAGTGATCCTGTCCTTTTAACACCTTTTTTGTGGGGTTCTCTCTGACCTTTCATCGTAAAGTGCTGGGGACCTTAAGTGATTTGCCTGTAATTTTGGATGATTAAAAAATGTGTATATATATTAGCTAATTAGAAATATTCTACTTCTCTGTTGTCAAACTGAAATTCAGAGCAAGTTCCTGAGTGCGTGGATCTGGGTCTTAGTTCTGGTTGATTCACTCAAGAGTTCAGTGCTCATACGTATCTGCTCATTTTGACAAAGTGCCTCATGCAACCGGGCCCTCTCTCTGCGGCAGAGTCCTTAGTGGAGGGGTTTACCTGGAACATTAGTAGTTACCACAGAATACGGAAGAGCAGGTGACTGTGCTGTGCAGCTCTCTAAATGGGAATTCTCAGGTAGGAAGCAACAGCTTCAGAAAGAGCTCAAAATAAATTGGAAATGTGAATCGCAGCTGTGGGTTTTACCACCGTCTGTCTCAGAGTCCCAGGACCTTGAGTGTCATTAGTTACTTTATTGAAGGTTTTAGACCCATAGCAGCTTTGTCTCTGTCACATCAGCAATTTCAGAACCAAAAGGGAGGCTCTCTGTAGGCACAGAGCTGCACTATCACGAGCCTTTGTTTTTCTCCACAAAGTATCTAACAAAACCAATGTGCAGACTGATTGGCCTGGTCATTGGTCTCCGAGAGAGGAGGTTTGCCTGTGATTTCCTAATTATCGCTAGGGCCAAGGTGGGATTTGTAAAGCTTTACAATAATCATTCTGGATAGAGTCCTGGGAGGTCCTTGGCAGAACTCAGTTAAATCTTTGAAGAATATTTGTAGTTATCTTAGAAGATAGCATGGGAGGTGAGGATTCCAAAAACATTTTATTTTTAAAATATCCTGTGTAACACTTGGCTCTTGGTACCTGTGGGTTAGCATCAAGTTCTCCCCAGGGTAGAATTCAATCAGAGCTCCAGTTTGCATTTGGATGTGTAAATTACAGTAATCCCATTTCCCAAACCTAAAATCTGTTTTTCTCATCAGACTCTGAGTAACTGGTTGCTGTGTCATAACTTCATAGATGCAGGAGGCTCAGGTGATCTGTTTGAGGAGAGCACCCTAGGCAGCCTGCAGGGAATAACATACTGGCCGTTCTGACCTGTTGCCAGCAGATACACAGGACATGGATGAAATTCCCGTTTCCTCTAGTTTCTTCCTGTAGTACTCCTCTTTTAGATCCTAAGTCTCTTACAAAAGCTTTGAATACTGTGAAAATGTTTTACATTCCATTTCATTTGTGTTGTTTTTTTAACTGCATTTTACCAGATGTTTTGATGTTATCGCTTATGTTAATAGTAATTCCCGTACGTGTTCATTTTATTTTCATGCTTTTTCAGCCATGTATCAATATTCACTTGACTAAAATCACTCAATTAATCAATGATACTGTGAGCTGTGACTTTTTTTTCCCACTCAGTCATACACTTCTCACCCTTTCCGGTGAACCACATGTATCTTTCTCCTCTTGAGTTTCTTCAGTGATGCTTTCTGGTCCCAGTTCAACAGCTTGCAAATGGTAACTGGGTGTGGGTGGGCTGAAGGAGAACTTGGGAGGCACCACAGGCTACCCGTGGCCCCCACCCTCCCATTTACCATCTGCTCCTATAAATAACTTCCAGAAGTGTTTCTCCTGGTTGTGTGTGTTTCAGATCAGAGAGAAGGTTAAATGCTTGCTCTACAAGAATGTAGCTTTCGGCCCTGCCTGAATTTCTTTTCCATGTTTCTCATGGAAACATTCTCTTTCCCCTCCGGCTCAACTCAATGTTAGAATTACCAACTAGAATTGGAAAACTTGTCCTTATCTGGAGTCTTAGACACATAGGAGGCCTTGGAGAGGAACATATCCACTCTTTTAACGTAAGATGGGGATATAGCTGGGATTTCCCAACTAGTCTGGGACTCCCAGGTCACTCGCCTGGTTGGAATTAGAACCCAGGGCTCCTGCATCCCACTTGCGTAGGCGTGATGTCTGCGCTCCCTGCCGAGCTTCCCTTTGGACTCAGAGTGCTGCACCATACCCAGCCCAAGCTGTTTCATATTAGGTTATGTGCTTCTTGCCTCAGGAATTCTTCCATGTGACTTCTAATTCTGCAAGCAATTACAGTGACAACTTCAGTGGATGTAGTTCCCTGATCAGTAAGTCACCTCCAAACCGCAGACAACTGTCAGTTTTACCCAGAAGTGATAAAATATTCCCAGGTTACCCAAATCCACGCCCAAGCACAGAGACACAACTTTTTTTTTAAGGTGTGGTATGAGGACTTGTAAACATTCTATCAAAGTCATGCTGTAGTCCAGAAAGATTCTCACATGCTAATGTACCTGACTGGTAAAATAGTGAGATACTAGTCCAGCCAAGGAAAATGTCCATATTTCCTTTTAGCTCCCTGTGGTTAATAAGAAAGAAAATTTATTTAGGCTGGGTGGAGATGTCATTGCCACCCCCTACTGAAGCTCACCACCATGACCCACCATTTCCATTTTTTTTAAGTCTGCAAAAGGATGATGAAGTGTGTGCAAAGGTATCTCAGTTCCAGCTGCTGGAGTCACCGTGGTGGAGTTTGGGGTGCCCAAGGGTCAGGACTGCTTGACGCTTGTGCCTCAGAGATGCTGGCAGCACTTGGAACCACAGGCTTGTCCTCAAGCTGCATGGCACCTGCACCTCCTTAATGAAAAATTTCGGCACTTCCCTAGGCAGGAGGTATAAAAGACCAAGGGACACAGAGGTAGGCTGGTCTTAACTTCAAAGGCTGTCTCCCCTCCTTGGGTCCAGAAGTGCTAGCAATTCACTTTTGCTCCTGAGGGTGGGACATGGTACTAATCATCCAATAGCAATTGAAGGGCAGAGGGAGAATCGTTCTTAAATTTCAGCCTATGTGAGTATCACCAAGGGGAGCTTACTAATATGTGGGTCTTGGCTCCCACCCCCAGACATTCTGATTGGGAAAGTTTGGGAAGGTTGGCAAAGGGGCTCTAGAACCAAGGTGCTAGGTTTCTCTGATGCCAGCAGTTCACGGGATCTTACTTTGCAAAACATTCTCATAGGACCTGCGTGGCCCGGGGATGAGAGGCAGGAAGTTATTTTGTCATCTCCCTCTCCCCACATCCACACTTCATATTGCCGCAGTCCCTTCTGAAGCTCTGTGAGTTCATCTTACCCGGCATCAGCTAATAGAGGCAAGTTAAATGCAAGGGGGAACGAGCCCTCTTTCCTTAAGACTGAGTACATTTGGCTGTCCAAGGAGTGTTTCTCACATTTTAATATGTATATGACTCACTTGAGGACCAGTGTTAAAATGCCGATTCTGAAGGGTAGGTCTGAGGTGGGCTTGAATTCTGCATTTCTTTTCTTTTTTTTCCTCATATTTTTCCAGTTTTATTTGTATAAAGACATACATGGCCTATCCAATGGAGCTTTGTCAAATAATCCATAAGTACCTAAAGCACACATGACTCGTAATGCTTTTAATATCAAAAGAGGTTATTTTTCTTAATCCAAAGATTATATAATTTTTTTTGCAAACTACTAGTGGGCCATATTAACATTTGAATAATCTTTTAAAAATTTAAATATAAATTTTGGATTTGGGGGCACATGTGCAGCTTTGTTACAAGGGTATATTGTATGATGCTGAGGTTTGGGCTTCTATTGACTCTATTACTCAGATAGTGAACATAGTACCCAATAGGAAATTTCCCAATTCTTGCCCCCACCCCTTCCTCCTTTTGGAGTCCCCAGAATTGATTCTGTCTATCTTGATGTCCATGTGGACCCATTGTTTAGCTCCCACTTATTAGTAAGAACATGTGGCATTTGGATGTGACTGCAAAGCACAGGATTTTGTTATTTTTTATGGCTGCGTAGTATTCCATAGTGTATGTGTACCACGTTTCCTTGGGTACCCGGGTGAGGCTGAAGCTGTGAAGCTGTCAGTGTGCAGAATGTACTTTGGGTAGGGAAGCTCTAACAGGCTGATGGTTTCAGGTGCGTCCTCACCCCCTGTTACAGTATCACCATCTCTATGATCAGCACAGCCCATCTCCTAAGGACTCAAAATATTGACCACGCTTTGGAATGGGAAGAAAATCAAACCAGAGAGTCATGCTTATAAACCCAAAGCTGGGGCTGATCTTCTCAACCCACTCATTAGATTTCATTCTTGTCCTAGACCTTAGGGTTAATTCTTTTCCCTCAGACCCTGCTCATTATGGAAACTCACAGGTTCCTTCCTATTTTTCCCATCTATTAACATTATGGACTGTGCCCTTTACCAAACTTCCCAGTCCTCAGCCCCCATCCCCAGACCCACCAGGGGTTGATGGTGTTAACCAACTGGTGGTATGTACCTGGACAACTAAAGTTACATAGGAATCTGACAACAAAATTGGGACTTTCCCTGTTCCATTTGCTCATGTCTGGGCAGTTTCAACCTCAGGTTATGGGAGGAGCCAAGAAAGAGAGGGGAAATTGAAGTCTTTGGAGGGAAAATCCCACCCCTGATACATTGAGGACAGCCTGTCCCCTGAGCTGACTTACTAGGGGAGCAGGCAGTAGGGATTGCTGTCAGCAAGGTCTAAGGGAGGCCACTTGTTGTAGGTTTGGAGAAGATGGGCACCAGAACAAGCTCCGAATAGGAGCAGAAAGCGCCTGCATCTTCATGCATCTGCAGACTATTTAGATAAGAAGGGGCTGTACCCAATCATGGAGAGTTGTTTGCTTAAATAAAGGAAGGGAAAGCTGCATGTGTGTGTGCTTAAGGGGAGAAGGAGGGGGTGGGAAGAAGGAGAAAGGGGCCAGGAATTTTCCACAGCTGAAACCCACCACGTGGTTATCATTAGGATGACCTTCCTATCACCTGAGCAAAAGGACTGGTGGATGGGGGCTGGTGAGGAAGGATTTGGGATCCGATCCCTCGGATTTCAGCTAAGTTCTGATGTGGCAGTTGCAAGCACTAAGGAGAAGTTCTTATTTCCCGCTTCCCTGGAGTGCCTGAGTCCACAGTCCTAAAGCTGTGTACCCTCAGGAAGCCTGCCCATTGGCTGGCCAGGTAGGATCCAGGGATCCAGCTTCTCTGAGATCCCCGGGTGTCAGGGCTTAAATATAAATAAAGCAATCAGAACCCACAGTTTGTTGGCATGGATGCAGTGAAAAGGGAATGCTTATACACTGTTGATGGGAATGAAAGTTAGTATAACCTCTACGGAAAACAATATGGAGATTTCTCAAATAACTAAGAATAGAGCTACCATTCGATCTATCAGTCGTACTGCTGGGTATCTACCTAAAGGAAAAAAGTCATTATATCAAAAAACACCTACACCTGTATGTTTATTACAGCACAATTCACAGTTGCAAAGATGTGGAATCAACCTAAGTACCCATCATCCAATGAGTGAATATAGGAAATGTGGTATACATACACCATGGAATACTACTCAGCCATAAAAAATGAAATAATGTATTTTGCAGCAACTTGCGTGGAGCTAGAGGCCACTATCCTAAGTGAAGTAACTCAGGACTGGAAAACCAAATACTGGCATATTCTCACTTATAAGTGGAAGCTATGCTGTGGGTACACAGGTCCACCAGAGTGGTATAATGGACACTGGAGACTCAGAAGATCAGAGGGTGGGAGTGGGGTGAGGAATGAGAAATTACCTATTGGGTACAGTGTACACTGTTTGGGTGATGGTTACACTAAAAGCCCAGACTTCACTATATAATTCATCCATGTAACCAAAAACAATCTGTACCCCCTAAATCTATTGAAATGGAAAAAAAAAAAACCCAGAACTGCACAATAAATTTCCTTCCAAGGAAGGGAATTAGAAAGAAAACAGGAGATTCTGCTAAAATGCTTTGCACAAGATCCCCATCTCTACTGCACTTTTTATTTTATTTTAGTTTTATTTATTTATTTTGAGACAGGGTTTTGCTCTGCTGCCCATGCTGGAGTTCAGTGGTGTGATCTTGGCTTACTGCAGCCTTAACCTTCCAGGCTCAGACAATCCTTCCACCTCAGCCTTCTGATTAACTGGTACTACAGGCATAAGCCACCAAGCCATGCTAATTTTTAAATTTTTTTGTAGAGACAAGTCTCACTATGTTGCTCAGGCCGGTCTTGAACTCCTGGGTTCAAGCAATCCTCCTGCCTCCACCTCCCAAACTGCTGGGATTACAGGCATGAGCCACCGTGCTCAGCCATCTATTGCACTTTTTAATGATTTACACTAGCATCTGCTGTTATTGTTTGTACTTGGGAATGGATTGAGGGTGGAAGGGTGGTTTAGGGGCCTCAGTTTCCATTTTTGCTGCATAGTTCTCTGGGGGGCTTATGCAGATCTGGGTAATCTTGCCCCATCAACTAGATGAGTAGGCCCATCATCTGAAGGAATAAAGAGATCACATGCCACAACCCAACCCACAATCTAAGTGCATATTTCACAATGTGGCCCAAGGACAACCAGGGTGGGTTCCACAGATTTAGCTGGATTCCTCTGGGGTCAGTGCTCCCTCCCAAGGCCAGCAGCTGTGGCCATAGGAATCCAAACTTGGCTGCTAGTCTTGGCAGGTTGCTCAATGACTCTTAGCCGCACAAATCAGGCCCCGAGCTGGGCCAGGCTTGAGGGAGGCCCCAAGGCCCCTACAGAAGAGGAGGAGCAGGAGGCAGCCAGTAATTGCCTAGAGAAAAAAATAAGTACCAGCCTGTAAATTGCAATGTATATCAGCGTGAAGCCTTGCTAGCTCTGCTCCCCACTTGCCAACCACTGCCACGCAGAAACTCCCTGCATCCTCTCCAGACTTCCCCAGGCTGCCGCCTTATTTTCAGATGCCTCCTCCCTGCAGTGCCAGAATTGACAGCTATGAATGAGAAACACAGGCTGGAGCTGGATAAGGAAGGCATCCCATAATGGAGACTGAGTAGATGTGCATGAGACCCAGAGGACTGATTTTCACTCAACCGATGGAAGGAAATAATTTACCTTTCGAACCCTAGAATGAGCTTCACTGTTCTGTGGATCTTGATGAAGAAAACAAGGAAAGCTGGTATGTCCTGGTACGTTTGGCTCCCTGCAAAATATTTCTTTCCTAGGCCCTCTTCATTAGAAACCTGCCTCTGCCCTGAGTTGGAGAAGACAGGCCTTTTCCCCTGCCGTGCACATTTTCCCACAGTCCTGAGACTGAACCTATAGCAGGGCCAGAGAAAATCCTCTCCAGTTTTCTCACTGTTTCCTCCCTGCCTGGTGGATGGAAACCAGTTTGCTCAGGAGAAGTGGTTTCTACCGCAGGGATAAGAGATCCAGCCTCTAAGACAAGTCAAATAAAATTCATGTGTTACACACACACAGACACACAGACACACACACACACACACACACACAGTCACACAGTTGCCCAGGGAGAGGGTCGCAGCTCTGCACCAGGAGGACAATTTGTTTTAAGGTGCATGCTGCCCTGGCTCTCAATTTGTTGCTTTCATTTTTATAATCACTGTTGTGTTCCAATTGTTGTAAGTGGCACTGGGAATGTTTGTTCTCATGTAATTGCTTGTTTCCTACTGAAATTTCCATGTCAGACCCCTTCATTGTTCTCAGTATCGCTCGCCTCCCATTCTGTGGGGTTGGCATGGATTATCCTAGTGGCGGCCGGCAGGGCATGTGAGCACCATTCCGCTCAGTCCTGACGCAGCTGAGGACGGCTGGGGGAAATGGTCCCGGCTGCTGGGCCGAACACTGGGATGAGAGAATCTTGACAAGGGCCTGGCCTGCCTCCTGATTCTGGACTGGGCCAAATTCGGAGTGCATTTTGCATCCCCACCCCCAAGTATTTCAGAGGAAATGTGACCCTGTGTTTCTGATTCATGTGCACTTAACTCGTTAAAATGTTGATTTACAAAGGGTGGGTGGTGTCCAAATAAACCTCTGGAGCCTCAATTCCAAGCCAGCCTTTTTTTTTTTCGGTGACTTTTTGTTGGGAGGGTAGGTGGGAAGAAGGAATCAAAGATTTTGTCTTTGATCGGGAAGTTACATTCCAACAGGAATGAAACTTGGACCCAGCAGGCAGGAACAGGGACCCAGACCTTTGCAATTGATTGGGTTCTCTATTGGATGAGTTATGTGCTTCCAGACCTAATCAGAACCACCTGGACTTCCTCAAGGCTCATCACTGTCCATGCCGCATGAAGCATTTGAACTTGACCTGCGCTGAAATTGAGCCAGGGTACATAAAACGAAAGCCCAGCATCCACTTACAGGAATAAATGTACATCTGCAGAGAGGACTTGGAATTCTGCAAAAAACACTCAGAGCTTGGTGCTTCTCTTCTTCACCTGGAACTCTAGCAACTACCACCCATGAACATTAATCTACTCCTTTAAAAACCCCACCCCTTCCAGGAAGTTGGGGTGTACTTTTTATAAGGTGCATATGAAACCTATCTAGAATGGGGCAAAGGATGGTGATATGTTATAAATTCAGCCGGGCTGTCTTCTTGGGCCTCCAAACTGCTTTAGGAAGCCCTGGGTTTTTGTCCATTTATCATTTCTTATTTATTTATTTACTTATTTTAGAGACAGGGTCTTGCTCTGTTGCCCCAGGCTGGAGTGCAGTGTCGTGATCATAGCTCACTGCAGGCTCAAACTCCTGGGCTCAAGCAGTCCTCCCAGCTCAGCCTCCTGAGCAGCTGGGGCTACAGGAGTGCATCAGCATGCCTGGCTAATTTTTGTATTTTTTGTAGAGATGGCATCTTGCTAGGTTGCCCAGGCTGGTCTCCAACTCAAGCAATCTTCCTGCCTTGGCCTCCCAAAGCACTGGAATTTCAGTTATGAGCCACCATGCCCAACCTATTTATCATTTCTTTTAGGAGAGGAATGTTTAAAAAAAAATGTATCCCGGCACTGATGTGGGAAGAGCACATCCCTTTTTTAGGGTGTGTGTGTATATGTATGGGTATCTGTGAATGTGTGTGGGTGCATATCAGTGTCAGCGTGTGTGGGTGCTGGCATTGAGATGTGTGCTTGTGTTTGTGTTGGTGTCTGTGTGTACAATGTACCTCCAATGCCAGGTCACTGGGACTTCCCCTCCTCACTGGCCCCTCTGCTGGAAGCCCCTACATACTTGGGGTCGAGTGGAATGTTAAATTGTGGTACCAAGTCTGCTTTGTATTGATTACCTTTTTTTTTTTTTTTTTGGGGGATGGAGTCTCACTCTGTTGCCCAGGCTGGAGTGCAGTCGCGTGATCTCGGCTCATGCAACCTCTGCCTCCCAGGTTCAAGTGATTCTCCTGCCTCAGCCTCCTGAGAGTAGTAGCTGGTACTGCAGGTGCCAGCCACCACACCTGTCTAATTTTTTTGTATTTTTAGTAGAGATGGGGTTTCACCATGTTGGCCAGGCTGGTCTCGAACTCCTGACCTCAGGTGATCTGCCTACCTCGGCCTCCCAAAGTGCTGGGATTACAGGTGTGAACCACCCCGCCCGGCCTGTATTGATCACTCTTTTTCTTGATTGTTCCTTCATCACTTCCACTTGTCTGTCAGCACCATGAGGACAGCTGCCGTGTATAATATGAGCTCTGTGTCTCCCTCCCCACTGCCATTGCCCTCAGTACAGTGCCTTGCACATGCCTTAAATTCAAGAAACTTGTAAGGGGTGGTTAAGAAAGAAGAGGAATGAATTGAACCAATTGGACTTCAGAGTGTGGCAGAGCATGGCCTGGTGGGGCTCCCTGGGGAAAGGCAAGTGACTCTAAAGTGGGGAGAGTTGGGCAGCACTCCAGGACCTTTCCTGTCCCTGCCTGCGAAACTCTCCCCCACCCACTATTGGCACTATTGGGTTGACGTCGTCGTCCATTAAACTAGCTTTGCTTTTCCATTGCGAAAAGAAAATGATGCACTCATTCCAATATATTTGGATGTTTTAAAGGTTGGTCTGGCTTCACAGACGATGTCCATCAGTGGCTGACATACCAATGAAATTGAAGAAAAGCTGGTTTTCCAGTATTTCTTTGGCAGAGAATCCAGCAGCTGACACTGGATCAGAATTAGGGCTCATAAAACTTAGAGCCAGGACCTTGAATGCTGAGTGCTCACTTATAAGATGCTTTCAAGTCCTTATCTTGCAGAACAGTTAAATGTCTGCATCTGGCTCACTCCCCTTGGGATCACTTTTTAGAATGATCCCTCCTGGTGCAAAGTGTGGAGAGCTGAACTGGCCAGCAAACCTGGGATGTTTTCTTCCGAATAAGTGGTTCATTTGAATCCTTTATGTGAAGTTAATTCTGCAAGATTCCTTGCTGCAGGACTTGAAAAACCATAGTCAGAAGGCAGAGATACAAACCAAAACACCACCAACATCAAAACAAAACCCAACCAGACAATGAAACAACAAAAAAGCCCAAACACAAAACCTTCTATTTAGCATAGGTCTGCAAAGAAAGGATTTCTGGGAACCTCACATACAGACTCTGATAGGGAAGGTAATGGAAGAGGTGGGTTATGTCCTAACTTGGTCAACAAGTTCTGGTGAGGCTAGGCTGAAATACTGGTGGATGGGGGTGCACACACTTTGCAGTCATCAGGGTAGGGTTTTATCTTGTTCTTTCTCACTTTTTTTGTTTGTTTGTTTGAGACTGAGTCTCGCTCTGTCGTCAGGCTGGAGTGCAGTGGCACGATCTCAGCTCACTGCAACCTCAGTCTCCTGGGTTCAAGTGATTCTCCTGCCTCAGCCTCCCCAGTAGCTGGGACTACAGGCACACACCACCACATCCAGCTAATTTTTGTATTTTTAGTAGAGACGGGGTTTCACCATGTTGGCCAGGATGATCTTGATCTCTTGACCTTGTGATCCACCTGCCTTGGCCTCCCAAAATGCTGGGATTACAGGCATTAGCTACCACACCTGGCCTCTCTCTCACATTTAGTGACATCTCGAGAAGTGCCATAGTATTGCAGTTGACTTAAAATTCTGCTTCTTTGCATCAAAGGACACAATCAACAGAGTGAAAAGGCAACCCACAGCATGGGAGAAAATATTTGAAAATCATACATTTCATAAGGGATTAATAACCAGACTATTTAAAGAACTCCTACAATTCTACAACAACAACAAAAACCAAATGGCCTAATTAAAAAATTCACAAAGGACCTGAATAGACAGTTTTCTAAAGAAGGTATACAAATGGCAGATAAACAAGTAAAAGATGTTCAACATTACTAATCAGTAGAGAAATGCAAATCAAAACCACAATGGGATATTACTTCCTGCCCATTCGAATGGCTACTATCAAAAACAGAAATTATCTGGATGTGGTGTCATGTGCCTATAATCCCAGCTATTAAGGAGGGTGAGGGAGGAGGATCACTTGAGCCCAGAAATTCGAGGCCAGTCTGGGCAACATAGCGAGACCCAATCTCTTAAATAAACAACAGAAAATAACAGGTGTTGGCAAGGATGTGGAGAAAGTGATTGGAACCCTTGTGCAATGTTGGTGGGAATGTAAAATGCTGCAGCTACTGTGGAAAACGGTATAGCAGTTTCTCAAAAGCTTCAAAATAGATTTACCATAAGATCTAGCAATTCCACTTCTGAGTGTATACCTAAAATAACTGAAATCAGGGACTCAAAGAGATATTTGTACATCTATGTTCATAGCAGGATTAATCATAATAGCCAAAAGGTAGGCGAGTGGAAAAACGAAATGTGCTGTATACGTACTACACAATAGCATTTGCTTTTTCTAAGAATGAAGGAAATTCTGACATGCTACAATGTGGATGCACCTTGAGGACATGATGTTAAGTGAAATAAGCCAGTCTCAAAAAGACAAATACTACATAATTCCACTTATGTGAGGTATCTTCAGTAGTCAAAGTCAAAGAGATAGAAAATAGGTTGAAGGTTGCCAGGGGCTGGGGTAAGGAGAAATGAGGAGTTATTGTTTAATGGGTAGAGAGTGTCAGTTTTGCAAGAATTCTGTGGAGGGACGGTGGTAATGGTTGCACAATAACATGAATGTACTTAATGCCACAGAACCGTACACTTGAAGTGGTTAAGATGGTAAATTTTATGTTATGTGTATTTTACCACAATTAAAAATTAAAAATAATTTAAAAGTGTTGTTCCTTCTCTCATTTCTGGGACAAAAGATGTTGTCCAAAGTCCAGGAATATGTAAGTTGAAAGCTATGTGTGCAGCAGAACCTTATTTCTGAGTTACACAGTTTAGTGACCTTCTAATGGAAAAAAACTTCACGGAGTGTGTTTTCCACTGCCTTCTGCTCACCACACTGAGGATTACAAGAGGAAAACAGCTACACCAGAGTCAAAAGTGATCAGACCTCTGATTTCCCAACTCTGGCAGAGAAGCTGCAAGCGCGCGCGCATACACACACACACACATACACACACACTTACACACTTTCCAGCCAGCTCAGCCGACTTCCTCTGAGAGATGACACCACTTTGCAGCCTCCCTGTGGGACAGAGTGGAACTTGTAACTCACTTTCTTGTGCCTCCCAGGACTTTGGCTGCCTAGAAGGAAGAGAAGGGAGTGCTAGGCTTCTCTGAGAAACTCAGAGCTTCCTCTGCAGCCCTGCTCCTGGCCAGCATGAGAGGAGGGAGCTTGAACCAAGAGTCCTCTCCTGGAGGGGAAACCTATCTAAGAAATATTTTCTATCAATCAGTAAGGCTCTCAAAAGCCATTACTGCCAACATCATTTCTTATTTGCCATCTCTTCTCCCCCCTTTAAAAATGTCCTTACTTTTTCCCTTTTTTTCCCGTCTTTTCTTTCTTGTCCATTCCCTTTCTTTTTTCTGACGGTTTTGTAAAGGGGAGGTACCCTGCACACACTCTCTTTTTTGTTTTTGTTTTTTTAATTTTACTTTAAGTTCTGGGATACATGTGCAGAACGTGCAGGTTTGTTACATAGGTATACGTGTGCGATGGTGGTTTGCTGCGTCCATTCTTTTTTTTTTTATTTTTTAAAATCCTCTTCCTTCATTTCTCCCCTTCTGCCTCCTTCTATCCCCCTGTCCTCAATCTTTCTGTTTTTCTTGCTTTCTCCTCATTTTTCTCTCTTTCTTGACTCCCCTTCATAGCTAAAGTTACCGTCCTTGGCACAGGACTCGGGTTCTGAGGAGTGACACAGCAGGAGTTCATCCTGGGGACCCTCTCGCAGGCAGCGCTGCACATAGGGAACCTGTCCCGGCTGTGGGAGGCCAGGCAGCCTCCCCCTCCAAGGCAGAGCCAGACGAGGCTGTCCATCCTCCTTGCATTTCTCTGTCACCTTGTTCAGACGGCCTTTGACTTGGGGGGAGCCACGCTGATTTACAGCAGGCGCATCGCGGCCGGATTGCAGGAAGAGCCACCTCTCTGCGGTGGGGGGATGTGGATTGGCGCCTGTAGGATGAAATGTGGCACATTGGGCCTCGTCGCTGCCATCAGTCCAGGGGCATTCTCAGATGCAAGAACAAAAACAAAGCACGATTGTGTTCCAGCCCTGTGGTGCATTCCTTCCACAGCTCATCACCCTGTCATCAAGCCTCGTGCCTGCCACACACACCGGGGGCTGAAACAAAAGCCGTTTCCCTTCACACAGCACTGAGCTATCTTCCATCTGTCGGGGCCGCTTCCCCATCTTGGGACAACTGGCAGCGGGCTCTGACACCCTGCTAGGGAGTAAGAGGCCCAGGAGAAATGAAAGGAGACGTCCTGCTCAATTGAGACAGGGGACAGCTGGTGTCCTCGTTTTCTGAAGGGCTCAGAGAGGCACAGAGCGCATCAAACTGTCCACTTAGCGACCGACCTTTTTCCCCAGTGCTGAGGGAACTTCCCAGACTGGGGGCCTTCAGGGCCTGGGACTTACTGGCACTCAAGGTAGGAAGAACAGACAAACAGCTGCTTATCTCTGCCCAAATGACTCCATCCAGACTCAGGGAGAGAGTTCTATTTTTTTTTTTTTTAATTTGAGACAGGGTCTCACTCTGTCACCCAGGCTGGAGTGCAGTGGTGTGATCTCAGCTCACTGCAGCCTCTGCCTCCTGGGTTCAAGTGATTCTCCTGCCTCAGCCTCCCGAGTAGCTGGAAGTACAGGCACACACCACCACATCCGGCTAATTGTTGTATTTTTTGGTAGAGATGGGGTTTCACTGTGTTGGCCAGGCTGGTCTCAAATGCCTGACCTCAAGTGATCCTCCCGCCTTGGCCTCCCAAAGTATTGAGATTACAGGCGTGAGCCACTGCGACTGGCCTTAATGTTTTCAATCATTAATAAAAGTCAGTGGTTTGGGGGTAGCCACTGTACCAGCTCTTATGAAGGATGCAAAGATAAGTCAGAAATGAATCCTGCCCCCAAGGATTTTACGATCTCGCAGGGAAGGTAAGAGGTCGGTATAAGAACCCCAGTGCTGAGTAGGAAGTGAAATGAGAAATAAGAGAAGTGTGGACGAACTCCCCTGAAAATCCTCAGAGTGATGGTATTGGGAGGACTCACAAGGTGGGGCAGTGAAGTGGAGCCTGAGAGCGGTCAGGACTGGATACGCGAGGTCAGGAAGAGGGCACAGCAGTCAGAGAAGGAGGACGTGGATCCACGCTGGGGGATCTGCTGAAGGCTGATGCCAGGGGAACTGACCTAATCAGAAGTGGCTTTAAGGAGGCTGGAGAGGCCAGCAGGGAGACACGAAAGGTATGGCCTAGGTCTGCCAAATGGCCTGCAAGTTTTAATGACCAGCTTCCTGGGCAGTGCAGTGGCCAGGGCTGGCTGCCATGAACAGTTCCTGGCCGGGCTGGGGCTGCTCACAGCATGGTCCGTGGACTGGCTGTGGCTGGCCCATGAAGAAATAAGTACAGAAATTGTAATTTGATGGAGTAATTTTATGTCCGTCCAATCTAATAATACAAATTTTCAGCTTGTATTTTGAGTGCTTTGTTTTTATTCAATTTTTCCTAATAACTCATTTGTACTGCATTTTACAAAATATAGATCTGTGACAGATTGGACAGAAAAAACAACAACTGGTCTTTCCTGACAGCCTTTCTCAAACCATGGCTGGTTTGAGAAGATATTCTTCCCGGAAGAGGCTCCGTTTTCCTAGGGTGACGCGTGCTCTAGCCTCATATGGTTTGCTGAGGGCTGCTGACTGATGCCTGATCTATTTCCTCTCTCCAGCTGGAGTGCAGGTGGCCTGTCACATCTACATACCTGTGCTGGGGTCCCACATGGTTAGGCAGGGACACAGGTCTTCAGGTGTGTGTGGGAGCTAGGGCCGGTGTTTCTGGCTCCACCCTGAGAGTAACCTTGGGTCGTGGGGAAGGTCTGGAGCTGAGGACTGCCACCAGCCTACAGGCGAGGCCGTGGGGTGGGGGACTCAGGAAAGACAGAACAGCCTGCAGGAGAAGCCATGGGGTGGGGTAGGGGGGTACCCAGGGTGGCCTGCAGGGGAAGCCGCAGGGTTGGGGGACTCAGCGTGGCCTGCAGGGGAAGCCGTGGGGTGGCAGGGCACCGAGGGAAGATAGAGCAGCTGCCTGCTCTTTGTCTGGGACTCTGGGCTCCCATCTCTTTTCCTATGAAGATTTTCATGCATCTAATATTTGTAACTGGTTTACTGAAGGAGCTAGGCTGGGGCTGAAATAATGAAATCATTTTCTATTTTCCACCTGACTGCCTTTCCCGCCTGCTCCATTGGATCCCTGTCCTGGGGGCGTCATTTAGATTCCATTGCTTTCTGGTCCTTTGCAGGTACTAAGACACTGTCTCATCTTCCTGTACCAAATAGTCCAGACTAATCTAAAGGAGTTTTTAAAGGTTTTTATCTTATTTTATTCTAGTTTTTGTTTGAGACAGAGTCTCACTCTGTTGCCCAGGCTGGAGTACAGAGGCACCATCTCGGCTCACTGCAACCTTCTCCTCCTGGGTTCAAGTGATTCTCCTGCCTCAGCCTCCTGAGCAGCTGGGACCACAGGCATGCACCACCATGCCTGGTTTATTTTTGTATTTTTAGTAGAGACAGAGTTTCACCATGTTGGTCATGGCTGGTCTTGAACTCCTGGCCTAAAGTGATCTACGTGCCTCAGCCTCCCAAAGTGCTGGGATTCCAGGTGTGAGCCACCGCGCCCGGCCTTAACGTTCTTATTGAAGTTAAACTTTCCACTCTCCCTGCCCCACAGCCTCCTAAACCTGCAGTAGAGGAAGGGGTGTATCTTTTCCCTCTCTGTGTGTCTTCCTCCTCTGTGATAAAAGAAAAACCTTAAACAACATTAAATTTTTTTAAAAAAACATTAAATTTAACAGGCTTAATTGAACAAAGAATGATTTGTACATTGGGCAGAGCCGGGAGCAGAATAGGCTCCGAGAAGCTCCAACATAGCCACATGGTGGAAGAAGGTTTATGGACAAAAAAGGGAAAGTGAGGAACAGAACACAGAAGTGAGGTGCAGAAGCAGCAGGGTGATTGCAGCTGGGCACTTGCCTTATGTGAACAGAGTTTGAACAGTTGGCCGCTTTCGATTGCCAGAAACTCGGTGATTGGCACAAGAGTAGGCTGCAGTCTGTTCAGTCTCCAGGTAGCTTACAGCTCACTATGCATGGAAAGAACTTTAGGCCAAACTTAAAATAGTCAAAGAGGCAGCTTCAGATCAGACTTAGTTCAACGGCCCCTGCTGGCTCTCCTGCTTGTTGGGAGGTGGGTGAGAGGGAGGTGGGGAGCCATAAAGGGGTGAAGCAGTCATCCCTGGCTGGCGATAGGAACTGAGTAGGTACCTTCTAACTGGGCCGGTTGGTGCCCAAGGTGAGGCTTTCTCTCTGGGGACTTTTAGGAATTATTGGACACCCTCTCCCTTCCCCTTGGGGACCTCCCATCTTCCATGTGACACAGTTCCCTCAGTTCCTGCTCCTGGAGGCCCAGCTTGCACCTGTCTGCTGGGGCTATCTGGTCCTGGAGGGTGCGCTTGTGAACATGGCCTTTATTTTTCATTTTATTTTATTTTATTTTATTTTTGAGACATGGTCTCACTCTGTCACCCAGGCTAGAGTGCAGTGGTGAGATAATTGTTCACTGCAGCCTTGATCTCCTTGGTTCAAGTGATCCTTCTGCCTCAGCCTCCTGAGTAGCTGGGACCAGAGGTGGGCACCGTTAGGCCCAGCTAATTTATTTTTATATTTTGTAGAGACGGAGTCTTGCTATATGGTCCAGGCTGGTCTCAAACTCCTGGCCTCAACTGATCCTCCTGACTTGGCCTCCCAAAGTGCTGGGATTGCAGGCATGAGCCACCGTGCCTGGCTAGCATGGCCTAGCCAGAGGAAGCACCTGGCTCCGTGGCCCTGCCAGTCCCCGAGAGGCACTCCAGGACAACCCTCTCATTGCTGGCCCTTCCACATAGCAACCCATGCTCTGGCCATCTGGCTCTCCTGTAAAGGTCGGACACCTGACCTGGGGCCTCTTGACTCCAGGGAACACCGTGTGGGCTCCCCTGGGAACTCTTCCTGGGCCTCCCCTCTAGTTATAGGCCCCCTTTTCTTTAGGCAGAAAAAGGTGACCATCCGTATCACCTGTCACCATGCCACCAGCCCTCCGCTCCATCTCTCGCTTTTACTCTGAAGGAAGGTGGGCGGTCCTGATGGGAGATGGAAACACATATTACTCCCATGGAGAGAGCGCAGTGTAAATCCCTGTTAGCAACACAGCTCTCTGGTTGTATTGGAGAACTGAAAAGGCTCAACCGACTGCTAAGGTATTACAAGGCAGGGACTATAGCAAGCAGTTACTCCTTTCAGGGAATAGAGGGCCGAGAAGAACTATGGAAACTTCAGCTACTCGGGAGGCTGAGGTAGGGGAATTGCTTGAACCCAGGAGGCAGAGGTTGCAGTGAGCCAAGATTGCACCATTGCACACTCCAGCCTGGGCAACAAGAGCGAAACTCTGTCGAAAGAAGAAAGAAAGAAAGAAAGAAAGAAAGAAAGAAAGAAAGAAAGAAAGAAAGAAAGAGAAAAGAAAAAAGAGAAAGGAAGGAAGGAGAAGGAAGGAAGGAGAAGGAAGGAAGGAAGGAGAAAGAAAGAAAGAAAGAGAGAAAGAAAACTTAGAAGCACTCCTGCCTTGAGTGGTAAGAGCATCGGCAGTTGTCTCCCTGTCACGCACAGCTGAAAAACTGGATAAGAAAGACATGTGCAATGACAATTGTCAGACACTGGGTAGTGGGTAGACTGAGACTGTGATTGCTGGGAGAAGGAAAATGAAGCAAGAAAGCCCTACAATTTCCCTGGCTCCCTGCTTGCGGGGGATTTCTGAACCAGGGTGCAGGAAGAGTGAACCCCAACAGAACCCAGTGGTCCTGTTGAGGCAGAGATTGGAGTTCCGGAGGCTGAGGGAGCTGGGACTTTTAAGGCAGAGAATAGAGATGAATAAACTACTCAGAAAATGACTCCAGAAATGTGCAGAGGGGTTCTCTTGAGTCTGGGGCTGAGCAGGATGGCATCCTTGGGATTGGGCAAAGAACAACCACTGGGGAAAGAACAATTGCCGAGAGGCTGCTGGCCAAGAGATCTCCAGAGCTTACACAGGACTGGGACACATTCAATTCCACTAGGTAGCTTGGAGAAACCTAGTTTAATACTTGAACAGCCGCAGAAAGTACACATCTTGGCAGTGGTACTTAACTAATCTAGAATAACACTTCTCTAGATCTCCTGCCTGATAAAAAGGTTTTCTTTTTTTTTAAAGCCCAAACTATTCAACTGATGTCTGAATAACTCACCTGAAAGCCAGAATAAAGTGCAACACTCTTGAAAGAAATGCAACAAAATCTAACACTCAAGAATGTAACATTCACAAAATTACTAGATTTGCAAAGAAGCAGGAAAATGTAACCCATAGCCAGGAGAGAAAAAATTACTCAAAAGAAATAAGCCCAGAAATGACAGACATGTGGAATTAGCAGAAAAGTAATTTAATTTTCCCTATTTCCATCTGCTTGAGTGTGACTGGACTTAGTGACTCACTTGCAAAGAATAGAGGATGGAAGGGGAAAAATGGTAACTTCACAGCCAGAGATCTGACAGATACGATCTTCACCAATTGATCAAGGTTTATATCCCTGCTGATATATCTGGCTAATATCATTTATCCCCTATATGATGTTATGAGAGGGCACTTCACCTGTCTGGTATTTAAAAAAAAAAAAAAAAAGAACAACCCCATATATCTCTAGCCTAATATGAGGAAAAATATCAAAGAAACTCTAACTGGGAAACACGTACAAAATGCTGACCAGTACTTTTAAGATCATGGAAAACAAAGTTTGGAAAGTGTCCCAGTCCAGAGGAGACAGGAGAAATGCAGTGTCTAAATGCAACACTGTCTCCTGGATTGGATTCCAGAACAGAAAAAGGACATTAGGGGGAAAAGTGGTGAAAGCTGAACAAAGTTTGGAGTTTGGTGTATAGTAATGTACCAATGTTAGTATTTTCCTTGTATTAGTTTTCTAGGACCGTGTAACAAAGTATCACAAACAGGGTGCCTTAAAATAATAGAATTTCATTTCTCACAGTTCTGGAGCCTTGAGTCTGATAGGAAGATGTTGGCAGGGAGGTGCTTTTTCTGAAGGGCTTTAGGGAGAAACCATTCCCGCCTCTCTCTGCCTTCTGGTGGTCACTGGCAAACCCTGGGATTCCTTGGCTTGTAGATGCATCACTCCAGTCTCCACCTCCTTCATAACACGGCCTTCTCCTTGTGTGTCTCTTCTTATAAGGATTCCTGTCATACTGGAGTTAGGGTCCACTGTACTCTAGTATGACCTCATCTTAACCTAACTACATCTGCAAAAACCCTATTTGCAAGTAAGGTCACATTCACAGGTACCAGGGGTTAGGACTTCAATACCTTTTTTGGGGAGTTCAGTTTAACTCACAACACATACTTTTTTTTCTTTTTCTTTTTTTTTCTAGACAGGGTCTCACTCTATCGCCCAGGCTAGAGTGCAGTGGTGAGTCACTGCAACCTCTACCTCCTGGGTTCAAGCGATTCTCCCGCCTCAGCCTCCCAAGTAGCTGGGACTACAGATGTGTGCCACCACGTCCAGCTAATTTTTGTATTTTTAATAGAGATGGGGTTTCACAATGTTGGCCAGGCTGATCTCGAACTCCTGACCTCAAGTGATCTGCCCGCCTCGGCCTCCCAAAGTGCTGGGATTACAGGCGTGAGCCACTGTGCTCAGCCACAACACATACTTTTAACAGATGTACCAGAGTTATGCAAGATATTAACATTAAGGGAATCTAAGGAAGGGTGTACAGTAACTTTATACTGCCTTTGCAACTTTCCTACAAATCTAAAATTATTCTAAAATAAAAATTTATTTAAAAAACATCCATTATAAATATGCTCAAAAATCTAGTGGAAAATATGAAGATAATGGAGAGAGAAATGGAAGATATAAAAAAACCAAACAGAAATTCTAGAGTGGAAAAATATAATATCTGAAATGAAAAATGCAACTCCTGGCTTTCTGTCCTCCATATAAGGAACTTAGAAGTTGCCACTGTGTCCTAACAATAAGAGCTGAACAAACTGAAAAATCAACCACTCTTCTTAGATGCATAAGAGAAATGATGTCATAGGGCAAACTACTGCCCCCTAAATTAAACAGACAGACAAGCAAATACAGAGAATCATAGTACATTAGAGCAGCAACCTCTGCAGGAACCACTGCTGCCTGGGAGAACCGGAACTGTAACTGACAAGCTGATGGAGTCTAGGCGTGGACAAATCTGAGACTTAAAAGCTCTAGGGAGACCCAGTCTTAGGAGGCCCCCAACACTTATGTGAGTTTTGTCTTCAGGATATCAACCAGGTTCTCACAGTAAATACTGGAGAAAAATCTCCTCATGCTTTCAGCAGGATGGGAGAGAGAAAGGAGCCATTTTGAAATATGCCAGAACACTCTGTCTTAACAAGGTCTGCTGTCGGGAGAAATTAGTTAACTAGAGTCTAACCTGCTGGAATTTTATCAGAGCCTAATGACCTGGGAGGGAAGGAGGAAATGCCCAAATCCAGCCAGCTCTATCCTTCTATGTAGGAGAGGGGAAATAACCCAAGTTCAGCTACTCTAGCCATCCTGCCCAACCTAAGGTGGAGAAAAATTGAGAAGTTCACAGTCCAGAGGCACAGAGTCACTAAGAGACAGAAACCTCATCATAGAAATATGGAATGCTTATTCCCCCCATACACTTTACCACCACATTACTAAGGGTCTATTTACTGCATTTCCTTTAACCCACTACATCATGTCTAGCTGTGAAGAAAAAATTACAAGGCATACTAAAGAACAAAAGACACAGTTTGAAGAGACAGAGCAAGCATTAGAACCAGACATGGCAGGGATATTAGAATTAGGACAGGAGATTTAAAACAACTCCTATTAATATGCTAAGGGCCATAATGGATAGAGTAGACAGCATGCCAGAACAGATAGGTAATATAAGCAGAGAGATGGAAATCCTAAGGGGAAAACCAAAAGGAAATGCTAGAGATCAATAATACTGTGAGAGAAAGGAAGAATGGACAAGTCCTTTGATAGAATTCTTAGTGGACTGGACATGGCTGAGGAAAGAATCTCTGAGCTTGTGGGTAGATCAATAGAAACCTCTAAAACTGAAAAGCAAAGAGAACAGAGACTGAAAAAAGAAACAGAACTGTGAGACACTTACAAAAGGTGTAACATACATGTAACGGAATACCAGAAGGAGAATAAAAAGAGAAAGGAAACAGAAGAAATGTTTGAAATAATAATGACCAATAATTTTCCAAAATTAATGTCAAACACCAAACCACAGATCCAGGAAGCTCAGAGAATATCAAGCAGGATAAATGCCAAAACAACTACACCTAGACATGTCATTTTCAAATTACGGAAAACCAAAGATAAAGAAAAATATCCTGAAAGAAGACAGAAGGAAAAACCAGCTAAGCTAGAGAGATGCAAAGCTAAGAATTGCATCCAACTTCTCCTCAGAAACCATGCAAGCAAGATGGGAATGTAGTGAAATAGTTAAAGGTTTGGGAGAAAACCCCCCGCCAGCCTAGAATGCTGTACCCTGTGAAATTATCCTTCAAAAGTGAAGAAAAAAAAAAAGACATTCTCAATCAAACAAAAACTGAGGGAATTTCTTTGCCAGTAGATCTGCCTTGTAAGAAATGTTAAAAGAAGTTCTTTAGAGAGAGGGAAAATAGTACAGGTCAGAAATTTAGATCTGCATAAAGAAAGGAAGAACATCAATATAAAAATGTTTATTCTTCTTATCATTAATTTTTTTCTTTTTTAGATTATTATTATTCTAAATATAGAGGTGGGTTCTCATTATGTTGACCAGGCTGGTCTCAAACTCCTGGGCTCAAGCAATTCTCCTGCCTCAGCCTCCCAAAGTATTAGGATTACAGATGTGAGCCACCATACCTGGCCTATTTTTCTTATTCTTAGTTGATCTAACACATAACAGTTTGTTCAAAATAATAATAGCAACTGCACCTTCAATTATGTACATAAGATATATACATAAGATTTATAACTGAATACATATATAAATATATGCTTGTGACAAATATACTTATATATTCACACTTACATATGCTTACATATAAATGAAATGAATGACAGCAATGACACAAGGAATAAAAAGAGGATTTTCGGTTATTTTGTTATTATAATGTACTCACACTACCCATGAGGCTGTATATTGTTATTTGAAAGTGGGCTTGGGTTAGTTCTAAATGTATATTGCAAATTCTAGGTCAATGACTGAAAAAAGGTAGGAGAAGTATAACTGATACGCCAAGAAAGGAAAGAAGATAGAATCATAGAAATGCTCAATTAAGATAAAAAATTTACCAGGTGTGGTGGCTCATGTTTGTAATCCCAGCACTTTTGGAGGCTGAGGTGGGCAGATCACCTGAGGTCAGGAGTTCGAGACCAGCCTGGCCAGCATGGTGAAACCCCTTCTCTACTAAATATACAAAAATTAGCTAGGCATGGTGGCAGGTGCCTGTAATACTAGCTACTAGGGAGGCTGAAGCAGGAGAATCGCTTGAACCTGGGAGGTGGAGGTTGCAGTGAGCTGAGACTGCACTACTGCACTCCAGCCTGGGCAACAGAGCAAGACTTCGTCTCAAAAAAAAAAAAAATGGTGAATTGCTAGGAAAAAATGAACAGAGTTTTGTGACACATTGGACAATATCAGTTGGTCAATATACAAGTAATTCGAGTCCCAGAAAAGGGGGCAGAATAAATATTTGAAGAAATGATGGCTAAAGACTGCTCAAATTTATAAAAACTGGAAAGACACCAATTCAAAAAGCTCTGAGAATTTCAAGTAGGAAAATACAAAGAAAAGCACCCGAGGGCACATCATAACCAAATTGCTGCAAACGTGAACTAATGAAAATTTAAAAAAGCAACCCAGCCAGCAAAAAAAAAGAGACACATTATGTATTGGGGAGCAAATATAAAATTTGAGGCTGTTTTCTTGTTGGAAACTATGCAAGTCAGACACAATGAAGTGATGTCTTTGAAGAGCAGGGAGGGAAGAAAAGAAGCTTGTTGACCAAAAATTCTATTCCAAGCAAAAGTGTCTTCCAAAACTAAGAAAAGTGATGTGAAGACTTTTTAGACAAACAAAAGCTGAGAGAATTTTTATCCAAGAGGCCTACCTTACTAGAAATGCTAAAAGATGTTCTTAACACAGAATTAAGGTGATACCAGATAGAGAGACATTAGATACACAAAGGAATGAAAAGTGCCAGAAACAGAAAATATTTGATTAAATATAAGAGATACTTTCCTTCATTTTTGAATTTCTTTAAAAGATTGTTGACTCTTTTATAATAATACTTTGTGAGATTTACAATATCATCACAGACCAAATAACATTTCAGTCAGTGACAGATCACATGTATGACAGTGGTCATGCTTCACTGAACAACAGGTTACATTCTGAGAAATGTGTCATTAGGTGATTTTATCAGTGTGCAAACATCATGGAGTGCACGTACGCAAACCTAGATGGTACAGCCTACTACACACTTAGGCTATATGGTAGATCCTATTATAACACAGTAGTTTTTGTATGTCTATACATAGAAAGGATAAAGTAAAACTACAGTGCAAAAGATCAAAAGTGGTAGACCTGTACAGGACACTTACTGTGAACGGAGTTTGTGAGACGGAAAGTTGCTCTGGTGAATCAGCGAGTAAGTGGTGAGTGAATGTGAAGGTGACATGGTTTGGATTTGTGTCTCCACACAAATCTTATGTCCAATTCCCAGTACTGGAAGTGGGGCCTGGTGGGAGGTGATTGGAACATGGGGGAGGTTTCTAATGGTTTAGCACCATCCGCCGGTGCTGTTCTCATCATAGTATTCTTAAGAGGTCTGGTTGTTTAAAAGTGTGTGGCACCTGCCCCCACCTCTGTTTTCCTCCTGCCTCTGCCATGTGAGGTGGGTGTTTCCCCTTCTGCCATGATTGTAAGTTTCCTGAGGTCTCCCCAGAAGCAAAAGCTGCTATGCTTCCTCTGCAGGCTGTGGAACTGTGAGCCAATTCAACCTCTTTTATTTATAAATTATGAAGTCTCAGGTATTTCTTTACAGCAGTGTGAGAATGGACTATTCAGAAGGCTGAGGACATTACTGTACACTTCCATAGATTTTATAAATACTGTAAACCTAGGCTACACTAAATTTATTAAAAAATAAAGTAATTGCATTACAATGTTATGATGGCTACAACTTCACTAGGTGATCAGAATTCTTCAGCTCCATTTTACTCTTATGGGATTATCATTGCATATGCAGTCCATTGTTGACTGAAACTTTATGTGGTACATGGCTGTGCCATATCTTTACTGTATCTAGGACATCATAAGGATCCTAAAGGCATTAATAAAATACTATTTTGAAAAAATTATATGCCAATAAATTTGATACCCTAGATGAAAAGAACAAGTCCACTAAAATGACCCATTTATCAAAACTGACTCAGGAAGAAGTGAAAATATGGAATTGACTCGCATCAATGAAAGAGATTGAATTAATAATCTAAAACCTTCCCACAAAGAGTACTGCAGGCCCAGGTGGCTTCACTAAAGAGTATTACCAGATGTTTAAGGAAGAAATTATGCTGATCCCATGAGAATATAGGAAATAGAGATGGGAGGAGAGTTTCTCAGTTCATCTTTCAAGGCCGTATTTACTCAGGCTACTCTGGTCACTGTCCCTTACACGACTGGACTTTCGTTCCTCTGCTCTCAAGTGACCTTTGTGAGCACAAATCTCCCAATTACTTTACAGCACTCAAATGCTTCTTTTTCTTTTTTTTTTCTTTGTTTTTGTGAGGACAGAGTCTCGCTCTGCTGCCCAGGCTAGAGTGCAGTGGTGTGATCTCGGCTCACTGCCACCTCTGCCTCCCAGGTTCAAGTAATTCTCCTGCCTTAGCCTCCTGAGTAGATGAGATTACAGGGGCATGCAACCACACCCAGCTAATTTTTATATTTTTAGTAGAGATGGGGTTTCACCATGTTGGCCAGGCTGGTCTTGAACTCCTGACCGCGTGATCCACCCACCTTGGCCTCCCCAAGTGCTGAGATTACAGGCATGAGCCACCGCGCCCAGCTGAATACCTTCTTTTCCGAACTTTGATTGCACTAAGGAGCCCAGTTCCTCTCCACTGAGCATAAGGATGCCCTCTAATCATTCACGTGAATCAGTGTCCCCCAGGATGGATTAAACGCTCTGTGTAGATAGATGCAGGGCTTCTCCATGCATCCTATAGTCCCACATACACTGTGCATGTCCCACCCGGGCTTGCGGCCATACTCACACATCAGGAAGCACTACTGCTTGAAAATGGTGACTTTTCTCCAACTAAACTCCAGGTGCCACATGCCAGCACCAGCCTCTTCGTGTCCCTTGGCGCTTCCCCAGGCACTGTCTCTCCCCTCACTCCGTCCGTTCTCATTTTGAGAGATGATGTAGTTTTCCTCTGGGTCACACCATGACCCCGTGGGTGGTGGAAGCAGCCCTGGGCCCTGCAACCACCCTCGTGTTTGGCCCCGGTAGATCCCCCAGGCCCCTGAGGGGACCAGCATACCTGCTCACCTGGGCCAGTCCCCAGTGACACCTGTCATTTGCCACAATTGTTAGTAGTTCCCCTTTTCATTCTCAAAATCCCCTGTTTGAATGATAAATGTTACAGTCACCCTACAGATTCCTGGGAGGAGGAATTAAAAGGTCAGGATGGTCATTATGGGTTAAATTGTGCCCCCCTACAAAATATGTGTGTTGATCTCCTAACCCACAGTACCTCAGAATATGACCTTATTTGGAAATAGGTGTAGGTATAATGAGTTAGGATTAGGTCATACTGGAGTAGGTAGGGTGGGCCCCGATCCAATATGGCTGATATCCTATAAGAAGAACGCCGGGCTGGGTGTGGTGGCTCACTCCTGTAATCCCAGCAATTTCGGAGGTTAAGGCAAGTGAATCACTTAAGGCCAGTAGTTGGGGACTGGCCTGGGCAACATGTTGAAACCCCATCTCTAGTAAAAAAACCACAAAAATTAGCTGGGCATGGTGGTGCACACCTGTGGTCCCAGCTACTCAGGAGGCTGAGATGGGAGAATCGCTTGGACCTGGGAGGTGGAGGTTGCAGTGAGCCGAGATCAAGCTACTGCATGCACTCCAGCCTGGGTGACAGAGCAAGACTGTCTCAAAAAAACCCAAAAAAGTTAGAGACACCACCCCCGCCTTCCACGCACATACAACACACATACATACAGGGAGAACATGATGTGGACATCAAGACAGAAATCCGGGTGATGTGTCCCTAAGCCAGGAAACACCAAAGTATGCCAGCAAACCAGGAGAAGCCAGGACAGAAACAAGAAACAGATTCTCCCGCACAATCCTGAGAAGGAATTAGCTTTGCTGTCATCTTTCTCTTAGGCTATTCACTTCCAGAGCGATTACACAAAACGTATTTCTTGCTCTAAGCAACCCGGCTCATGGTACTTTGTTACAGCAGCCCTCAAAAACGAAACACAATCGTTATAGCAGGAGTGGCCCCAAGAGATCTAAGTGTGCCTTCATACCAATGAAGAAGCGGAGGCCCAGAGAGGGGAAGCGGTTGCACAAGGTCCCCCAGCTTTTAGTGCAGAGCTGAGACTGAAACCCAGGTCTCTGACTCACTGACAGATGTTTTCTGCTTCGCCAGACTGACATTCAGCCCACAGGAGCGGTCAGCTGCCTCAGGCGGCCTTTCTGACCCTCCTTCCCAGAGAAAGTCCTTCCATAAGCGGAGATTTATCTCCCCTGAGTGGATGTTTTGAGTTTGGAGAGTTATGGCTGTGGTCTGCGGGTCTGGAGGCTGAGCCAGTGAGGGACCAGGACCTGGGAATGAACAGTGTTTAAGGAGGAGAGGAGCAGGTTCTTGAACTGGGTGAGAGACAAGTGCACATCGTAACTCTCTCACTCTCCTTCCTGCCTGGAGTCAGGGTACCTCTCACCTTTGCACCAGACCCCCCCAAACCACAGCCACATTCTGCTGTGGGGCCATAGATCACATTCTTGCTAGGTTGCTAGGATGACAGTTACCCAGTACAGATTTCCGCACACTTATTCAGAAAGTATTTGCTGAATGAACTGCTGAATGAATGGTTGTCAGAAATAATTTGAGCTGCTTCGGGGCAGGGAACATGACATCCACCTCCGCAGTGCTTGGGCCCTGCTGCAGGGCTGGGCACATAACAAGTGCTCATTCTGTCTCACTTCCATGTTCCTGGTTTCACCCAGGGACACCCATTTTTTCAGGCCACCGAGATGCCAAACCTCATTTTCATACCTGATGCAGTGCCTTGCATATTTGAGCAGGCTGTGCCTTCTACCTGGGTAGTCTATCCTCCTCATTTCCAATCCTGAGGTTCTAGGCCCTCACTAGATGCAGCTGTGAAACAGGCTTTATTGCCTTAGGGCTAGAAAGCAGAAAGAATGCAACCGAGGGCAGGGGTTTCTATCCATTCACAAGTGCCTGTAACAAGTGTTTGACACATCATGGATTTTTCTGTTTCTTTCTTTTTTTTTTGAGATGGTGTCTCACTCTGTCGCCCAGGCTGGAGTGCAGTATGCAGTGGCGTGATCATCGTTCACTGCAGCCTTGAACTCTTCGGCTCAAGCAATCCTCTTTCAGCTTCCTGAGTGGCTAGGACCACAGGTACATGCTAGCATGCCTGGCTAATTTTTTAATGTTTTTATAGAGATGGAGTCTCACCATTTGTCCAGGCTGGTCTCAATCTCCTGGCTCAATTGATCCTCCTGCCTTAGCCTCCCAAAGCATTGGGATTACAGGTGTGAGTCACTGCAACTGGCTGATAATGGACTCTTGATAAATATTGAATGAATCAACTTTTCCTCCATTTCTCTTGTAAGATTTACCTTCCTAAACTGCAACTCTGATCAAGTCAGTTGTGGCTCCAAAACTTTCAGTTATTCTTCACAAATAATTTATCTACATAATTTGGTCCCAACTTAGATAACCTTCCTCCTGAATTTGGTGTTTATCACTCTCACGCTATTTTATATACGTTTTTGTACTATTTCTACATAGTATGTATTCATAACTAGGTATCATAGTAATAATAGCAACATTTTGCATTTTTCAAATTTTATTTAAATGGTATCACATATATGTATGCATGAATCACTCTCCAGATTTTAAGAACTGAACTTTGCATGATTTATGCATGTTGATAAGTGCACGGATAGAGTCCATGGATAAGTGTGTGTTAGATTTTGCATTTTCACTATATACTCTATTATATGCATAGCCATAATTATAAATGATAAGTACTCCTGTTGGTGGATTAATAGTTTGCTTCTATTTTCCAAAGAAATCTAAAAAGCATCTCTGAGCTCTGTTCTTCTTTTCAACCCTTTTCTGATCTTTTCAATAAAAGCCCAGAAACTGAACTATGAGAGAAGGCAGAAATCTCCTCTGAGGGTGAGAGGAGAAGATAGGCATTGAATGCTTATACATAAATGTATTTTTGCCTTATCCATCGACAATGCTTACTGAAGGCCTGACTAATGATGTGCCTGGGCCCCATGCATGAAGTTTTCTTAGACTCTGCCCTTATGGAGCTTCTCATCCAGTGGGAAAGATTGGCATGGAGGAAGGGCAGAAGTAGGTGATATTCTAGAAGGAATTAGGAAGTACTGTCAACCCTCCATATTCATGGCTTTTGCATCCATGGATTCCACCAACCGAGGACTGAAATATTTGGGAAAGAACATTTCACAGTTGCAAAAGGCAAAACTTGAATTTTTGTTGCATGCTGAGAAGTATGTGGATTTCATGCACACTAAATGATGTGTAGGCTTTGTATTAGGTATTTTTACAGTTTACAGGAGGATGTGCCTAGGTTGCAGGCCATTTGATATCCAAAACTTGAGGCTTGAGCATCCATGGATTTGGGTAATCTTGGGGTTCTTGAACCAATCCCCCATGGATTCTGAGGGACAACTGCACTCAGGTTTGGAAAGGTGCTCTGCCATCCAGTCCTAGCAGTACTACACCAGGGTGCAAATGCGTTCCCTCCGAAGACCTGCCTGCAGACGGACTGCAAGCTGGGACATCAGGGATTAACCACAGCCAATGGAGTCTTGTGCAATTTGGTTAGCCCCTAAGGAGGAGAGGTAGAGCAGCGTGTGGGATCCTGCTCAGGTGTTAAGGAGTATTTAAAAGCAGTGAGTCCTCAGGGACTGGCTGGGGCCACCTTCTGATCAAGAGAGCTGTGTATGCTGAACCCCACAAGGACAAGAACAAGACCTGGAGAATGAGCACTGCAGAGGCAGCAGGGGCACTTGAGGCAGCACACTGGAGCACTGGGACAGTTATGGCAGGCCCAGCTGACTTTGTGGGAAGGGATAGCATTCTGCTGCAAGCAGTCTTAAAGGGTGGCCCCTCCATCACAGGGAGGCCTTTCCTGGTTACTTTCAAGAGAACCATTCTCTCAGTCCAGTATCTGACAAACTAAATGTAGAGACATTCTTCATAATAATAAACCAACCACTTGCAAGATCTCATTCTGAGGGCTTTATTTGTATTAACTCTTTTAGTTTTCACAACAACCCCTGGGAGGTGGAGTGGGACGGTGGTGCCGATGAGGAAACCAGGCACTGAGAGGTTAAGGAACTTGCCAAAGTGTTCACAGCAAGGACAGAGAATAGCTGGGATTTAAACTTGATCTCTCAGTGCTTGGGTCTGTGAGGGACAGTGTGTCCAGTGGCTTAGGGCATGGTCTCTAGGGTCAGATAGTAAACCTTAGCCCTACTTTGTTATAAAGTTAAACATGCATCCATTCAGTGCCCCAGCAATTTCACTCCCGAGTGAAATGAAATAACATGTCCAAAAAATACTTATTCATATAAGCCTTTTTCATAATAGCCCCAAATTGGAAACAACCAAGTGTTCCTAAACAGGGGGATGGATAAACATATTATATTATATTTGTATATATAGTACATTCATAGTATAGTAGATTCATACAAATCCTACGCAGGAATAAAAAACGAATTAGCTGCTGATAGACACAACAGCATGGTTGAATCTCAAACATATTATGCTAAGTGAATGAAGACATTCACTAAAAAGTACTTTATGATTCCGTTTTTATAAAATCCAAATCTAGACAAAATACCCTATAGTGAAAGATCTCAGATAGTGGTTGCTGATGGTGGTGGAAATATTCTGTATCTTGATTTGGGTGGTGATTACAAGAGCGTCAGCAATTATCAAAACCCATCGAACTGATGACTTGAGACGGTGTGCATCTTATTGTGTGCTAATTATACCTCAATCGAAAGGAAAATCTTGGCTTTTCCACTTAATGGCTGCGTGATCTGGTTTTTGAGTTACTTTACCCCTTAAGCCTAAGTTTCTTCATCTGTGAAATGAAGGACTTCGCCAACTCTTCCAATACTAATGTGTTGTGATTTCATATCTTTTCTTAATTATCTAGAAGAAAATAAGAGCATGTGTAACTGATCTTGGGATGGAGAGAACTTTATAAGCATGAGATCATGGGAGGAATCACAAAGGTAACTCTTGTTAGATTTAACCATGTAAAACAAAGAAAAGTCCCCAAACCAGCTATATTTACAAAATCCCTGTATAATACAAGTTAAAAGCAAAATGACACCCACTGCTAAATTTGACTGGCCTTTAAAAATAAAAAATTGTAAAAAATTGTAAAAAGTAAAATGAAAACAGGCAAAAATATTTGCAATGAGCATGACAAATAAGCAGCTCCTAATTATATCCAGTCAATAAAAAATACTAACATACCAACTTAAAAATTATCAAAGAAAATGAACAAGCAGTTCTTAAAAGAAGAAATCCAAACGGTCAACAAATTAAGAATTGGTCAATAGAACCATTAATCAAAGAAATAGGAGTCAAAAAAAATGAAATACCATTTCCTCCTGCTACTCTGAAAAGCATTTAAAATACTGACTTGTTTTTGCAATGTGTCTGCACTGACAGATGCAGATAGAACTGTAAATTGGTCAATTTCTGGAAACTATTTGGCAATAAAAATTTTCATTAAAATATTTATATCATTTGTCCCAGTAATTCTACTTTTAAGTGTCTTCTAAAGGAAGTAATCAGAAATGTGATCAAAGACTTCTGTTTAAGGCTCTTCATCCCAGCACCATATATCAGAGTGAAAAATTATAAACAGCCCGAATATCCAAAAAATATTGTTCAGCTATAAATAATGTGTTTTGGAAGCATTCTTAATGGCAATAAAATATTTATCATAAAATGTTAAGAGAACAAAGCAGAGTAATAAAACACTTGTATCATCAACTCCATTTTATTTAAAAATGCAGTTTATATTTATATGTCTACAAAGAAAGGCCTGGAAAGGAATACACCAAAATGTTAGTGTGGTTATCTTGGGGAGAAGAGAGATTTTAGGTGATAATAGTTCTCTTCTTCAAACTTTTTTTTAAAAACTATTTTAACCATTTTAATTGTACAATTCGGTGGCAGTAAATACATTCACAGTGTTGTATAACCATGCCATTATCTGTTTCCAGAAACTTTTCATGATTCTAAACAAAAGCTTTGTGCTCATTAGACAATAATTTTCCACCTGCCTTTCTTCCTAGCCTGTCATATTATCTTTTTTTTCTAATTTCTTTTTTTATACTTCAAGTTCTAGGGTACATGTGCACAACGTGCAGGTTTGATACATAGATATACATGTGCCATGTTGGTTTGCTGCACCCATCAACTCATCATTTCCATTAGGTATTTCTCCTAATGTTATCCCTCCCCCAGCCCCCCACCCCCCGACAGGCCCTGGTGTGTGATGTTCTCTGCCCTGTGTCCAAGTGATCTCATTGTTCAATTCCCACCTATGAGTGAGAACATGCGGTGTTTGGTTTTCTGTCCTTGTGATAGTTTGCTGAGAATGATGGTTTCCAGCTTCATCCATGTCCCTGCAAAGGACAGGAACTCATCCTTTTTTATGGCTGCATAGTATTCTGTGGTGTATATGTGCCACATTTTCTTAATCCATTCTATCACTGATGGACATTTGGGTTGGTTCCAAGTCTTTGCTATTATGAATAGTGCCGCAATAGACATATGTGTGCATCTGTCTTTATAGTAGCATGATTTATAATCCTTTGGGTATATATGCGGTAATGGGATTGGAGGGGCAAATAGTAATTCTAGTTCTAGATCCTTGAGGAATTGCTACACTGTCTTCCACAATGATTGAACTAGTTTACACTCCCACCAACAGTGTAAAAGTGTTCCCATTTCTCCACATCCTCTCCAGCATCTGTTGTTTCCTGACTTTTTAGTGATTGCCATTCCAACTGGTGTGAGATGGTATCTCATTGTGGTTTTGATTTGCATTTCTCTGATGACCATTAATGATGAGCATTTTGTCATTTGTCTGTTGGCTGCATAGATGTCTTCTTTTGAGAAGTGTCTGTTCATATGCTTTGCCCACTTTTTGATGGGGTTGTTTGTTTTTTTCTTGTAAATTTGTTTGAGTTCTTTGTAGATTCTGGATATTAGCCCTTTGTCAGATGGGTAGATTGCAAAATTTTTTTCCCATTCTGTGGGTTGCCTGTTCACTCTGATGGTAGTTTCTTTTGCTGTGCAGAAGCTCTTTAGTTTAATTAGATCCCATTTGTCAATTTTGGCTTTGTAGCCATTGCTTTTGGTGTTTTAGACATGAAGTCCTTGCCCATGCCTATGTCCAGAATGGTATTGCCTAGGTTTTCTTCTAGGGTTTTTATGGTTTTAGGTCTAACATTTAAGTCTTTAATCTATCTTGAATTAATTTTTGAATAAGGTGTAAGGAAGGGATCCAGTTTCAGCTTTCTACATATGGCTAGCCAGTTTTCCCAGCACCATTGATTAAATAGGGAATCCTTTCCCCATTTCTTGTTTTTGTCAGGTTTGTCAAAGATCGGATGGTTGTAAATGTGTGGTGTTATTTCTGAGGGCTCTGTTCTGTTCCATTGGTCTATATATCTGTTTTGGTACCAGTACCATGCTGTTTTGGTTACTGTAGCCTTGTAGTATAGTTTGAAGTCAGGTAGCATGATGCCTCCAGCTTTTTTCTTTTTTCTTAGAATTGTCTTGGCAATACGGGCTCTTTTTTGGTTCCATATGAACTTTAAAGTAGTTTTTTCCAGTTCTGTGAAGAAAGTCATTGGTAGCTTGATGGGGATGGCATTGAATCTATAAATTATTTTGGGCAGTATGGCCATTTTCATATTGATTCTTCCTATCCATGAGCATGGAATGTTCTTCCCTTTGTTTGTGTCCTGTTTTATTTCATTGAGCAGTGGTTTGTAGCTCTCCTTGAAGAGGTCCTTCACATCCCTTGTAAGTTGGATTCCTAGGTATTTTATTCTCTTTGCAGCTATTGTGAATGTGAGTTCACTCATGATTTGGCTCTCTGTTTGTCTGTTATTGGTGTATAGGAATGCTTGTGATTTTTGCACATTGATTTTGTATCCTGAGACTTTGCTGAAGTTGCTTATCAGCTTAAGGAGATTTTGGGCTGAGATGATGGAGTTTTGTAAATATACAATCCTGTCATCTGCAAACAGAGACAATTTGACTTCCTCATTTCCTAATTGAATACCCTTTATTTCTTTCTCTTGCCTGATTGCCCTGGCCAGAACTTCCAACACTATGTTGAATAGGAGTGGTGAGAGAGGGCATCCTTGTCTTGTGCCTGTTTTCAAATGGAAGGCTTCCAGTTTTTGCCCTTTCATTATAATATTCGCTGTGGGTTTGTCATAAATAGCTCTTATTATTTTGAGATACGTTCCATCAATACCTAGTTTATTGAGAGTTTTTAGCATGTAGGGCTGTTGAATTTTGTCAAAGGCCTTTTCTGTATCTATTGAGATAATCATGTGGTTTTTGTCATTGGTTCTGTTTATGTGATGGATTATGTTTATTGATTTGCATATGTTGAACCAGCCTTGCATCCCAGGGATGAAGCTGACTTGATCGTGGTGGATAAGCTCTTTTATGTGCTGCTGAATTCAGTTTGCCAGTATTTTACTGAGGATTTTCTCAGCAATGTTCATCAGGAATATTGGTCTAAAATTCTCTTTTTTTGTTGTGTCTCTGCCAGGCTTTGGTATCAGGATGATGTTGGCCTCATAAAATGAGTTAGGGAGGATTCCCTCTTTTTCTACTGATTGGAATAGTTTCAGAAGGAATGGTGCCAGCTCCCCTCTGTACCTCTGGTAGAATTCTGCTGTGAATCCACCTGGTCCTGGACTGTTTTTGGTTGGTAGACTATTAATTATTGCCTCAATTTCAGAACCTGCTATTGGTCTATTCAGAGATTCAGCTTCTTCCTGGTTTAGTCTTGGGAGGGTGTATGTGTCCAGGAATTTATCCATTTCTTCTAGATTTTCTAGTTTATTTACATAGAGGTGTTTATAGTATTCTCTGATGGTAGTTTGTATTTCTGTGGGATCATTTTTTATTGAGTGTATTTGATTCTTCTCTCTTTTCTTCTTTATTAGTTTTGCTAGTGGTCTATCAATTTTGTTGATCTTTTCAAAAAACCATCTCCTGGATTCATTGGTTTTTTGAAGGGTTTTTTTTTGTGTGTCTCTATCTCTTTCAGTTCTGCTCTGATCTTAGTTATTTCTTGCCTTCTGCTAGCTTTTGAATGTGTTTGCTCTTGCTTCTCTAGTTCTTTTAACTGTGATGTTAGGGTGTCAATTTTAGATCTATCCTGCTTTCTCTTGTGGGACTTAGTGCTATAAATTTCCCTCTACACACTGCTTTAAATGTGCCCCAGAGATTCTGGTACATTGTGTCTTTGTTCTCATTGGTCTCAAAGAACATCTTTGTTTCTGCCTTCATTTCATTATTTAACCAGTAGTCACTCAGGAGCAAGTTGTTCAGTTTCCATGTAGTTGTGTGGTTTTGAGCGAGTTTCTTAATCCTGAGTTCTAGTTTGATTGCACTGTGATCTGAGAGACAGTTTGTTGTGATTTCTGTTCTTTTACATTTGCTGAGGAGTGCTTTACTTCCAATTATGTTGTCAATTTTAGAATAAGTGCAATGTGGTGCTGAGAAGAATGTATATTCTGTTGATTTGGGGTGGAGAGTTCTGTAGATGTCTATTAGGTCTGCTTGTTGCAGAGCTGAGTTCAAGTCCTGGATATCCTTTTTAGCCTTCTGTCTCATTGATCTGTCTAATACTGACAGTGGGGTGTTAAAGTCTCCCATTATTATTGTGTGGGAGCCTAAGTCTCTTTGTAGGTCTTTAAGGACTTGCTTTATGAATCTGGATACTCCTGTATTGGGTGCATATATATTTATGATAGTTAGCTCTTCTTGTTGAATTGATCCCTTTAACATTATGTAATGGCCTTCTTTGTCTCTGTTGATCTTTGTTGGTTTAAAGTCTGTTTTATCAGAGACTAGGATTGCAACCCCTGCTTTTTTTTTTGTTTTCCATTTGCTTGGTAGATCTTCCTCCATCCCTTTATTTTGAGCCTATGTGCATCTTTGCTCCTGAGATGGGTCTCCTGAATACAGTGCACTGATGGGTCTTGACTCTTTATCCAATTTGCCAATCTGTGTCTTTTAATTGGGGCATTTAGCCCATTTACATTTAAGGTTAATATTGTTATGTGTGAATTTGATCCTGTCATTATGATGTTCACTGGTTATTTTGCCCGTTAATTGATGCAGTTTCTTCCTAGCATCGATGGTCTTTACAATTTGTTATGTTTTTGCAGTGGCTGGTACTGGTTGTTTCCTTTCATGTTTAGTGCTTCCTTCAGGAGCTCTTGTAAGGCAGGCCTGGTGGTTACAAAATCTCTCAGCATTTTTTTGTCTGTAAATGATTTTATTTCTCCTTCACTTATGAAGCTTAGTTTGGCTGGATATGAAATTCTGGGTTGAAAATTCTTTTCTTTAAGAATATTGAATATTGGCCCCCACTCTCTTCTGACTTGTCAGGTTTCTGCCGAGAGATCTGCTGTTAGTCTGATGGGCTTCCCTTTGTGGGTAACTCGACCTTTCTCTCCGGCTGCCTTTAAGACTTTTTCCTTCATTTCAACCTTGGTGAATCTGACAATTATGTGTCTTAGGGTTGCTCTTCTCGAGGAGTATCTTTGTGATGTTCTCTGTATTTCTTGAATTTGAATATTAGCCTGCCTTTCTAGGTTGGAGAAGTTCTCCTGGATAATATCCTGAAGAGTGTTTTCCAACTTGGTTCCATTCTCCCCATCACTTTCAGGTACACCAATCAAACAGATTTGGTCTTTTCACATAGTCCCGTATTTCTTGGAGGCTTTGTTCATTTCTTTTTACTCTTTTATCTCTAACCTTGTCTTCTCACTTTATTTCATTAATTTGATCTTCAATCACTGGTACCGTTTCTTCCACTTGATTGAATTGGCTATTGAAGCTTGTGATGGTTTTCAGCTCCATCAGGTCATTTAAGGACTTCTCTACACTGTTTATTCTAGTTAGCCATTCATCTAATCTTTTTTCAAGGTTTTTAGCTTCCTTGCAATGGGTTCGAACATCCTCCTTTAGCTCGGAGAAGTTTGTTATTACCGACCTTCTGAAGCCTACTTCTGTCAACTCGTCAAAGTCATTCTCTGTCCAGCTTTGTTCCGTTGCTGGCAAGGAGCTGCAATCCTTTGGAGAAGAGGCACTCTGATTTTTAGAATTTTCAGCTTTTCTGCTCTGGTTTCTCCCCATCTTTGTGGTTTTATCTACCTTTGGTCTTTGAGATTGGTGACCTACAGATGGGGTTTTTGTGTAGATGACCTTTTTGTTGATGTTGATGCTATTCCTTTCTGTTTGTTAGTTTTCCTTCTAACTATCAGGTCCCTCAGCTGCAGATCTGTTGGAATTTGCTGGAGGTCCACTCCAGACACTGTTTTCCTGGGTATCACAAGTGGAGGCTGCAGAACAGCAAATATTGCAGAACAGTAAATATTGCTGCCTGATCCTTCCTCTGGAAGCTTCGTCCCTAAGGGGCAGCCCCCTATATGAGGTGTCTGTTGGCCCCTACTGGGAGGTGTCTCCCAGTTAGGCTACACGGAGGTCAGGGACCCACTTGAGGAGGCAGTCTGTCTGTTCTCAGAGCTCAAGCGCTGTGCTGGGGGAACCACTGCTCTCTTCAGAGCTGTCAGACAGGGACGTTTAAGTCTGAAGAAGTTGTCTGCTGCCTTTTGTTCAGCTATGCCCTGCCCACAGAGGTGAAGTCTAGAGGCAGTGGGCCTTGTTGAGCTGCAGTGGGCTCTGCCTAGTTTGAGCTTCAGAGCCACTTTGTTTACCTACTCAAGCCTCAGCAATGACAGATGCCCCTCCCCCAGCCAGGCATAGGAGATGGATCTCAGACTGCTACGCTAGCAGTGAGCAAGGCTCCATGAGCATGGGACCTGCCGAGCCAGGCACGGGAGAGAATTGCCTTGTCTGCCCATTGCTAAGACCTTGGGAAAAGCACAGTATTTGGGCAGGAGTGCCCCGTTTTTCCAGGTAGTCTGTCATGGCTTCCATCGGCTATGAAAGGGAAATCCCCTGACCCCTTGTGCTTCCCAGGTGAGGTGATTCCCCGCCCTGCTTCAGCTTGCCCTCCGTGGGCTGCACCCACTGTCCAAACAGTCCCAGTGAGATGAACCAGGTACGTCAGTTGGAAATGCAGAAATCACCCATCTTCTGCATCGATCACGCTGGGAGCTGCAGACTGGAGCTGTTCCTATTTGGCCATCTTGGAAGCCCAGAGTTTCTTTCCTTTAAGTTTTCATTCCTCTCTCACCCTGGGAAGAGACCATTTCTAGGCATCTCAGGGGACATGACGTCTAGCTGGGGATCTCCCAATACCTGCAGGTCACAGGGCCACAGAGGCTGGGTCTCCAGGAGCAGAGGACATAGACCAGGGAAGATGAGCTCTTCAAACTTCTAAGTGTATTTATACCTCCAATTTTTCTACAACAGTATAAATTACTTTTAATGGAGAAGTATTTACTTGTATAATCAAAGAACTAAACTTTTTCTTTTCTTTTTTTTTTTTTGAGAAGGAGTCTTGCCCTGTCCCCCAGGCTGGAGTGCAGTAGGGCAATCTTGGCTCAGTTCAACCTCTGCCTCCCAGGTTCAAGTAATTCTCCTGCCTCAGCCTCCTAAGTAGCTGGGATTATGGGCGCCTGCCACCATGCCTGGCTAATTTTTGTATTTTCAGTAGAGATGCGGTTTCACCATGTTGGCCAGGTTGGTCTTGAACTCCTGACCTCAAGTGATCCACCTACCTCAGCCTCCCCAAAGTGCTGGGATTACAGGCAGAAGCCATTGTGCCTGGCCTTTGTGTGTGTGTGTGTGTGTGTGTGTGTGTGTGTTTGTGTGTGTCAGATTTGAAAACACAAGCCTGACTAGGAGCTCCTTGAAAGACCCTTGCTTGGTGGGGGCAGCAGCATTTTTCTCCCCTGGTGAGCATGGCTGGGTGCAACTATATGCATCGTTAACATCTTCAATCATCTAGCCAGAGGGAGTTCCCTGGGGATGTGTCTCATCCACCCTAGACCTGGAAGCTCCACATGCTGGCAGTCCTGAGCAGAAAGCTGCAGCTTCCCTGTACTTGGGTCGTTTCTTCCTCCAAGACAGGCATTGGCCGTAGACTGGAACAGAACATATGTGTGGATTTGTGTAAGCCTGTTCCCACCAGGAGCTAACTAGCTCACAATGCATGCCTCCCTGTGGTTGGTCAGGAATGGGAACCACGTCTTTCACACAAGGAGAGAAAGACTAGCCCCATGACATCGTAGGCTTGTAACATACCCGACTTTGCCCGACTGCATGCTTTTTCGAGTTCGCCTGTCTCTTGTGCCAGCCTCAGAGGTGGCGACCAGCTCTGCACAGACTCCCACTGACTCCAGCAGTCAGCCTGGCCGTGCCCCGCCTCAGGCTCACTTGGGCTCCTCTTATCTTCTGCCCTGGGGCTTCCTGGGGACCCTACTCAGCGCTCATACCCAGGCATCCTCCTGCCCCAGACTCACAGTCATTAGTCACACCTTAAGAAGCTTCTAGGCGGACAGTCTGACCAGGTCAAGAAGATGCATTTAGTGATAACCAGCTTGGGGCGGATCCCACCCTCCCTTCCTCCCTCTTGGCTCTCTGGAGAATCCAGGCTAAGGATATGCATTGTTGGAGAAATTACTTAACTTTTCCTAATTTCATCATCTTGAAAATAGGGAGGATATAACTTGATATAACTTGTAGGGTGGTTGGATGAGTCAATGAGTCAATAGATTCAAGATGGTGGAACAGTGCTTGGTCTGTGGTAGATGTTCAGTAAGTGTGAGCCTCGCTCTGTCACCCAGGCTGGAGTGCAGTGGTACAGTCATAGCTCACTGCAACCTTCTACTCCTGGGCTCTAGTGATCCTCTCGCCTTGGTCTCCCAAAGTGTTGGGATTATAGGCATGCACCATCATGCCCGGCCTTCCCTTATCTTTACAACAACTTTACATGATTGACATGGCCTATTGTTCCCTGTTTATTATCCAAGAAACGGTCCTGAGGGAAATTAAACAATTCCTTAAAATCACGGAGGCAGTCCCAGGTAGGCCCACGATGACACCCAGAGCCCTGTGGTATGAATGCCGGCACCACCCTATTTCTTGCACTCAAACCTAATCCAAGACCCTGCTCCTGCCTCCTGGCTCTGCTGCTTGTCAATGACTTTGGGGAACAATTTCAGCATTTTAGCTTCAGGTTTTTATTTGTAAAATGAGAAAAATATCTGACTTATTTCCCATGGTTGTCATTCTCTAGGTCAAGTTAAGTTAAAAATATTAACAAGAAAGTATTTGTAAATTGTTAGTCATAAACTTGAAGCTTAAAGGCTGCTTTGATGGAGAGACCTTAGAATGTCACTAGTTGAACATAATGAGGGGCTATTTCTCATTCATATCAAGTCCTGGTCTGCGCTCACTCTGTATGGGTGTTTGGGGACACAGGCTGAAGGATGGGGGCTCTGGGCATGTGGTTTCCAAGGTTGCTGTGGATTCCAACATCCTGCCAGGATATAGAAGAGAGTTTGGAAAAGATGCATCTGTTTTTTGTCCCTTTTGGTCTGGAAGTGCTCCAATTACTCCTGCTCATCATTCCATTGCTGAGAACAAATCACAGGGGGGTCTGGGAAGTGTAGTCTCTGGCTGGGCAGCAGCTAGTCCACAGAGGGGAAGGGGCACGCAGACCTCAGTGGACATCCGCATCTTTGCCAAGGACACCCTATGCCTCAGCGTTCTTCTTTTACAAGATGCAAACTAAGCCAAGAATGGTGACACTGTAGACTCAGAATTACAAACTTAATTAACAACAGAGTAAAATCAGGCATGGAAGTCTCTTGCTTCATGCCGATGCCCCCATTGTTATCATCATCTTTGTCATTATTCCCAGGAGGTGAGCCATGGGATAAACTCTTTTTTGTTCACTTCCCACTATAGAGTCCTGACCAGCTGAGGCTGGGGTGACTGTCTTCTGTAGGTTTTCTGTAACGTTGCCCAAACTTTGCTGATGACACCAACTGGACAGAGGATGGCAGGACCTATCCCTGATGTCACTTAACCCAAAGCTTTCTAGGGCAGCTCTCTTCTCTGTTGAGTTGTGTGCAGTTCTTCATTCGCGTTGTTTCAGGAAGGATCAGACTCAGAATGCCACACGACGTCCCCTAGTACCCATGAAGGCGAGTCCATGTGCTCCCCACCTCTCCACCTATTCTTTCCCCTCTTCCTTGCATCCCTGGCTCTGCTGAAGACTGGGTTGCAATCCCATTGGTAGCATTGCTGGAACGGTTTGTCATGGCTCTCCCATCTGCAGACTGCAACCCCCTCCCCACTTCCCACAGGCTTTTCTGAGGCAAATTGAAAGATGTGACACTTTCCCTTTGCTGTGGCCTTTGAAGAGCTGACCACATGTCAAGTTTCTTTCCTTTGGCTGGAATTATATCAGTGCAGGAGAGGAATGTTGGCTTTCCTGGGCTGATGTGCAGCTTTCACTATCTGTGAGTCATAAAATATGAGAACACAATTTAATTGGTGGTTAATAAACACATTTTTGGATAGATGGCATTTAAAAGAAGATATCCACAGGGTAAACATTAATCAATGGGCCCGTAAACCACACACTGTGAGTCACAATGATCCAGGATCTTCAGGCACTCAGCTGGCAGGATGTCTTGCAGGTCTGACCCCATGGAAAGCTTCTAGCAGGACCGCTGGCTAAGGCAGCCTGTCAGTGTCTGGTAAGGCTGGTAGATCAAGGGTCTGCAGTGGCATTGACTTTGCCATGGTTCAATCAGAGAAGCAGGACCAGTAGGATACATAATAAAGAATTTGTTACAGGAACTTGACTTCACACAATTTTGGGAGTTAGTTAAAAGATTTATGACAGATGGCCAGGTGTGGTGGCTCATGCCTGTAGTCCCAGCTCCTCGGGAGGCCAGGATGGGAGGATTGCTTGAGCCCAGGAGTTTAAGGCCACAGTGAGGCATGATCATGCCACTGCACCCCAGCCTGGGGGACAGAGTGAGGCCCTGTCTCTAAAAAAAAAAAAATGGTTTATGTGTGGGGTTACTGCTTCTTCCTCTGGTGTGGGAGTATGAAGTCAGCAGGCAGGCAGTTGGGAGGCAAGGATGTACCTAAATGGGGGAAGAGAGGACTGGCATCTACACAGGCAACACAGATGCTGTGAGCATGGATGAGAACCTGCACCAACCTCTCATCCTCTCCACGCCTCAACTTTGAAGACAGGTGGTGAAGGGCGGGAGAAGTTGGCAGCCGCTGGCACGGAGCTCAAACTCCTAGGAGATGAGTTTAGGGGGAAATGGGTGAGGTTGGAGGTGAAGTCACCACGCTGACAAGGTGAGCTCACAGAGCTGGGGGCCGCGAGGCAAGCAGCAGCAGGGCCTGGTACCCTGCACCAACTTTCTGAATATAAAAAGGACGTGGCTTTGGCTTCACTTTTGCTGTCCAGATCTCACACTAAATGTGTCTTGTGGCTGATAGTACTACCCAGGGCTTCTGGGAACCACAGTTCTAGTTTAGCTAGAACTGGTCTTACCATGATTCCACAGTCAAGCTAAGTTAAGCTAAGTTGACTTGATACATATTTACCACTATCTACCCCTTGTAACCTTCTTATCCACATACAACTATTTTAACATACTTAATTGTCTGAAAAAGACAATATCAAAATTGTACTTTCACCTAAAATAATGCAACTGTCCATACAACTGAAAACACCCTAACCTTCTCCCTAAAAGATGCAAAGTTCCTTTACCCATCTGTGGATGACAGTCATTCCATCTTGAGCTGCGATACATTCTCCCATTGACATTATCTGGCTCAAACACTGAGATATAAGGTTAACTACTATTGACACAGCTTATATTAGATGGTTGGAAATAAGAAGAAGGCAAGAGAGAAAATAACTTAATATATACACAAATGTGTTCTTATCAAAATGAAAAGATACTCCTATCTATTACAGTTCTCTCCATTATTAAGTACCTTCTTGCACTTTTCATTCCATATTTATTTCTTTTGCTTTTGGCAATCACTTTGGGTCATTGTAGTTCCCTGCCTGATGGGGTGACCCAAGCCTGCAGTCCTGAGTGTGGTTTTCTATTAACTTATTCCATTATAATTAAAATTCTATTATAATTAATTCTACTAATGTAATCACAGGGCATGGGAGTACTAGGAGGTACTATATTACTGGTTGAATTGTGTCCTCCCAAAAGATATGTTCTAACCCCTGGTACTTGTGAGTGTGACATTCATTATTTGGAAATGGTATCTTTGCCGACAGCATCAAGTTAAGATGAGGTCATTAGGATGGGCTTTAATCCGAGATGACTGGTGGCCTTATAAGAAGAGGGAAATTTGGACACAGACACACACACAGAGGCAAACGCCATGGATGATGCGGACACAGAGAGAAGATAGCCAGGTGGTGATGGAGGCAGAGGTTGGAGGGATGCTGCCTCCAGCCAAGGAATTCCTCGGGCTACCAGAAGACAGAAGAGGCAAGGGAGAACCCTTCACCAGAGATTTTGGGGAGAGAACCTTGCTTTTGGACTGCCAGCCTCCAGAACTGTGAGAGAATACATTTCTGCTGTTTCAAGCCACTCAGTTTATGGTGATTTGCTAGAGCAGCACTAGGGGGCAAATGCACAACCCAAGGGATCTCTTGTAGGAGATCCACTATAATCCTCATATTTTATAATCTTTATTCCATTACAACAGTTCTTACCTTCATTGTGTAATAATAACCCAACTTTCCCTTGAGAATCAGGATCAGTCACCCCAGCCAGTACAGTTACCCACTCCTTGGCCTCTTGATTTACTGACATGAGGAGCCCAAAGTGTGTGTGTGGCAGTGTTAACTTGCATCTTAATGGTACCAACACTTTGTCCTCTGGTGGAAATATTCCTCCTATGGGGATTAAGCCTTCTAGACCAGCAGCAGAGCCCAAATTTGCAGTGACAGACTGCAAAAATTTTCTTAGTGGGTCATCGATTGTAACAGAGAGAGGATCTGCTTTTATTTCCACTCCTTCGTTTCTAAGCCTTTGCCTACAGACTCTGGAGAAACAATACCATGTATGGAGGGGATACCTTTTACTTTGGAGGACATTGCTCCAGCCCTACAAGGTGTTGCCCTCCAGCTGGTGCCATGATGGAAGATTCAAAAAGCCACTCCATTGTTATATCAGGCCAGCTGCTTCAGGACTATAGGATCATGGTGAGACCAGCAAGTTTCGTGGGCACGAGCTCACTGCCATACTTCATTTGCTGTAAAATGAGTTCCTCAGTAAGAAACAATGCTGCATGGCATGAATATGGCAAAGTTCATTGGTGGTGCTGACAGAGCTGTGGGCAAGAAATGCAAATCATGTCCAGAGTAAGGGATTATTTTGGTGAGATCAAATTGCTGCCCCTTCCATGACTAAAGTGATGATTGGCTGATTCTCCCAGGGAATGGCACCGTAACAAGCATCCCATGTTGGTGTCCACTGTTGGCAGATTGGGCTCTCAGCTGTGGCTGCAGTCAGATCAGCCATGGTGAGAAGTCTATGCTAAGCCCATGCAAGACTTCCATCCATGTTGCCCTAGCCCAGTAAGCAAGGACAGCTGTGGTGGGAAATGACATTGACTCATATTTTTCATAGGACAGGTCATTTTATCCATATGATTGTTCCATTCCTTCTCTGCTGAGCTTGCTCTTCTAAGAGCTTTCACAAGGGCCGCATACCTTCACACGTGGTGCCCATTCAGGAGATCTATCACCTGCATCTTCTCTAGATTACATTGCTACCAATTTTCCAATCATGTTACTGACAAATCCCCAGCTACCCCGCCAAATCATGAGCATGTGTTCCTATCTCTGGTTAATCCTCTTACAGGCAAAGTGAACAACACGTGCTCTCTTTACGGTTCTGCCCTCTGTGAAGATGCTGCTTCATGACTGTTCTTTCAGCCATCCCTAGTTGGGCTATAGTGCTACAGCCATTCATTTGCAGGTAGTGCTGGAATTTTTTAGAGGAGCACCCCTGAATGAGGCCCAAAGGTTTTGTTTCTCAGACAGCATGTCTTAGGGATCTCTGGATGAGATTCTCAGTGCAGGATAAGAGGAAGGAGGCAATGGAGCAGAAGGGGCTGTGGGCCTCTGCCCCACTGCTCATGCCACTTGCTGTGCCTTCAGGATATGCTCAAGTCCAATAGCATGACTGTAACTGCCAGCTGATGATGGAGTGCCTCTGTGCACACCCAGATTTATGGGGCTTGGTGGATCAGACAACACACAGTTCATGACAGACAGTTCAAGTTCCACAATAACTTAGTGGTGCATGGTCAAGCATCCAATCTATGAAGGCCATGTAGCACCCCAGGAGCTGCTCCTCAAAGAGACAATGGCTCACCACAGAGGATGGCATTGCTTTGCTCCCAGATGCCAGCAGTCTGTGCCATGATTTCTCCAGAGGGACCTGTGAAAGTTTCCATCATATGGCATTTATATCTGCCACAAGTGCTTCAAGCACCATTCATGTCCTCAGCCGTGTAGCCCACATAGCCTGGACCTGTTGCCAGGCCTTCTCTTGTTTTGCTGGTAGCTTTTTGGGCTTCTCAGTAAATATGTCAGAGTACTCAGATGAGGTGTATGCTGCCCTAAAATCCAAAGAAGCCTGCTAGGCACTGTGTCTCTTTCTTAGTGGTAGGAAGAATCAGATACAGCAACTTGCCCTTCAATTTGGAAGGGATATTTCAACATGTCCAAGACCACTGGATCCCAAGACAGTTCACCCAGTTGGAAGGCCTCTGAATTTTTGTGGGAAATTAATCTCTCACAGTCTGGCATTTGTGTGTCTTACCAATGTGTCTAATGTAGTTGCTACTTCCTTTTCACCAGGACCAATTAATATATTATCCATGTAATAGTCAGTATGCTATCCTGCAGGATGGAGAGACTTACCAAGGTCCTTATGGAGTAGATGATGACATAGGGCTGGAGGGTGGATTAGCTCTGAGATAGGACAGTGAAGGTGTATTTCTGGTCCTATGAGCTAAAAGCAACCCAATCCTGATGCCCTTAGCAACAGGTATTATGCTGGGCTGAATATTGCCTCCTTCTCCCTCACCCTCTGCCAAGTTTATGTCTATCTAAACTTCAGAACGTAAACTTATTTGCAAATTGGGTCTTTGCAGTATGTAAGGCCTTATCTTTAATATGACCGGTGTCTTTACAAAAGGAAAAAAGAGGCCAGGCCTGATGGCTCACACCTATAATTCCAGCACTTTGGGAGGCTGAGGCAGAAGCATTGTTTAAGGCCAGGTGTTCAAGACCAGCCCAAGAAAAGCAGAGAGACCCTGTCTCTACAAAATAAATGAATAAAATTAGCTGGGTGTGGTGGCACATGCCTCCCTACAGCCCCAGCTACTCAGGAGGCCGAGGCAGGAGGACTGCTTGAGCCCAGGAGTTTGAGGCTGCAGTGAGCTATGATTGCACCACTACACTCCAGCCTGGGTGACAGAGTGAGACCCTGTGTCTAAAATAAAATAAAATAAAATATTTCTAAAGATTGCAAAAAGAAGAGAAGAGACACATGGGGGAGAACACCAGGTGAAGATGGAGGAAGACATTGGAGACCCATCTACAGGCCAAGGAATCCTGAGACTGATGGCAGCCACCAGGGGCTAGAAGAGGCGAGGGCGTTCTTCCCTGGAGCCTTCATGGGGAGCAGGGCCTTGCTGATGCCTTGATGGTGAAGATCCAGTCCGGGAACCATGAGGTGATAAATTTCTGTTGCTGGTGTTTTTTTTTTTTTTTTTTTTTTTTTGAGATGGAGTTTCATTCTTGTTGCCCAGGCTGGAGTGCAATGGCGTGATCTCGGCTCACCGCAACCCCCGCCTCCTGGGTTCAAGCCATTCTCCTGCCTCAGCCTCTCAAGTAGCTGGGATTACAGGTGTGTGGCACCACAATCAGCTAATTTTGTATTTTTAGTATAGACAGGGTTTCTCCATGTTGGTCAGGCTGGTCTCGAACTCCTGATCTCAGATGATCCACCCGCCTTGGCCTCCCAAAGTGCTGGGATTACAGGCATGAGCCACTGCACCAGGCCAAGTTTCTGTTGTTTAAGACACTCAATCTGTGGTGCTCTGTAACAGCAGCCTTAGGAAGCTAGCACAGAAATACAGAAAAAAGCATTCACTCAACCGGTGGCTGCATGTGGATCCTATGGGACAATTGATTTTCTTCATCAATGAAAACATATCAGGAATAGCTGCTGAAATTGGAACCAACATCTAATTGAGTTGATGATAATCCACTGTCATTTTGAAGATCTGCCTTCTGCACAGGTCAAACATGTGAGCTGACAACGATGCAGTGGGAATCACCACTCTTACCTCTGTCAAGGTCTTAGTTGTGGTATGAATCTCTCAGTCCCTCTAGAAATGGGATGTTGCCTTCGGTGTCGTATTTCAGGAGGTGGAGGCAGGTGTCCTGGCTTCTCCTTGGCCTTCCTGCCATTACAGCCCTCACTCTGTGGGTCAGGATGGAATGTAAGGATTCTCCCCTTGCTGAGTTTATGTATTCAAGTTCCCAGAGGGAATAGCAACCGAGTATTTTGGGGCTTTAAGGACACACTTAGACCTGAGCCAAAATCCCATTGATTTAATTATCCTGTTAAATCTTCTCTACATGGTGATTTTGTTGTTGCTGTATAGTTCCAAAAAATTTTATTACATGTGTAGATTTGCATAATGGCCACTACAGTCAGGATATAGAACTGTTCCATACCTCAAAGAAAATCCCACGTGCTGCCCTGCACAGTCACCCTCCTCCAAACCTAACCCCCACAATCACTGACCTGTTCTCCATCGCTGTTATTTTGTCATTTTGAGACTGTTACGTAAGTTGAATAGTGTAACATGTGACCTCTCAAAATGGGCTCTTTGACCTTGAGACCCATCTAAAGTATAATGAATGACCTTGAGACCCATCTAATGTATTATGTATATCAATAGTTTTTTCCTTTTTATTGCTGAGTAATATTTTATTGTATAGCTCCCGCAATTCCACCTCTGGGTATTTATCCAAAGGAAATGAAGTCAATATGTTAAAGAACTAGCTGGGCTGAGCATGGTGGCTCATGCCTGTAATTCCAACACTTTGGGAGGCTGAGGTGAAAGGATCTTTTTGAGCCCAGGAGTTTTAGACCAGTCTGAGCAACATAGCAAGACTCTGTCTCTACAAAAACTAAAAAATAAAATAAAATAAAATAAAATAAAATAAAAAAATAACTGGGCATGGTAGTGCCCGTAGTCTCAGCTACTCAGAAGGCTGAGGTGGGAAGATCACTTGAGCTTCCAAGTTTGAGGCTGTAGTGAGCCATGATTGAGCCACTGCACTTCAGCTTGGACAACAGTGAGACCTTGTCTCAAAAAACAAAACAAAACAAAACAAAACAAAACAAAACAAAAAAAGAGGATTCTCTGCACTCCCATGTTCATTGCAGAATTATTCACTAGAGCCAAGATATGGAACCAATCTAACTATCCTTCAACAGGTGAGTGAATACAGAAAATGTGGTACACAGACACAAAGGAATACTGTTCAGCCTTTAGAAAGAGGGAAATCTTGCAATTTCCTCCAGTTTCATCCATGTTGTTGCAAATTATCAGATTTCCTTCTTTTTAACCGCTGAACAGTTAGAAAGAAGAAATAAGCTCAAGAGATCTACTATACACCATGGTGACTATAGTTAATAACAATGTATTGTATTCTTGAAAGTTGCTGAGAGTAGATTTTAAGTGTTCTAATAACAAAAAATATGCATGTGAGGTAAAACATATGTTAAATAGCTTGACTTGGTCACTCCGCAATATATATGTATGCATTCCCAATTGACATGTACTCATCGTATATACAACAAGTATTTACAAATTCTGTCAGTTAGAAAAGAATACACATGACAAAAATTCCATTATATATATATATATATATATATTTTGTTTGTTTTTGTTTATCCACTCACCCATTGAGGGGCATTTGGGTTATTCCCAGCTTTTAGCTATCACAAATAAAGCTGTTATGAACATTTGTGTACAGGTTTTCGTGAGAATATGTTTCCATTTCTCTAAGGCAAATAATTGGGAGTGTATATTTAACTTTAAAAGGAACAACCAATCTATTTTTCAGGGTGGCTATATGAGAGATTCAGTTTCTCTGCATCCTCTCCAACACTTAGTATATATTTCTAAATTTTAACCATTCCAGTAGTTCTATCTCTCTTGGTGCTACCTCTTCATGGCTTTAGTTTGCACTTTTTTTCTTTAAAGTTCCGGGATACATGTGCAGAATGTGCAGGTTTGTTACATAGTTATACATGTGCCATGGTGGTTTGCTGCACCCATCAACCTGTCATCTAGGTTTTAAGCCCCACATGCACTAGGTATTTCTCCTAATGCTATCCCTCCCCTTGCCCCCCATCCCCCGACAGGCCCGGGGGGGTGATGTTCCCCTCCCTGTGTCCATGTGTTTTCATTGTTCAACTCCCACTTATGAGTGAGAACATGCAGTGTGTGGTTTTCTGCTCCTGTGTTAGCTTGCTGAGAATGATGGCTTCCAGCTTCATCCATGTCCCTGCAAAGGACATGAACTCATTCTTTTTTATGGCTGCATAGTATTCCATGGTGTATATGTACCACATTTTCTTTATCCAGTTTATTATTGATGGGCATTTGGGTTGGTTCCATGTGTTTGCTATTGTAAATAGTGCTGCAATAAACATAAGTGTGCATGTGTCTTTATAATAGAATGATTTATATTCATTTGGACATATACCCAGTAATGGGATTGCAGGGTCAAATGGTATTTCTGGTTCTAGATCATTGAGGAATCACTACACTGTCTGTCACAATGGTTGAACTAATTTACATTCCTACCAACAGTGTAAAAGTGTCCCTATTTCTCCACAGCCTCACCAGCATCTTGACTGGTGACAGCCTCACCAGTTTCTTGACTTTTTAATGATGTGAGATGGTATCTCATTGTGGTTTTGATTTGCATTTCTGTAATGACCAGTGATGAGCTTTTTTTCATATGTTTGTGGGCCGCATAAATGTCTTCCTTTGAGAAGTGTCTTTTCATATGTTTTGCCCAGTTTTTGATGGGGTTTTTTTTCTTGTAAATTTGTTTAAGTTCCTTGTAGATTCTGGATATTAGACCTTTGTCAGGTGGGTAGATTGCAAAAATTTCCTCCCATTCTGTAGGTTATCTGTTTACTCTGATGCTAGTTTCTTTTGCTGTGCAGAAGATCTTTAGTTTAATCAGATCCCATTTGTCAATTTTGGCTTTTATTGCAATTGCTTTTGGTGTTTTCATCATGAAGTCTTTGCCCTATGTCCTGAATGGCATTGCCTAGGTTTAATTTGCACTTTCCTAATGGCTGATGAAGTTCCGTCTCTTTTCATGTGCCTATTGTCATCCATGTATCCACTTTAGTGACATGTCTGTCCAAGGCTTTTGCACAGTTTCTAATGCCTTCTTAGGTAGTTATTCATATATTAAAATTCAGATAGTTATTTACATATTTTGGAATTCAGATAGTTATTTACACATTCTGGATACGCACCTTTTTTCAGGTATGCGATTTGCAAATATTTTGTACTAGTTTGTGGCTTGTCTATTTATTTTCTTGACTTCTAAGGTTTTTGATACAATTATCTACAATATGCCGAAGAATCTGGCATTTTAACCACGTTGTGTAGGCCAACTCTTTGTCATGGTTTCTGTCAACCAACCAAGTAAACTGTTAGTGCCACTACCAGCCCCTTGAGATAACTCACTGATTCCAGCATCTCTGCCTAGTAGGCCCATATCAATACATTTGGCTTGCTGCAACTTTATTTTCCTCCCAGTGGTCCCACACCAGTAGGAGCCATTCCACACATGTTCTCCATGTTCGTGTTCACATAAATTGGTAAAATTATGCAATTATTTTGGTGTGTATTATTATACTTCCTCCTGGATTGCACTTTATACTTTGTCCTCTGGGGCCTGTTGGACTGGAGTCTGGCTGTAGTTCTTGTAGCAAAGAGAGGTGACAAAAGTAGGGCTGAAGAGGCACAATCCCTTCCTTGCAAAGACTCCACATTGGGGCAAGGCATCATAGATTCTTCAGCCAAGAGGACACTAACCGCCTCATTCAGGGCACTGGCAGGGAGATTGGCAAAATTCACAGGTTGGAATCTATCCCTGTGTCTCTTTCCCAATTTTCAGGGTCCCACTCCTTCAGAATCTGTGCCGTAACTACATTAGAGACCCTGTAAAGTTGAGAATTCACTTTGTCTTACAATTCAGCTACCCTAGAACTAGACTTTAGGTTAAGTTCTGGTTTTCAGAAATCCCAACCTGGTGACTACAGGAGAAAGGTTTATTTTAGGGCCAGAATAGAAGCTTTCAAGTTCCTTTTAGGAAGCTTGGGGATTTTAAGCCCTGCTCTCATTATTTTGTTTCTCCAGGTTCTCCAGTACATTTAGAAACAATCAATCAGCCCTGCTATAATTTTAATTTTTACCAAAATGTTAATGGTGGCTGGATGTGGCTTCCCAAAGTGCTGTAATTGCAGCACTTGGAGTTACAAGGGAAGCCAAGGCAGGAGGATTGCTTGAGGCCAGGAGTTCAAGACCAGACTAGGCAACATAGCGAGACCTCGTCTCTCAAAAATAAAAATAGCCAGTCGTGGTGGTGCACACCTGTAGTCCCACCCACTGGGGAGGCTGAGGTGGGAAGATTGCTTGAGCCTAGGTGTTTGAGGTCACAGTGAGCTATGATCGCTTCACTGTACTCCAGCCTGGGCTGCACTCCAGCCTGGACTAAGCCTCTATAAATAAATAAATAAACAAATAAATAAATAAAATAAACATACCTGGCCTAGGAGTTGAATATGCTGAAGGGGAGGATCTGGCAGGATCTGGGGTTGCTGAGGGCCTGGTTGTGTCCCCACCCCAGCAAGGTGAGGCACAGGTAAGTGGTGCTGTGCATGAGATGTTACAGCATGTGGTACATTGGCCTGACCTCCTGAGGGTCCAAAGAATCTGACTTCTGATTCAAAATATGATGTACGATGCTTCTGGTCAGCCACACTAACCTGGGACGATGCAAGGGGATTTGAGAAACCAAGTTCACTTTAGCGAAGTTGATGCCACAAAATTCCACTTATCACAAATCTTGGGAAAACATTCTTCTCAAGGCTCCATGGTTCTTTTACAAACTGACACCATGGCCAGGCACAGTGGCTCACGCCTGTAATCCCAGCCCTTTGGGAGGCCGAGGCAGATGCATCACCTGAGGTCAGGAGTTCAAGACCAGCCTGGCCAACATGATGAAACCCTGTCTCTACTAAAAACACAAAAAAATTAGCTGGGTGTGGTGGCGGGCACCTGTAATCCCAGCTACTCAGGAGGCTGAGGCAGGAGAATCACTTGAACCTGGGAGACAGAGGTTGCAGTGAGCTGAGATCACGCCATTGCACTCCAGCCTGGGTGACAAGAGTGAAACTCTGTCAAACAAACAAACAAACAAACCTGCATGAGACACAGAGGATCCCAAGAAACATCACCACTGTGTCTCTGAGACTAAAACCATGTTGTTTTGCCCTGCCCTGATGCTGACATTTGGGTATCAAGCAATAAGATGTCACTCCTGTTGGAGAGAGAGCTGTGGGTCCAGGGCTTGAAATGGTCACAGGCCTGTTCTCTTATATGTTTTTCCACTTCTACGTCCTTGTAGTACTTCATTCTATGATTCTTATTGCCCATGCAAGAATCCCTGATATTGTTTAAACTTTTAAAAGTGTTTTAACACATATTTTCTCATTAAGTTCTTACAGAAATGCAAGCCAAGAGAGATTTGACTCATCTAAGTCATCTCCAAAATAGGTGAGGTAGCATGAGAGTCTCAAGTCAGGGATTCAGGATCACTTTTACCTCCTTAGCCCTGACAAGAAAGTTGGCTTGCATAGAAAGTTCTTGTCAGGGCTAAGAGACATTATGCTGTTATTAATGATCTCCTTGGCAGCTTGAACAGGAATTTGCAGAACCAGAAAGTAATCATGTTAATTACTTATCACCTCAGCTGCTTAGAAACCAATCACGTTTTCACCCAAATCCAGGGTTCTCTCAATGCCCTCAGTGACTGGTTGGGTCCCATGAGGAGCTTTGAAAATACATATGGTAGGGGGACTACCCTACTTTCAGAGGCATGTTTGAGGTGTGTCTTAATCTATTTTGTGTTGCTGTGAAGGAATACCTAAGCCTGGCAATTTATAAAGAAAAAAAGGTTTATTTAGCTCACAATTCTGGTGGCTGCAAAGTTCGAGATTGGGTGCGTGCATCTGAGGAGGGCCTCAGGCTGCTTCCACTCATGGCAGAAGGCAAAGGGGAGCTGGTGTGTGCAGAGATCACACGGACAGAGAGGAAGCAGGAGAGCAAGTGGGGAGGTTCCAGGCTCTAGTTAACAACCAGTTATCATGGGAACTCAATGAGAACTCCCTCACTCCCAAGGAAAGGCATTAATCTATTCATGAGGGAGCCACCTTCATGACCCAAACACCTCCCAATAGTCCCACCTCCAACACTGAGAATCAAATTTCAGTATAAGGTTTGGAGGAGACAAACAAACCATACCTAAACCATGGCAGGGTGGAAAGGCGTAGGGTAGTATGTGAGTTTCTGATACTCATTCCTTCCAGTTGAGAGTGACTGTTCTATTCTTCACATTGAATGTAATTCCAGGAGATTACTATTCTTTCTTCTTCTTTTTTTTTTTTTTTTTTTTTTTTTAGAGACAAGGTCTCACTCTGTTGCCCAGGCTGGAGTGTGGTGGTGCAGACTGCAGCCTCAAACTCCTGGGCTCAAGTGATCTTACTGCCTCAGTCTCCAGAGTAGTAGGATCACAGGTGCATGCCACCTCACCTGACTAATTTTCAATTTTTGTAGAGACAGTGTCTCACTATGTTGCCCAGGCTGGTCTTGAATTTCTGCCCTGAAGTGATCTTCCCACCTCAGCTTTCAAAAGCACTGAGATTACAAGTGTGAGCCACCATGCCCGGCCCGGGACTATTCTAATAATCACCTTCGCCTAGATAATATATCTATGTATTTATAATAATGTGCAAATATGCAAATAACATATGAGTGTAAAGTTAAACACTTTACAAATAGAGTTCAATCAAATGTTGACTTTAATTCAGGAAATAGTATATCTAGGTTCTTATAACTTATAGGAAATATCCTATTGGACTCTGTTACAACCAAACTATGTCCACATATCAACCAGTGTTTTGGTCATGAAGGTGGCTCCCTCATGAATAGATTAATGCCCTCCCTCGGGGGTGAGGGAGTTCTCATTGAGTTCCTATGATAACTGGTTTTTAACTAGAGCCTGGCACCTCCCTTGCTCTCCTTCTTCCTCTCTCTCCATGTGATCTCTGCACACACCAGCTCCTCTTTTCCTTCTACCAGGGGAATATTGCACTTTTGATCATGTTATAGTAAGGTTAGTAAGTCCTCCTCAAGCAACAACTTTGATCTTCCCCAGGGTACAGATATTTCTATGTTTGAAATGCTGAGGATGTGCTTGCATCATGGGCACACGGGAAGATGAGAGGTAAAGCGGCCAAGTCTGTTGGATTTCTTCCTCTTCTGCCAAGACCCATATCAACTCCATTTTTTTGCATTGATAACATGCCATGCAACTAAGCCAATCTCCCAAATCAAACACTAAAATAAAATGGCTTTCGAATTCCACATCTTGGAGGAGAAATGCAGTGTTTATACACATCATCACCATGTTCTCTTTTGAATTCAGAAACACTTTTTTTTTTCGCCATTGGTTCATTCATTTTCCAAGCAGAGGGACTCAGCTAGTTTTTTACGGCCAACCCCTGCCAAGTGTGTCAGAAGCATGCAGAATGTCTATAGTTGGACGACGTTATGTTATAACAAGACAAATAGACACTCTGGTTTCCTAAATGCTGTGACTTTTCCTATTGGCTTTTCCTATGATTAATGGAGTGTCTAGCATATGGTGCTCAATAAGTAGTTGTGGTTGAGGATGAAGAAGGAGACAGGAGGATTCCTGGACCAATCAGAGAATAGCGTGATACAGTTAGTTATTGGAACGTGATGTCACTTGAATAGAATCAATTTCTGAAAAACAGCAAGTCTTCCAAGAGTTAATGCTTGTGTCTTGGGCTATGGACATACATTTTTTACCTTCTTTTAGAATCTACAAAATTTTAAAAAGGAGGATAGGTGAGAAATAAGAAATGGACAAGCAAGTGTTTATTGAGTTCCTGCTGTATCCTGAGTAGCACACTTGAGGCCATGAAAGAATTGAGAGTAAGCCATGGTCTATGACTGCAAGGAACTCCTGTTTCCTTTGGGAACAAGGAGAGATTAATGTATAGAACCTTTCATAGAAGTGATATGGTTAGGCTTTGTGTCCCCACTTAAATCTCATCTTGAATTGTAATCCCCATAATCCCCATGTGTCAAGGGAGAGACTGGATGGGGGTGATTGAATCATGAGGGTGGTTCCCCCATGCTGTTCTCCTGAGAGGAGTGAGTTCTCATGAGATCTGATGGTTTTATAAGGGGCTCTTCCTCCTTCACTCAGCATTTCTCCTTCCTGCCACCCTGTGAAAAGGTGCCTTGCTTCCACTTCGCCTTTAGCCATGATTGTAAGTTTCCTGAGGCCTCCCCAGCCATGTTGAACTGTGAGTCAATTAAACCTCTTTCCTTTATAAATTATCCAGTCTTGGGCAGTTCTTTCTAGCAGTATGAGAATGGACTAATGCCAGGAGTAAATGGTGTAGTCAAGTTATAAGGTGGCTAGGGAGTGTGGGGTGGTCAGGGAAGGTTTCTAGGGCAAGTAGATGTTGAACTAGGCCCTTGAACAGGGTAGGATTTCCATGCAAACCCCAGAGAGAGACTGAGAGAGAGAAGCAGCCTTCCGAGTTGGCTGGGGTCAGCAGTAGGTCACCACTGCAAAGAGGGAAATGACGTAAGTCTGTCATGGTTGCTGGGGAATCTCCTCTCGTTTCTGGCTTTTCCCCAAGCAACAGGCCCATTTCACCCCTGGGCCAGTCCTTACCAGAGCAGCCACATCTTAACCCTTTTCCTTCTAGCAGGTGGTCTTTCTGTCCTTAGGCCAGGGAGACTTCTGTGCTCAGCATGTTTCTTCTGTCTCATCCTGCCGTGTTTGGTCAGTGTGTGTGACTAGATTGCTGCTTTATTTCTCCAATATGTGATCTAACTCATCCCCTAAGGACCCAAATACCAGTCAACCTCTTTCTCTGGGAGCTTAGCCCTGTTATCTATAATTGAAGCTGGTGGGCACCTTTTTTCAACCAGAGGGGCTGGTAGGAAGCATGCTACTGCTGTTAACCTTTGCACATTGCTTCCTGGGGCCAGCTATGGGGCCAAACCCACCATCCTGGGCTTTTCAGGCCCCATCCTTGTGCAGACCAAGTTCACCATGACGCAGTGGGTCCTCAGTTATTGCACTCTATGGACCAATCATTGCGTGTTCTGTGATTTTGTTTTTCCCAAAAAACAATCTGCTTATAGCCAATTGAATTGTGTCCCCCAAAAGATGTGTTCAAGTCCTAATCCCTGGTACCTGAGGAGACTGTATTTGGAAATAAGGTCTTTGTAGATGTAATCAAATTAAAATGAGGTCATACTGGATTAAGATGGGCCCTAAACACAATGATTGCTGTTTTTATATGAGAAAGGAGAGGGAGATTTGTATGACCAAGGCAAAGATTGGAGCCATGTGTCTGTAAGCCAAACTTTGCTGGCAGCTTCCAGAAGCTGGAGAGGCAAGGAGGTTTTTCCTCATCACCTACAGAGGCAGTGTAGCCCTGCCGACACCTTGAATTTAAACTTCTGGCCTCCAGAGCTCTGAGAGAATATGTTTCTGTTGCTTTAAGCCTCCTGGATAGTAGTATTTCGTTATGGCATCCATAAGAGACTAACACAGATGGACCTGCACTTCGAATTTTGAATTATAACCTTTTCCCAGGCTAGCAATATGCATTTGATGCTGTCTCTTGATGCTAGAGAGCAGCGAGCCGCAGCTCCTAGTCAGCCCTGCAATCACAAGGGTGAACGGCCGATAGAATCAACCTCTGTATCCCGGGGTTCCACATCTGTGGACTCAACCAACTGCAACTTGAAAATATTCTTGGAAAATCAACAACAACAGATGGTGGCATTTGTACTGAACATGCACAGACTTTTCTCTTGTTATTATTCCCTAAACAATACAGTATAACAACTATTTACATAGCAGTTAGATTGCATTAAATATTAGGTATTGTAAGTAATCTAGAGATGATTTAGAGCAAGCTTGTTCAACCTGTGGCCTGTGGGCCACATGTGGCCCAGGATGGCTTTGAATGCAGCCCAACACAGATTCAGAAACTTTCTTAAAACATTATGAGTTTTTTTTGTGATTTTTGTTTTAGCTCATCAGCTATCTTTAGTGTTAGTATATTTTATTTGTGGCCCATGACAATTCTTTTTCTTTCACTGTGGCCCAGGGAAGCTAAAAGATTGGACACTCCTGATTTAGAGTATATGGGAGGGTATGGGCAGGTGACATGCAAAGACTATACAATTTTATATCAGAGACTTGAGTATGGTGAATTTTGGTACAGGTTGGGGGTCCTGGGACCTGCACTTTCTGATGTACTGTGTTGCCAGTGTTTATTGGATGTTGTGTTTTGTTTCTCATTCCATCGTGTCTGCAAAATGCCCATGTGTGTACAGAACTCAACATTTGATTATAAAATAGGCTTTGTGGCCGGGCACGGTGGCTCATCCCTGCAATCTCATCACTTTGGGAGGCTGAGGCAGCTGGATCACCAGAGGTCGGGAGTTCAAGACCAGCCTGACCAACATGGAGAAACCCCGTCTCTACTAAAAATACAAAAATTAGCCGGGCTTGGTGGCGCCTGCCTGTAATACCAGCTACTTGGGAGGCTGAGGCAGGAGAATCGCTTGAACCCGGGAGGCGGAGGTTGCGGTGAGCCGAGATCATGCCATTGCATTCCAGCCTGGGCAACAAGAACGAAACTCTGTCTCAAAAAAAAAAGACTTGTGTTAGATGATTTTGCCCAACTGTAGGCTAAGGTAAGTGCTCAGGCACATTTAAAGTAGGCTAGGCTGAGTTATGTTCAGTAGGTTGGATGTATTAAATGAATTTTCAACTTGGGATATTTTCAATTTATGATGAGTTTATCAGGACATAACCTTATTGTGAGGCAAGGAATATCTGTATACTCCTTTTATTACAGATATAAAAAAAGAGGATCTCTCTCAGACAGTCAGTCACTGGTCTAAGGGCACATAGATCTAGGTGGCAGACCTGGAGTTGACACCCACATCTTGTTCTAAAGCCTGGAGTCTCTCTTGCAGACCAGAACAGGGACACCACAGTCTTACATGTGCACAAATGGCCTCACTGCGGACCTTCTGCTTCCTCTCACTTCTCCCTGTCAATGTTTTTGGGAACTCCATCCAACATGGGAACTCCTACAGCATTTTGAAAAATACCCACATGGAAAGAGCCTCACATATAAAATGTATAATTATGTTACAACAAAAAGAGAGCTAAAAATCCTAGCCCATGTAAGGAAATATACATGTGTGAGGCTTCAGAGAGGCCCTGCCAGCAGTTGCAACCATACAAACAGTAAATGTTCTTTTGAGTCACTGTACTATAGTATCAAAGTAACTTCCATTTGGAGAAGATTGAACCTTGTTTGTGGAAGTTCATAACTGATTGAATATGGAATTGTGAAGGCTATTTTAATATTCTTTCTTTCCCCTTTCTTTGTGTCACTGATCTAGTTCAACACAGCAGAAGTGAGGTCCAAGTTTGATGTTGGAGGTACAGATTGAGCCTGTTGCAGATCTGGGCAGGTGCCGAGGCTTTGCTGAAGTTCCCAGGTCTCTGGAGTATGTTCACTTGGGCCTTGGACCAGCCTGTCCAGCCAGAGCCAGCAGCTGCCAGCCCAGTTGCCGTGATTACTGCTGGCCTGGATGGATCACAAAAAGGACAGATGTTCCCCTCCCGGCCAGCTAACAAGCCCTCGTGATGTGCCAGGTGGCAAAGAAACAGCACTGTGGTCTCTGATCCCAAGGATTTAGGGCCTAAGTGACGAGTCAGGACTAATTGGCTTGGCATAAAGGGAGGAAGCCAAGCTCTAGGCTTGAAAATGCTGGAGGGATTCAGGGGAAGAAGGAGTCTTTTTGGCCTGGAGTGGGCGAGGGAGTCTTCCTAAAGAGGAAGGTGGAGCAGGTCCTGGAAGGATGGGAGCACTTAGGAAAGCCAGGGTGACACAGACCCTGAGATGCCAGAGAAACCTGGGGTCAGGAGAGAGAAAACTGAGAGGGAGCAACAAGCGAGATACTGGCAGACTGTGCAAGTCTAACGGAGAGCAGTTGGGGTGTTGGCCCCTACTTCCAGCTTGCATAATGGGGAGCCTTGGGGCAGCTTCGAGGATGGAGGTAGTTAAAGAACCAGAGATATGGAATAAGCCTGCAAACACAGGCAAGGTCATAGCCTGTTGTGGAAGCTCTGGAAAAGATGCTAGATGCATCTGGCTCTGCTGCTGTTTTCTTGCACTTCTTGAATCATTATTTATTTACTTGCCTTGCCTGGCTTTGCTTCGCTTTGTTAAGTTCTTACGAACTCCAGGTGCCAGAGTAGAAGGCACAGCCCAGCTGAGGCTCCCTTGTGGGGAGGTGGACTGTGGCAATCCCTGGTGTTTGGTCGTCCTAGTTATTTCGGGAAGGGGGTGGTACATGTATGTGTGTATGCATATGCGTGTGTTTTCATGTGTGCATGCTCGTGTGTGCACGTGTGCATTGTGTACATGTGTATATGCATGTTTGTGTGTGCATGTGTGTTTGCTTGTGTGTTCATGCACATGTGTTTGTGTACCCATGTCTGTGTGTGCGCATTCTGTGCATGTGTGCACGTGTGTACTTGCATGTGTTTATGTATGCACATGTTTGCATGTCCATGTGTCTATGTGTGTGCTTGCATGTACATGTGTGTGCACGTGCATGCTTGTGTGTGCATGTGTGTTTACATGTATGTGTGGATGTCTGTTTACACATATGTGTGTGCATTGTGTTTGCATGTATTGTGTGCCCATGTGTCTGTGTGTGTTAGTGTGTGTGCATATGTGTGCATTCTGTGCATGTGTGCATGTGTGGGCTTGCATGTGTGCATGTATGCAAATGTGTTTGTGTGTCCGTGTGTCTGTGTGTGTCCGTATGTGTGTTTGTGTGTGTATGTGTGTGTTTTGGGTGGGGGATCATCCTTAGAAGACATGCCCACTAACCTTATGTTCATGTCTTCTGCATTTGTAGGAAATCGGGAATAAATAAAGCCCTGAGAAGATTACTAGCCAACTTGAGCCACTGTGGCAGAACAGGAGAAAGGCTTCCAGATTCTTTGTTAAGTGTGACACTGCCAGAATGGGTAGGCTGGCTTCCCCCAAAAGCCCCCTGTTTGACCCAGGCCTGCTCCCAGGCTGATTCCTCTCTGCCCTTTCCCTGGACTGATTGGAGACATGTAAGAAATTAACCTCCTACAAATTAGCAGCAGAGAACCTTCTAGAGCAAAGAAGGGCCAGCAAATGCTGTGCGCTGTGATGCTGCCAAGGTCTGGATCTCCACCACCCACATTCTCGTCACTCTGGTCATCACTCCATTGCTGTGGGCCTGGCCCTCCACTGCCTCTGTCTCTCCCTTTTGCTCCTCTTTGTGATGCCCTGGGAGGGGCTTGGCGGGGGCACCTCATGGCGCTTCATGGAAATGCAGGGTGCTGCTGAAGGTGGGGACTCTGGAGCACACAGATTGGAGTCCCCAAGTCCCCACTGTGGTTCTGCCACTCCCTCTGTGCCCTTCATCTCTCTCAGCATCAGTCTACCCCTGGTGAGAATGCCTGCCTCCTGGGGTTGTTCTGAGGCTCACATGAGCTACTTGGAACTCAGGTGAGGCTGTTCGGTCCCAGCGCTGGTTTGCCTGTTGGGCATCTCGGAGGGTGAGGTCCTGAGCCAGGTGTGCCCTGGGACCCTCTTAGACCTGGCCTAGCATCTCAGGACATGAGTATCAGAGTCAAACCTGACTATCGAGATGAACAAATAGACCCAGTTCCTTTCCTCTGAATGTCTGTTGATTGGTTCTCCATCTTGGAAAGCGTACTTTTATTTCAAGTAACAGCTTCATTCAGATGATGCCTAGCATCCTCATAGCCCTGTGACCAGAAGATGGAAGAACGACAAATCCTCTCCCACCCACAGAACGTGTTTACACTTTCTTTTCCATTTCATATTCTGCCCTCTCAGTCATCCTAAATGTTTATTTAACAATGCTCCAAGACCTTTTAAGCTCCCTTGGTTGAATGTTTACTAAACGCCCTGTCACTTCCACTTCTACTGATAATTTCCTGCTTGCTGCAGAGTGGCCCATGCTGACGCACGGTTTGGAAACTCTTAATAGAATGACTCAGGCTCAGTCCCCTCCATGATGGGCTCCCCACAAGCATGTGGGCAGCCCATGAGGTCAGTGTGCTCCCTGGGGAATAGAAAATGAAGAAAATGGAGAGGGACTGTATGTTGGGAAGTCACTTGAAATTCAGGAGCTTCTAAGAATTTTAGCCAAAAGTTTCAAATGAATGGTGATGACTGTCAGAATCCCAGGCAACAGCAATGTGGGTCAACCCTTGGCTTGGCCCAAGGTCTTGCCCAGGGCTTCCTCATCATGGAGAGGGAGCGAGGGCATGACAAGATGCCAGGTGGTGGTTCAGCCTGGTTCCTGGCACTTGAACCAGAGAATGCCAGGGAACATAGGCTGTCCCTCTCCAGGCCACAGGCTGCATTTTCAACTGAACTCATCCTCTGTGTGATCTCCTTTTGTTGCTGGGGGCCATAGATAGACAGCTACACAAAGACGGACTTCCAGGTGTTGGACAGGACTGCTACGTGTGGTTGTTGCAGGTTGTGTACTGAGCAATCTAGGGGGTAACAGTCATTTACAGTCTAAGTGAATGACACTCTCCTGAGTTGTCCGGGGACACAGATTAGAAATAGACCCAGAAACAAGTTGGGTGACTCAGTGTCATAGAACCAGGGCAAGGCTGAAGGCAATATATACAAAGGTCATGAGCTTTCAAGCAGGAACATTCACACTATACCAGCTCCCACCCTGCTCCACTCCATCCTGCCCCAGTGCAGCAATTCTGGAGTGGAAAGTGGCTTAGACTCTTGGAGCACTAAGTCTGGAGTCTGTTATTCAGGGCTTTCTCCCCTTCAGTGCAAACGATCTAGTGGAAGTCATAAAACCATGAATCATGGCTTCATCAGGACTTGAAGTTCCTCTAATAAGGATAGCAAATGGCAAGAATAGAGTATTTCAGAGCAAAGGGGGAACAATGTCTGCTGGAGTGTTTAGGGAGCACTCTTGGAAGAGCTGGGTCTTTAGGTGCTGCTTGGAGAATGGCTTGGATTCGATGGGTGTAGGGGAGAGGGGAGCAGCATTTGTGCATGTGATGGATGGGGGTGAGGGCCAGAAGGACAGGGAGATGTGAGCACTGGCCTAGACTGGGAAGTGGACAGGGCTGAGGAAGCGTGCTCACCAAGGCTGTGTCCACACCAAGGGATGGGAGACACATTGGGGTAGTCCAGTGGGGCCAGATTTGAGAAGCTTTGACTGGGCTTGGGGGAGTTGGAATCTATTCTGCTGAAAAGCCACAGAAGCCTTTATTTTCAGAGACAGGGTCTTAGTAAAGATTTGTGCTCAGACTGGAGGCAGTGGTGCAATCATAGCTTACTGCAGCCTTGAACTCAGGGCTCAAGCGATTCTCCAGCCTTAGCCTCCCGAGTAGTTGGGACTACAGACACATACCACCGTGCCTGGCTAATTTTTTATTTTTTGTAGAGGCGAAGTCTCACTATATTGTCCAGGCTGTTCTCGATCTCCTGTTCTCAAGCAATCCTCTTGCCTCTGTCTCCCAAAGTGCTGGGAACATGAGCTGTGTTGCCTGGCCCTTCTGAGTGAGATGCAGTTATGAACTGAGAAGGGAGTTGCAGAGGAGAGTCAGCAATTCTTTGCTTGGGCCCCCATATCTGCTCTTTCCTCTACCAAGCTCTTTTCCTTTTGGACCAGGATAGCTCCATCTACAAGGACAGAGGTGGCTATAGCCTTCTGGGGGCACATCCAAGTCTCCAACAATGACCAGTGCTAGAGGTGAAAGAGGAAAAATGACTTCTGCCACCTCTCGTTGCTGCTAGCTGGCTGCTTCAGAATGGCTGGCAAATCCTGGCCTTTCCTGTGCTCTGCAAAGGCCTTCCCTGACCACTGCAAGGTGGGGAACCCAGGTAGGAAGAACCTAAATGAACTCCAGGAGGAAGAGCCCAGGTAAACAAGGGCTGCTGCCACACTGCCATCCCTTGGGGTGTCAGTGTCCAGGGGCATGTTCAGAAGTTGCCATTTGAGACACATGGACCAGAGAAATTAAGTATTAGAGGTGATGTTACATGAGATGGCTGCAGACATGTGTCACTTCAGCCCCAAAGACCTCTGCTAGTTTTTCAGGGCTCTTCTGGGAACTGACTGACCCCAGGGCTGCCTTCTGCTTTGAGCCTTGCTGTCAAGCTCTGATTCTCAATCTGAGAGCAGACTGATGATGGACAAGCACGATGAGCTGCTCCTATCAGCCTGTCAAGGAGCAAAGCCATCTGCTCTCTGTTAGGGCTCTGGAGGCTGAGCAGCAGATTGACAGGCTGACTTTCTAAGCCAATGGGAAAACTCCATTGATTTGTAACTTTCCTGGAAACAATCACTCATCACCTGATCAGCCTGGAGAGCTCTTCAGCCCCTACTGATCTTGGGTAGTGACTGTCATCTGGTGGACCCAGAGTCTGCAAAACCAGAGCAGAAAACCTGTTTCTACTCCAGCAGCTCCAAGTTCTGACTTGGCAGGCTCATTCTAAAGCTAATACAGGCCTGGTGCCATGGCTCACAGCTATAATCCCAATAATTTGGGAGGCCAAGGTGGGAAGATGACTTGAAGCCATGTATTAGTCCATTCTCATACTTCTTTAAAGACATACCTGAGACTGGATAATTTATAAAGAAAACAGGTTTGATCGGCTCATAGTTTTGCAGGCCTACCTAGGGAAGCCTCAGGAAACTTACAATCATGATGGAAGGTGAAGGGTAAGCAAGCACATATATTTACATGGCCAGCAGGAGAGAGAGAGAGAGAGAGAGAGAGAGAAGCGGGAGGTGCTACACACTTCCAAATAAGCAGATTTCATGAGAACTCTATTACGTGATTTGGGTGGAGACACAGAGCCAAACCATATCAGGCCAGGAGTTCCAGACCAGCCAGGGCAACATAGAAAAACCCTGTCTCTACAAAAAATAAAATAAAATAAATTAGATGGGCATGGTGGTGCACACCTTTAGTCCCTGCTACTTGGGAGGCTGAGGCGGGAGAATCACTTGAGCCCAAGAGTTTGAGGCTGCAGTGAGCTATGATCACACCAGTGTACTCCAGCCTTGTCTCTTAAACTTGACGAGGATCAGAATAATAGAGAGGCAGGCAAGCAGTGCCAATCACATTGTTTCATGTGCCTTTGCATGCAGCAGGGGTCCTTGGTGAAGCTGAGATGCAGTGCCATTTCAGAGCGAGGAAGGGAGCTCCAAGCTGCCATCTATCATGTGTGAGAGTGACTGAGCCTCTGTTGTGTGCAGAAGGTTCTAAAAGGGAGTTCTCTAGTCTCCTTGGCTTAGGAACCTCTAACCTTTTATGTTCCCTGGAGAATGGTATTTAAATTTCTCCCTTGATAAAACCCAACCAGATCATGGGGCAATTAGCAAATCTCCTTTTTTTCACCCAAGGGGTTGAGTCATTGTATCAGAGTCATGGACTGTCAGAGCTGGAATGAATCTTGGATCACCTGGTGACTTACCCCCAGGGCCCTTACCTGAAGTCACTGAGGCCCAGGGGGTGGAGAGATGCGTTCAAAGTCATGTCACTGGTGAATGTGCAGCTAAACTTAGGAGCCTGATCTCCCAACTACCGGTCCAGCCTTCTCTCCACTCCACCAACTGCCTTTCACTGTCTGGATGTTTCAGTCTCAATCAGGGCTGGTAGAGAGGTGGGGATTCCACCTCTGGCACTGGCAAAGACCTCCCCTGTACTCACACACACACACACACACACGCACACACAATCACACACACACACATTTGCGCACACACAATCACACACACAGCTAATTTTGATGGGAGGTAGAAATGAAAACAGAAATTCTCTGGCAGAAACCCGGCTCCAGCCCTGGCCTATTAAACCAGAACATCTCCCGGTAGGGCCTGGTTGTATGTATGCTTTAAAAGCAGCACTGGTGATTCTAAAGTGCAGCCAGCCTGGAGACCACGTTTCCGGGAAGGCTCTCCGAAGGCTACACAGACTGCAGTATTGATCTGGTGAGGGAAAGGGGCAATGGTGGCTTTTACAGGGTGGCTCAAGAGGAAAGTGTCTGCTTTCCAATTCTTTTGTAGGGGGACAGCTGATAACAGGGAAAGAGCAGGTGGGAGTAGGCCAGACCAGATGCCATGAGGATGCAAGCTCTTTGAGGACCAGAAGTCCCTCTAGGCCCAGTGTATTCTCAGCCTCTGTGACTATTTATTTATTTATTCAATTTATTTTTTTGAGACAGGGTCTCGCTCTGTTGCCAGGCTGGAGCACAGTGGTATGATCACTGCAGCCACAACCTCCTAGGGCTCAAGCGATCCTCTTGCCTCAGCCTCTCAGCATCTGTGATTATTTATTGACTGATTGAATGAATACATGGTGGTGCTGGAGCTGTGCCTGCTCTTCAGCCGGCTTTATGGATGATTCCCATTCAATCCCAGTTGATTGAGATGAATTCAATTGATGCCCGTGGAGCCTCTGCCAAATGCAGTACAGGTGTCCAGGCCCATGCCCCACTCAGGGGAGCTGAGAGCCCTGGCTCAAATCCCCCAACTTTGGAAAGAAAAAGGTCTTATACAGCCAGGGCTGAGGAAGATTAGAGAATCAGCTCCCAAAATGTGACAAAAGCAAACCTAAGTCTTAGCTGCTCCTCAAATGGCTTTCTTAGGAAGGAAACCTTCTTGTAGGTCTGATGTGGGTGCATGCGTGCGCGCATGTGTATGTGTGTGTGTGTGTGTTTGGCAAAGTAGTATCTTAAGCAGTCTTGGAACTCTCATTCCCTTTTTTTGGCCTTTTACTGCTGATTAGTATTTTCAGAGTGGTGATCTCATCATTGGAAATGAATCGCTCTGTGGAACAAGAAGGTGACAGTGGCCAGAAATCAATCAACTGATAAATCAGTCAATTCATCGGAGGTGTCTCACTCATATTTGCTTGAGGCAGAGAAAACAAGAAAGTACTTAAGTTCTCAGATAGTTGACTCACTGAAATGGAAGGAATTCATCACGAAAGAATGCAAGCCCCTGGGTTAGTGTGGCTTAGAAGGGAGGTAAGGAGCACATCCAGCCTTCACAATAGCTGAGCTCAGAAATGTTAAGGAACTTTAGTGAAAATGATAAACGCCTTGGGCTCAGGGCAGTGGAAGGAGGGCTGACATGAACTTTGAGTACAGAGGAGTGAGAACCAAGTTCCAGCGGACCTCATGTCTATATCTGGGGTTAAAAAGTTTAGGCAAAAGGGAGACTGAGAGCTGAAGAAGAAAATTGTCTTCTTTTTAAGAATTGTAATTAATTGCATTTTTAATTCAATAAATTGAATTTTTAAGAATTGTAAATAATTATGATTTCTAAAATAGAAAAAATTGCGGCTGCCTGAATTAACTACCTCCCTATGTGCCTAATTAGTTTAGTGTCTTTCTGAAAGGCCCAAAGTCCCACTGAGAGTCTGGGGAACCCCTTTGCAAGGACACCATGCGGTGAGCCTTACAAATCTGGCCACAGGCAAGTCCTCTGGCCCAAGGTCACAGGGTTCCTCTATGGGTGGTCTTGCCCTGCTTCGGAGCTGAAGTGCCTTCTCCCCATCAGACCTGCGAAATTCTCCCTGCAGGCACGGGCCACACCTCTCCCTTCCGTTTCGGAGCTGCCTGGCAGAGCTCTGGCTCTGTCATGGCCTCAATCAAATCGTCCCTGACGTTTGTATAATCCCTTTATAATTTACAAAGTGCTGATCCTGCACTGTCTCTTAAGCATCTCATAGCAGCCCTGAGCAAAAAGGCATGTGTTAATTAAGCTGAGTCCTCAAACGTTTATGGAGATGTGGTTGCGTGTGTGCCAGGTGCCGCCCCCCAAGACAGCACGATGAGTGATTTCCTTTGGGAACAAGGCAGTAAGCTCGAGGAGAGCAGGCCCTGATGGTTTGTTCTTGAGTATCTGCACAGTGCCCAGCAGAGTGCCTGGCATACAGTAGGTGCTCAATGAATGCATGAAGGAAGGAGATCGGCCAGGCAAGTGTTTTTGTTTTCCTTGTTCAGATGAGGACCCAAGGACAGAGGTATTCCTGGGGATGCAGGCTTGAGGGTCTTGCTTGTGGGCAGCCAGGGCAGGGGGCCCAGTCCTTCCTGCCTCCACGCCCCAGTCCCTCCCCTCTCCTCCTGCTGGCAGCCCCTCAGAAGGATGAGCCTGGGTGGCGTGGCTGCAGGAAGCACCACTGTCTCCTGGGAGCAGCTCCAGGGCAGCGGGGCAGAGGCTGGTGTGTGCAGGGGCCAATGCAGAATGTGCTCAGGTGGCTTCTGGGAACTCTGAGCCTCTTCCTGGACCACCCTGGCTGAGGGAGCACATCCAGGCTGGGGCTTCCCGGGGGTAGTAGCTGTTTGGTTGGCCCAGAGCCACCTGGGCTTGCTTTCCCCTGATAAAGCAGCCTCAGTAGGGGTGGGGAAGGGGCTGCGCTGTCCACCCTACTGGCTCCCAGGCTCGGGAGCCACTCAGGAGAGAAGAGAGGAAGCATTTCGGAAGGCGGGCATCATCATGGGACCATAAATTGACCAGGCATGGAGCTCTTTCCCATGGACATCTTTGTGTAGGCTCTTGGCCCCGGGGCTGGCTGCAGAGCTGCGGGGCCCAGCAGGCTGTCTGTGTGAAGCTCTGCAGAGCAGTCTTGCAGGGAAAGACTGTGGAGACTAATGGAGATGTGCCAGCAGATGGGTGGTGGGCCTGGCCCCGGCCGGGGTCCTTGATGACACAACCCAGGCTGGAAGTGTGGGCTGGCTCCCGCCCCGCAGAGGAGCGCGGCGTGGGCTCCTCTAAGGAGGGAGTTCTTGAGGCTCCTCTTGACTCACTCCAGGAGTAATGTCCAGGTGAGGACTGATGAGACAGGGAGTGGCAATTAAAGAAGGGTCCAGGCACTCACCCCCTCCTGCTGGGATGGCTGGAGAAGAGAGGACAGACAGAGCAGAGTGATGGACATGCTGAGCTGTGGAACAGACAGCCAGTCCCTGGAGGGGCTACAGTGGGCCTCACCTACACAGAAAAGAGCCATGGACCGGGAGGCAGAGGCAGAGGTTAGAATCCTCACTTACTATTTATTTTGGAGACAGGGTCTTGCTGTGTCACCCAGGCTGGAGTGCAGGGCGCAATCACAGCTCACTGCAGCCTAAACCTCCCAGGCTCAACCAATCCTATCTCAACCTCCTGAGTAGCTGGGACCACAGGTGCCTGCCACCCCACCTGGCTAATTTTAAAATTTTTAAATATTTTTGAATAGAGTTGGGGTCTTGCTATGTTGCTGAGGCTGGTCTTAAACTTCCAGCCTCCAGGAATTCTCCAGTTTCGGCTCTCAAAGTGCTAGGATTATAGATGTGAGCCACTGTGCCTGGCAGAATCCTTACTCTTTAGCCAGGCATGGTGGTGCATACCTGTAGTCTTAGCTACTCAGGAGGCTGAGGCTGGAGGATTGCTTGCTGCCAGGAGTTCAAGGCTGCAGTAAGCTATGATCACACCATTGCACTCCATCTTGGGTGACAGAGTGAGACCCCCCTCTCTAAAAACATAGCATTAAAAATAAATGAAATATTTGTCTTGTCACTCTTGGGCTGTTTAACATGAAGCAGCTTTCTGAATCCCTCTGTACTGCAGCTCTCCCACCCACGTGGAGGCTTCAAGAACTACCGTGACTTCCTACTTCGCGGTCCTTTGGCTGTGAGGATCAAATGCGATTGTGCAAGTACAAAGAACCTGACAAACTGAAAAATGTGGTGTGACCCTAAGTGCTTCTACCCAAGGCTGGCAGGCAGTGTGCGGGCCAGGGGTATTGATTGCTTTAGTACAGTCAAGGTCAGTGCTATCTGGGGCCTAGAATATGTCTTATGTCCTCTTAAGAGTGTTTCTTGGTGATCACCTCCTTCCTCCTTCCCATATGTCACACCCAACACTCTCATCTCTGTGGCTGCAGCTCTCCCCTGAACCCCATGCCACTCTGGGCTCCAGAGACAGTCGACCTGCCCCACCAATTCCTGGTGTGTGACTTCAGAGTGCACTGACCCCTGCTGGCTTGGCTTTCTCTTCTCACGGTTGAGGACATTTATAATGCTGCCAGCTTGGGCTTGAGAGGATTTAAGTGAGATGCTATATGAGAAACTTACCATACAAAGGTAAGTTTTTAATCACTGCTCTTGCCAATTACTCATCTTCAAAGCCAGCGTGGGATTGGCAGTGTGATCACTTCTTTGAACCCCACTCCAGACTGTGGTGGAAGGTGATTTTCTCTCCGCATCTATCTATCGTGTTCCTTTCCTTTTATCCTAGGTGAGCCCAGGGGCACAGTATGAGGACCTCGTGGTTTTAGAACTCAGAGTTAGGGGATGAGGTAGAGGGTTTCCCCTGGTTTCTGGGGCCCTCCAGCTTCTCGGGATTATCTTGCAATGCAGCCTCCACAGTACGCACAGGAGCCCCAGTGCTCAGCAGGGCTCAGCGGACTGACTCCTTAAAGAGGCCTGAACGACAGACACTTCCCAGGGAAAATAAGCCAAACCGGGAGGTTGCCCTTCTGCGACCTCCTGGGGCCTGAGAGAGTGAGCTGCTATGGAACTGTTTCCTGCTGTTCACTGACATTTTTCCTGAAGGCCCCTGATGCTAAGGAGGAAACTCTCAAAAGAAAACAAGGAACATGAGAAATATGAGAAAGCCAGTGGTCTAGATTACGGATCTGTCTCTTGGAAACGATGTGAACCTCTGGCAGGCGATGTTCAGAGACAGGGAGGTATGCGGTGCTGTAAAAACACCTGTTGCTGTTGTGTCTGTGGGTGATGATGGAGAAATCTTGAGTGTGAAATAATTGACCCACCAGAGCATGTGTCCTAGCAGGAGGATGCAGAATTGCACAGCTCTTCCCACCTGCAGTGAAGGGGGATGGGTAGATTTTAAAAAAACGATTGTGCGTTTCTCTTTTGCTTTGCTGAAGAGACCTGTACACTAGTTCTGTGCTACCCAGAGTAGTAGCCACTAGCACATGTGGCTAATTTCATGTAAGTTACCTGAAATGAAATACATGAAAAAGTCCATTCCTCTAGCCGACAAGCCATGTTTCAAGTCCTCAGTGGCCACATACAGCTAGCGTGGGGATGGCACAGAGGGTATTTCCACCATTGCAGAAAGTTCTTTTGGACAGCAATGCTTTCATGTGCCCCAAACATTCTTGTTTGCGAGTGGGAGGGAATGAGAAAAGTTATTTAAGAAATGCAAAGAGAGAGAAAAGCTTCGTATGCAGCCCTTGACATTCAGAATCTGATCCTTCAGCAATAAGAGAGCTATGCGTGCCAGGCTATTGTCTTCAAAACCCATTTCCACATCTCTGTCGCTCCCCCTTTAACATTTCAGCAATGGAGCCTGGGTGACTCTTCTCAAAGACTTCTTCCATAGCATAGAGGAGAGTCTCTTGGCTTGGCTGGAGCCCGGGAGAAAGAGGGAGTGAGGCAAGAGAAGCAAAGGACAAGTTGGAGCCCCTTTCAGCCTGGGAAACATAAGGACCAGGAAGGAGAGGGGCTCGGCTGGCAAGCGGCTGGGCCTGGGTCTGCTGTATTGTTCCTTCCAGGCTTAGGCTGGTGATATGGTTTGGCTGTGCCCCCACCCAAATATCATCTTGAATTATAGTTCTCATAATCCCATGTGTCACAGGAGGGACCCGACAGGAAGTGATGGGATCCTGGGGGCAGTTTCCCCCATGCTTTTCTCGTGATGGTGAGTGAGTTCTCACAAAATCTGACGGTTTTATAAGCATCTGTCATTTCTCCTGCTGGCACTTTTCTCTCCTGCCAGCTTGTGAAGAAGGACATGTTTGCTTCTCCTTCTGCCCTTCTGTTTCCTGAGACCTGCCTAGCCATGTGGAACTGTGAGTCAATTAAACCTCTTTTCTTTATAAATTACCCAGTCTCAGGTATTTCCTCATAGCAGCGTGAGAACAGACTAATACAGCTGGTGAGGGGCATGGGTGCAGGCAAGGTGAAGGCCACATAGAAAGCAGAGCCTGCCACACACCAGCCTGGGAATGGCCACATCAACCTGTGGCACTAGGTGGCCCTGGGAAGCCAGGGTCTTGCCTTCTCCAGCTGCCTTGGTCACTATGTTAGTTGAACACTGAGCCAGCAGCCAGGGGCCTGCCATGGTGTCCATCATGGCATGTTAGAGGTGACCCATTGCAGAGGCTAGAACTTTCAGGGCAGTGAACTGGGTGGTGGGTGGTTGAAGACTCAGCATCTGTTGCTAGTGGCAGTCAGTTGAGGCCAAGGCAGTCTGAAGTGGACACGAGATTATCACCAGGACAAGCAAGAGCAGTCTGGGGGAGACATACAGAGGCCTCACATAGAGTGAGAACAAAGTAGTCTGGATGCATTGGCTCATGCTTGTAATCTCAACATTTCAGAAGGCCGAGGTGGGAGAATTGCTTGAGGCCAGGAGTTTGAGACCAGCCTGGGCAACAGAGCCAGACCCCAACTTTACAAAAATAATAATACTAATAAAAATTAATAAAAAATAGAATAAGAGCAAAGCAAAAAATCTCTTGGGTGCTCAGAGAAACAGACCCAGCTGGGTGGTCATGGTGATCCCATGGTGATCAAAATAGACTGGGTAATTTATAAAGACAAGAGGTTTAACTCAGCTGCTGGTACAGCTTGATCTCCTGTGTCCTAGTCAGGAAGAAGTGGCGCTCAATGCCAGGCCTGCTGGATGAGTCCCCACATCTTTCTTGGGTGGTTTTGTATGTGCCCTAAGAGTCTCTCTATTGAAAGTGACAGAAACTCCAACTCAAATTAGTTAAAAAAAAAAAAAAAAAAACCAAGAAAAAGAGTTTACTCCTTCATGTAACTGAAAGTCCAATAATATATATATTTTTTCAGGTCCAGCTACAACTAGATCCAGAGCTAAACTGATGTCATCAAGTCTCAGTTTGAATGATCCTCTCAGCTCCACTGTTCTTCATCTTAACTTAATTCCAAAGTCATTCCACAGTGGTGATATAGCTGCCAGCAGCTACACAAACCCAAAGGCAACAGCCCACATCCTTCTCCCAGAAGTCCCATAAAGAGTCTCACTGCTTTTCATTGGTTCTGATTGTGGCCGACACTCACCCTTCATCCAATCTCTGTGGCCAGGAGAATCCAGCGCTCTGATTGGTCAGGCCTGGCTCCATGGCCACCTGAAGTCCGGGGTGGAGTTAACTCCACCTGCAACACATGGACTGATGGAAAAGGGAAAAAGATCTGGAAATCCAAAAAGCTTGGAGAGCAAATTGCATTTGGTTTCTATTACACAGTGCAGCAGATTTAATTATTCTTGAAAAAATTTTTTATCTTCAAAGGGACTCAAGCTGAAGACCTCCTTTAGGTATGTCGTCGGTAGATACCTACCTCCAGTGGCTGGCTTGTTTTAGCCTCATGGTCAAGATGAGGAATCTCAGAGTGGACTGCAGCCCATGCTCTTTTCCAGAGCGTGTCAGAGGACAGGCTGTCACGAAGGCAGGCTTCACAGTGCCGGTTTCCTGAGACCACGGGAAATGTGGCTGAAGGGGTCATTGATGTCTAACCTCCTGTGTTATTCTGGGTGCAGTTCTAATGCCCAGACCATTGGTGTCCCCTGGAATGTGCCCTTGGGTCAGAGCAAACTTTAAGTTATTGTTAATGAGGTTGTGCATATTTGCATAAACTTTCAAGGTGAAATATTTCAGGGTTTTTCTTGTGGCTGGCATTTGTTTTTCTTTCTCTATCTTTTCACTTACCACAGTTGATTCAAACCCCTTAAGCCTGGAAAGGACATAGGAGCAAAGGGGGACCCCATAACTGGGGGGCATGCAATAATGGAGGCGTTGAGAGCAAGCCAGAGCTCTGGCCAAAGGTGGTCAGACAATGGTCCAGATCCCCGTTATTAAGCTTCCCCAGGCTTCATTTGTGGGAGTGGTGGCGGATTGAATATTCCCCCCCCCCCCCAGAATTCATATCTGCCTAGAACCTCAGAATGTGACATCATTTGGAAATAGAGTCTTTGCAGATATATTAGTTAAGATGAGATCATGCTAGATTAAGGGTGGGCCCTAAATCCAAAGGAGAGGAATCTCATTCTGTCTCCCAGGCTGGAGTGCAGTGGCAAGATGTCAGCTCGCTGCAACCTCCACCTCCCGGGTTTGACACACACACACAGGGGAAGAGGGCCTGTGAAGATGGAGGCAGAGAACGGAGTGACGCAGCGACAAGCCAAAGGGCACTGAGGATGGCCAGAAGCCGCCAGAGGCTGGAAAAGCAAGAGCAAAGTCTCCCTGGAGCCTGCGGAGAGCCTGGTTCTGCCGATACCGATACCGACTTCAGAGTCGTAGACTCCAGAACTGTGAGGGAATACAGTGCTGTTGCTTTAAGCCATAGCATTTGTATTCATTTGTTACAACAACCCTAGGAAACCAATCAGGGGCTCTTAAAGGAATCCAAGGCCTGAGGCAAAACATGGGTCAGAGAATGGAAATGTGGACACAGAAGTCCCCGTGGAAATGCCCTGATGAGACTTGTTTGAAGGATGAACTTCTGCTCCAAGATAATGTGGGCCTGTCCATGCCACATTCTTTATTAGGCCACCATATTGGCTCTGCAGTTTGCACCCCCAAGGGGAGAGAAGGGACCGGAATCCTGTCTATCTCTCTCCACTGAGCCAAATGTGCTGGTACAAAGCCTCATTCCCCTGGAGAAAAGGGTTTCCTTTTCTTGGCTTGAAGGTGCTAACTCTCCTGCCTGTTCCTTAAGCTGTGTGCTGGGGGAGTGAGGCTGTACAGAGGGGCCACCACCATCTAATTAACATGATGGGCCGGGCACAGTGGCTCATGCCTGTAATCCTAGCACTTTGGGAGGCCGAGGCGGGTGGATCACTTGAGGTCAGGAGTTCAAGACCAGCCTGGCCAACATGGTGAAACCCTGTCTCCACTAAAAATACAAAAATTAGCCGGGCGTGGTGGCATGTGCCTGTAATCCCAGCTACTCAGGAGGCTGAGGCAGGAGAATCACTTGAACCTGGGAGGCGGAGGTTGCAGTGAGCTGACATTGTGCCACTGCACTCCAGCCTGGGTGACAGAATGAGATTCCGTCTCAAAAAAAAAAAAAATTCACATGACAGTACCATAAAGACTAGCGGCCCTGATCCAGCTGCACACAGCCCTCACTCACATTGCCCAACCACAGAATCCCTCATTTCTTCCACAGGCACCCACACCCATTCCCCCACCCACACACACGCTTTCAATATTCAGCCTCTCCTCATTTTTCAATGGTTCCATATTTGCAAATTTGCCTACTTGCTAAAATTTATGTCTGCCCCCCAAATCCATACTCAGGACACACTCATGGTCATTTGCAGACATGTGCAGAGTGACAAAAAATTTGGGGTCTCTGGATGTGCATGTTTATATCTGAGATCAAACAAGGAAATGCTCTGCTCTCTTTTTTTCTTACTCTAAATAAGAGTCCTTTTCATAGTTTATGTAGTGCCATGTTTTTCGCATTTTTGTGCTTTTTGTTGGTGATTTTGCCATTTAAAATGGTCCCCAAGGGTAACACTGAAGTGCTATCTAGTGTTGCATAGCCTGAGAAGGATGCAATGCAACTTCCAGAGAAAATATGTGCGTTAGGTAAGCTCTGCTCAGGTGTGTCACACTGCAGGTGGCCATGAGTTCAATGTACTAATGAATCAGCAATACATATCATAGGAAGTGTCCTTAAACAGAAAGAGAAATAAAACTGTCAGAGGCGTTCAAACTAGAGTGACTCCATCTTGAATAGGGGCTTGGTAAAATAAGGCCGATGCCTGCTGGGCTGCATTCCTAGGTGTTTAGGCATTCTTAGTCACAGGATGAAACAGGAGGTCAACAGGACTGATATCACAAGATACAGGTCACAAAGACCCTGCCGATAAAACAGGAGGCCGTAAAGAAGCCAGTCAAAACCCATCAAAACCAAGATGGTGACAAAAGCGACCTCTGGTCATCCTCACTGTTCATTATATGCTAATTGTAATACATTAGCAGGCTGGGTGCAGTGGCTCACACCTGTAATCCCAGCACTTTGGGAAGTTGAGGCAGGTGGATAGCTTGAGCCCAGGAGTTTGAGACTAGCTTGGGCAACATGGCAAGACCCTGTCTCTACAAAAACTACAAAAATTAGCTGGGTGTGGTAGCACATGCCTGTTGTCCCAGCTACTAGGGAGGCTGAGATGAGAGGATCGTTTGATCCTGGGGGTCAGAGGTTGCAGTGAGCCAAAACTGCACCACTGCACTCTAACCTGGGTGACAGAGTGAGACCCTATCTCAAATAATAATAATAATAATAATAATAATAATAATAATAATAATAATAATAATAATACATTAGCATGCTAAAAGACACTCTCACCAGTGCCATGACAGCTTACAAATGCCAAGGCAAAGGCTGGAAGCTACCCTATATGGTCTAAAAGGGTGAGGGACCCTCAGTTATGGGAACTCCTCTCCCCTTCCTCGAAAACCCACGAATAATCCACCCCTTGTTTAGCATATAATCAAGAAATAACCATAAGTTTACTTAGTCGAGCAGCCTCTGCCACTGCTGTGGCTGTGGAGTAGACATTCTTCTGTTTCTTTACTTCTCTAATAAACTTGCTTTTGTTTTACTCTGTGGTCTCGCTCGAATTCTGTCTTGCGTGAGATCCAAGAACTCTCTCTTGGGGTCTGGATTGGGACCTCTTTCTTGTAAAAAAACAAGGTTATGAATCAATCAGTTGATGAAGATGTTGTGACCAGAGGCTCATAGGAGCATAACCCTCTATTTCCCCTAGGAGCAATGGTTCAGTATTCGCCATTCCAGCATTCCAGAAAGTTTATGGAACATCACTATATCCAATAATGAGAATTGCTTATATTTTTTCACCCAGGCCCGGTGAGGGGAATGGTGATGAAGTGATCGGTGTCCCTGCCCTCACCTGTCTCTCCCTATGTCACAAAATGTAGGATGTCCTGTAGAGAGGAGCTCTGGAAACTCTAGGTCTACACCTGTGAAGATTATTTCTCCCCTTTAGCAAACATCTTTAGAACACCCATGACATCAGGGAGGGCTATGCCATTGTGGGGCAGGATCTTCCCTGAGAATTATGAGACCATGAGCTCCTTTTCTGCAGTGTTTTATTCACTGGCTCCGAACAGTGTGAAAACAAAATAAAACAAATGAAAGCACAAACAAAGAAACATAAAACTATAAAAGCAAACCACTGCCTAATAACGGGCATCTCACAGGAAGCAACAGTTTGCTATTGGGCCAATTCAATGCCATCAATGCCAGTGGACATTTTGAGAGGAATCTCAGCATATAGGTAATAAAGCATTATAGATTAGACAAGGAAAAAAAAAGAAGTAATAAAGCAGTCCATTCACTTATCTCATAAATGTGTTTCTGTGTTACCTTTGTCCTTCCAATCTTCATTGAAAACAAAACAGCAAAAACAGAGAGAGAGAAAGACAAAGGGTGTCCCTGTTCACTCTAGTACGCTAGTCTAAGGGCTTCCCAGAACCAGTTAAAAAGTAGCTGTGCAAATTACAAGTCTTGAAAACACTGACACAGCTGAGCCAGTGTAAAGAAATACACAGTGAAACCTCATTCACTCACCCACCAGTAACTCAGAATTTGGGTAATTTGAAGAGGGTCAAGGCTGGTGTTTAACCTGGCAGTTACCTGAAGAAATTTAACCCAAAGACATTACTTACAATGCAAATTAATATTGGAAAATAATTTACTCAGAGGAAATGTTAAAAGTATGTAAGAGAACAAACTTTTAAAATTAGCCCCAGGCAACTGGGGGCCCATTAACACATATCTATGGTATGTTAGTGCCTTTTCCTGCAAAAGACTCTGTATTTTTCCAAGTTAAAACTGATGTTTGCCACTGAATAACCTTGGGTGAATTGCGTCAAACTCTTTGAGGTCTAGTGTTTTTTCTCTAAAAATGTGTAAGTCATGAGGTCATCATGAAGGTCAAATGGCAATGCACTGGAAAGAGTGCTGTAAATTATAAGGGCCATGCAAATGGCGGTAGCCAGACCAGCTGACATTCCTCTTGCCTTGGCTCAGCTGTTCCCTTCCTGCTCTGTGTCCAAATTCTTTCTTTCTCCTTTCTTTCTTTCTCTTTTCTTTCTTTCTTTCTTTCTTTCTTTCTTTCTTTCTTTCTTTCTTTCTTTCTTTCTTTCTTTCTTTCTTTCTTTCCTTTCTTTTCTTTCTTTCTTTCTTTCTTTCTTTCTTTCTTTCTTTCTTTCTTTCCTTCCTTCCTTCCTTCCTTCCTTCCTTCCTTCCTTCTTTCTTTCTTTCTTTCTTTCTTTCTTTCTTTCTTTCCTTCCTTCCTTCCTTCCTTCTTTTCTTTCTTTCTTTCTCTCTCTCTTTCTCCTTCCTTCCTTCCTTCTCCCTCCTCCTCCTCCTTCTTCTTCTTCTTCCTCTTCTTCTTTCCCTCCCTCCCTCCCTGCCTTCCTTTCTCTCTTTCTCTCTCTCTCCTTCTTCTCCCTCTCTCTCTCTCTCCTTCTCTCTCCCTCTCTCTCTCTCTCCTTCTTCTCCCTCTCTCTCTCTCTCCTTCTCTCTCCCTCTCTCTCTCCTTCTCTCTCCCTCTCCTTCTCTCTTTCTTTCTTTTTTTGACAGAGTTTCACTCTTCTTGCCCAGGCTGGAGTGCAATGGCCTGGTCTTGGCTCACTGCAACCTCTGTGTCTTGGGTTCAAGCGATTCTCCTGTCTCAGTCTCCTGAGTAGCTGGGATTACAGGCATGCGGCAACACGCCCAGCTAATTTTTGTATTTTTAGTAGAGATAGGGTTTCACCATGTTGGCCAGGCTGGTCTCGAGCTCCCGACCTCAGGTGATCCGCCCACCTCTGCCTCCCAAAGTGCTGGGATTACAGGCGTGAACCATCGTGGCCTGGGCAAATTCTACCTTTCCCTTGAGAAAAGCAAGAAAACCGAGGAATGCAAGTCCTGTTAAATGATCAGACCCAGAGAGACATTGAAGTGAGCCAGCCCTGGCATCCTCCTTCACCCCCAGCTGCACATTCATCTATTGAAGCTGCCTGCTGCTGCCACAGGTATCTAGAAACTAACCAGTAACACTGCATGGGACACGCTAACCCACACTGATAGCTTCAGAGTGTACAGCCAATCACTAATCAACACTACTTCTATTAACCAATGCTACTTCTATTAACCAATGAGAATTTTCGACAGACAACTTTCTACCAGCCAATCCCTGTCCCTTGTGTTTAAAAACCTGCTTGTACCAAAGGCCAAATAGAGCTCATATCCAAGGTTACTTGGGTCTGAGTCTTCCAGGCAGTTGTCCTAACTTTAGCTCAGGAAACTTTTTTTTTTTTTTTTTGAGACAGAGTCTCGCTCTGTCATCCAAGTTAGAGTATAATGGTGTGATCTCAGCTCACTGCAACCTCTGCCTCCCAGGGTCAGATGATCCTCCTGGCCTCAGTGTCCTGAGTAAATGGGATACTACAGGCATGTGCTACCACTCCTTGCTAATTTTTGTAATTTTCACAGAGACAGGGTATCACTATGTTTCCCAGGCTGATCTTGAACTGGGCTGAAGTGATCCCCCCACCTCGGCTTCCCAAACTGTTGGGATTACAGGCATAAGCCACTGTGCCTGGCCAAGAAAATGCTTTAAATCACATTTTGTCCCTCAATTTCTTCCTTTTAGGTCAACACCGTCACCACTCAACTGATATCTTACTGCTTTTATGAAGCCTTCCTTGATTCCTCCGGCGGGGTGATACCTCTCAGTATCTTCCATGGTATGTTGGTATGTTGCTGGTGCATATTCTGTCATGTGTCATGTTATGTTCTATATGGCAGCCACTTTGTGTGAGAGTTTCATATTCTCTGCTGGTCTGTTGGCTCCTTGAAATTCAGTACTGTAACTTACCGATCCCGCTCTCTCACCCATTACTTAGCTCGGTGTCTCCATGAGAAACAACGCTTTTCTGAGTGTACAACACACCTTCCAGGCCACTCAGCCCAGCCAGCCTCCTTGGCATAGGGCCCAACTTTCAAGGGTTATTTGGAAACTTGGGAAACTTGGGAACTCAATGCTGCCACCAAGGTCTCATTCAAGAGTGTTTCAGGAAGGCTAATAGAGCGTCAGGGTGCAGGTTGGAGCCAGCATGGGCTGACGATAATTGCAGGACAGTAGCCACCATAGATTTGGGCTAAGTGTCAGAATCATTGCAATGGAAAACCTCAAGGAAGAATTTAACGTAATAACCCTCGAGAGAAAGGAATTGTCTAGAATTGGGTTTTTATAGTTGTAGCAGTTATCAGGAATTCTTGATTGACTGCAGGCATTACAGGTAACACCTGTTCCCCTCTATCCACCTCCACCAATATTTGTTTTGTTTTTGAGAGGAGGGAGGAAGTTGTGGAGGGGGAAGCAAGTCTTGTCCTCCCCTTTTCCCCTGTCCCAGAAAAAGCAGAAGATGAGTGGGTGTTAAGGAGTCTCCTTCCCTTGAGCCTATGGAGTCATCATGATCTTTATAGATAGGGGACTGGAGGTTGGTACTATTGATAATGGAAATATTCCAGAAAACTGTGATACTCTGTGTCCAGGCAGAGTTGCTTAAGGCTGGGGAGATAAATGCAGCCCAGAGCAGGGTTGCTGCCTCTTCTACTGCCCTGCCAGGAACCAGGCTTCCAGGGAAAGGAAATGTTGGGAGCATTTAGAGACCGCTGTAGCAGAGGCAACAGATAGGGCTGCAGTGAGGCTATTCCAAGAGACCTTCGCAAGGGTAGCATGAGCAGGTGGGGGCATGAATGGGAGCCCAAGGAAGAAGGAGAGGTTGCACAGATACAGACTGGGTTGTGGGCATCTGAGAAGCTCCTTTTAGAGCTCCCAGAACTTGCAGGGCCACGCTGGGGCACAGAGCCTCTGCTTCTGCTCGGGTGGTAACTGTGGAGCTGGCAAATGTCTGGGTGCCATCTGATTTCCAAAAGGGATTTGATGAGGCTCAGTGGCACAAGAAAAACACCACTTACTGCCAGTAATTGGGACACTCGATTAAAATGTTTTATTTATTTTGATGATCAAAATTCAAATGGAACAAAGGGTAGATAGTGAAAAGTCTGCACCTAATCCCCTCCTTTCTAGACATTGTTTCTTTCCTAGAGGCAATCAGGGTTACATTTTCTATGTATCTTTAGAGATATTCTATCCATGTAAAAGTATATGTATGTGGCTGGGCGTGGTGGCTGACACTTGTCATCCCAGTGCTTTGGAAGGTAGAGTGGGGAGGAATGCTTGAGGCCAGGAGTTCAAGACCAGCCTGGGAAACATAGTGAGAGTCTGTCTCTACAAAAAAAAAAATTTTGTTTTTTAATTAGTTGGGCATGGTGGTGTGTGCCTGTAGTCCCAGCTACTCTGAGGCAGGAGAGTCACTTGAGCTTAGGAAGGCGAGGCTGCGGTTAGCTATGATCATACCACTGCACTCCAGCATGAGTGAGAGTGCAAGAACCTGTCTCTAAGGACAAAAAAAAGTGTATTTTCATTTAGAGATTCTCTTCTCCCCCGACCTTTTTAGTACAGATGACATCAATATGGGATGCATGCTGTCCTGCACTTTACTTTTTCACTTTACAATATATCCTTAAGAGTCTGAATCAAATCCATCCATACCAGGCTATCCTGCCCCTCCACTTTATTTTTTAATTTTTATTTATTTATTTATTTTTTGAGACAGAGTCTCACTGTGTCGCTAGGCTGGAGTGCTGTGACGCGATCTCGGCTCACCGCAACCTGTGCCTCTCTGGTTCAAGCAATTTTCCAGCCTCAGCCTCCCGAGTAGCTGGGACTACAGGAGTGCGCCACCACGCCCAACTGGTTTTTGTATTTTTAGTAGAGCCGGGGTTGCACCACGTTGGCCAGGAAGATCTCGATCTCTTGACCTCGTGATCCGCCCACCTCGGCCTCCCAAAGTGCTGGGATTACAGGCGTGAGCCACCGTGCCCGGCCCACCACTTTATTTTTTGCAGTTGTATAGTATTCCATTGTATGGATGTCCCATGACTTGTTTAAGCAGTGTCCTCTATTAATAAACATTTAGGTGTTTCCCCAAACCTTGCTATGATAAATAATGCTACCGTTAACAACCTTGTATGTATATTATCCACATATATGTGAGAATGCATTTGTTTGGCAATTTCTTGCAAGTAGGATTGCTGGGTCAAAGGTGTGTACCGTTGCATTTTGTATGAATATTGCCAAATCACACTCTAGAGAGGTTGCACTAATTAATCTCTACCTATCTTAAAGGTGAAAAACTGTAGATAATAGAATTTTAAGTTAGCTTTTCTCTTATTATGAATAAGGTTGAGTACACTGCCCGATGTTGTAATCCATTTTTAATTTCATTTCTGTGAGCTGTCTTGTTTATGTCCTTTCCCATTTTTCTGTTGGAATTTGGTCTTTTAATTTTGCAGTGCTATTTGTATGTTAGGGAAATCTGAATTGCACATTTTTTCATCAATTTATTGTTTTTTATAGGTCATTTTGAATAACTTAGTGCAACATAGTATTGACCTAGTTTAGATGCTTTGTTTACTTAAAAAGTATAAAATCATATATTGAAAAAGAATGCTGTGCAAATTAAAGGTTTACTATTACTGAGTCTTCTGTCTTCAGATGCAGAGCATCCTAATGAATAAGAATTGAAATAGTCAAGAAACACTGAACACAGCCTTTGGTGCTGTGAGTAACACAAACAAGTAAATTTCAAAATCCATCATTGAGTAAGTCAGAAGTGATGGAGGCCTGGCTCATGCCTATAATCCCAGCACTTTGGGAGGCTGAGGCAGAAGGATCACTTAACATCAGGAGTTCTAGACTAGCCTGGGCAAAATAACAAGACCTCATCTCTACAAAAATAAGTTTAAGAAAATTAGTGAGGTGTGGTGGTGCCCATCTGTAGTCCTAGCTACTTGGGAGGCTGAAGTGGAAGGATGGCTTGGGCCCAGGAATTTGAGGCTGCAGTGAGCTGTGATCACACCACTGCACTCTAGCCTGAGCCAGAGTGAGACATTGTCTTAAAAAAAAGTGATGGATCAATAAAATGTTGGAAAGTGGAGACAGGGTGTGGGCACATGTGTTTGGGCAGAGTGAGGATGGGAATGGGAACCCCTTTGCCTGCAGGAGAATGCTGCATAAAGCAGGCATGTTCAGATGTCCTATGGGGGAAAAAGAAAAGAGGCAGTGCAGCGACCTAGGAAGTGTGCAGGCCACCAGGCAAGGGCTTAAAGAGGTCATGTCAGCAAGTACTAGCCCAGTGCTACTAAAGGAGTCAAGGCCTAGATGAGCTGGCCTTCTCACCAATAAACTCCCATTGCCTCTTCTGTGGCTAGGGTCATAAATACATCTGTGGCTTCTCTTGCTATCCCATGTCCAACCCATTGTTCAGGGCACCTGAATGAGGCTTCTAGCACCCCTGAATGAGCACCAAAGACATAGGTCTAAGTCAGCCTGGAGGGAGGTGGTGCAACTTCAGGCCACCCCATCTCCCTCTTCAGTTCCTTCTGTTACAAATGCCAGAAACAAGGGGAAAGCAAACCAAACAATTTGTTTTCCCTTAAAGAACAAGACTAGCTGGTGAAGCTCAGGCCTGCTGGGCATGGTGGGATAAGATACTGACAGAGTTATCAAGGAAGCCAAAGCCAAAGACAGCACCAAGATGCATTATCTATGGCAGTTGCAGTCAACCAGCCATTTTTGATAGCTATTAACATTGTAATACACTTTTCTGTTGATTAGATTGGTTAGGCCATTTGACCTGTTCTAGCCCTGCAGAATTTCTGCGGCCAGACCTAAAATGCTGGAAATCTGCTCTCTGGTAAGGTCTAGGCATGCATCCTTGCCAGTTCCTTTCTGTATTTCCTAGGCTTCTTGTCCAGGTTTCACAAACTTGGATACACATAACAGATCGAATTCCAGCTTGGATGCATGGAGTATTGGAACAGTCAAAACCTTCAAGTGTGGTCTCAAGATCATTAACAAACAAGTCATTTCCATAACATGATAGTAGCTTACTAATTGCCTCCTTATGCCATAAACTGTGCATATATGTTCTTTCTAAGTCTCTCGATTGTCCAAGGTAGGTATGACATTCTTTACTTTATATTTTTATAGATGAAGCAACCTTAACTCAGAAGGGTTAATTACCTAAGGTCATATGGCTAGTATGCAATTAGCTAGAACTGGGATTTGAACCCAGTTCTGTGTAAACCCAAGGCCTGAACACTTGCTACTTCCCCTTGCTACATTCTCCATTGCCATGATGAGGCCAAGGTTTCTTTTCTAAACTACCAGATGTAGAGCTCCATAACATCTCAGGATTGTGTCAACTCTCAAATCCCATAATACTAGGTATTGATCTCAATGATCAACATTGTTCTTAAGATTCTGACAACTATACGAAAGAGAATAATTACCTGCTCAATGCAACTGGAGAGCAGTTACACACACACACACACACACACACACACACACACACACACTCCTATGATGAATTACTAGACCATAGATTAGAGATGATAAGGACATTTAAAGTACATGTAGTCACATGGTACAATAAGCCAAAATCATTGGGGAAGGCTTTCTGAAGGAGAGAATTTCTGTTTTAGACCTCAAAAGGTGATTAGAATTTTGAGAGGTAAAAGAAAGAAGAGGCTGGCTTTGCTTTCTGGCCATGTGGTGGACTAGATGTCCTAGAAAAACTCCCCACTCAATATGGCTAAACTCGCAGGATACAAAATTCCTTTGAAATGCATCACTGAGTTTGCAAAAAGGTGAGAGTATTTCCCAAGGGCTAAAAACAAAGAGAGTTGCTAGTGCTTTTGGTGGTCCTGGTTGTCCAGAGCAAGGGTTGGAAATCATTTTCTGTACAGGGCCAGATAGTAAATATTTTTGGCTTTACGAGCCCAGATGGTCTCTGTTCAAACTACTCATCTCTGCCTCTGTGGCATAAACGCAGCCACAGACAATACATAAGCAAAAGGGCGTGGGAAGACTTGCCTAGCTGTGAGCTCAGTTTGGCCCATGAGTTATGCTTTGCTGATCTCTGATCTAGGGTCTTGGGTTTTAATGCCTTCTGTGGATCTTCTGTTTTGGGGCCCACACAAGGTGAGAAGATTGAACTGAGACAACCCTCACATGTGTAAAACAGGATTCCTGGGGCAGTGTGGACTAGATGAATGAGGCCCCTGGCAAGGGAAGACAGATAGGGATACTTGCTTTATGAAGTGCGACTCTGGTGAAAAAAAGAAATTTGAATTTGTTACTATAGTTAGGCCTACTGCTATGGTTTGAATGTGTCCCCTCCAAAATTCAAATGTTGTCAATGTGATATTATTAAGAGATGGAACCTTTGAGAGGTGATTAGATAATTAGACCATGCAGGCTCCTCCCTTGTGAATGGGATTAAGCCTGTTTAAAATAAAGCTTCATGCCACATTTGGTTGGCTAGTCCTCCAGCTCTTCTGCCGCGTGAGGACAGTGTGCCAGCCTTCTGGAGGATGCAGCCTCACCAGACAATCAAACCAGCTGGCACCTGGATCTTAGACTTTCCAGCCTCCAGAACTGTGAGGAATAATCATCTATTCATTATACATCACCCAGTCTCAGGTATTTGTTGTTGCAGCACAGACAGACCAAGACACTTACCCTCACACATGCTTGAGGTTTGGATTTGTACTAACTGCATTGTACAGGAAACTTCAAGCTATGCAATTAACTTAAAGTGGTTATTTAAGTGGTAGTGCCTCAGGGACCTTAGAAAACATGAGTTCATAATCCAAAATCACACGCCACACAAAGGAATAAGCCACCGGGAGCAAGAGTCAGCAGAAACAACAAATGGCAGAATTATTCTTTCAAGGATTGTGGGCATTGTAATGATTTTGTTACAAAAAATGTTTAAAGAAGTAAAAGGGAAAATGAAAAAGATAGAGGATATTTCAGGGAAAGAGAGGAAGAGACATAAAAAGTCAATGGTGGGGATGAGAACATGTTAAGGGGCAAGAAGGAAATAGTCCAAGATAGGGGCCATGTGATGGTATTAGTGAATGAATGAACATTGATTAAACTCATAGTGCACACCAGCACTTGGCTAGGTACTAATGGTAGAGATGGGTAAGAGTATAGGATTGCCCTCAAGGAAGTTCCAGTCTAGGAGAAGAATCAGATAATCAGGTAAATGAATAAATGCCATAAACTGTAATGGGTTCTATAACTAAACATAACAGAGGCAGAGGAAGAAGTTGCCCATTCTACTCAAGGAATTCAGGGCAGTTTCTTGGAGGATTTTATGCTTGAATCAAGTTCTGAAGGGTCTGTAGGAAACTAGACTTTAAGGTATGGGTTACGGAGAACTTGAATAGTTTTAAGGAGGGAAGTAAAATGATCAGACTTATAATTAAAAAAAATACCGATGACTGCAGTACAGTGAATAAAATGGAGAATGAAACAATGGGAGACCAGATATGACATTGTTTCAATAGTCATGAAAAGAAGCCACGAAGCCCTCCTATAAGGCAGCGGTGTAGGTGCACTTGAGAGTTATTTTAGAATTTTGTTCATTTGGGAATTACAAAAAGTAACGATGCACATTTACTGGCTGTAGCTCTACTTCTGGTGCTGTGTGATGGTTAATTTTAGGTGTCAGCTTGACTGGATTAAGGAATACCTAAAGAGCTGGTAAAGCAGCACTTCTGGGTGTATCTGTGGGGTGCTTCCAGAGGAGGCTGGTGTGTGAGGTGGTGGACTGAGTGCTTATCAGCTGGGGGCCTCAATAGCACAAAAAAAGACAGAAAAAGATTTCCTCATTCTCTCCTGGAACTGGACACTCTCCTCCTCCTGCTCTTGATCAGAACTCCAGGTTCTCCATGACTTGCACCAGCTGTCTTGTGGGCTCTCAGGCCTTTGATCTCAGACAGAGCGACACCATCAGCTTCCCTTGGCTCTGAAGCTTTCAGACTTGGACTGAGCCATGCTCCCAGCATCTCAGGGTCTCCAGCTTGTGGATGGTCTGTCATGGGACTTCTCAGCCTCCATAAATTCGTGAGCCAATTCCCCTAATAAATCCCCTTTCATCTATGTGTGTATGCATGTATGTTTGTATCTATCTATCTATCTATCATCTATCTCTATCATCTCTTGATCGATCTATCAATCTATCATCTATTATTGACCTATCATCTATCTGTTGTCTATCATCTATCTGTGTATTATCTATCTATCAATCTATTACATACGCATCATTTATCTCTCTCCTATTGGTTCTGTCTCTCTGGAGAACCCTGACTAATACAATCTGTAACCTTACACCTCCCCCTCCCAAGTGTTCCCAGGAGTCTCAGGGTTGTCTTGAAAATGCTCGTGACTGAGGTCAGGAGATTGAGACCATCCTGGCTAACATGGTGAAACCCTGTCTCTACTAAAAATACAAAAAAATAGCCGGGGGTGGTGGCGGGAGCCTGTAGTCCCAGCTACTGGGGAGGCTGAGGCAGGAGAATGGTGTGAACCCAGGAGGCGGAGCTTGCAGTGAGCGGAGATCATGCCAGTGTATTCTAGCCTGGGCGAGAGAGCGAGACTCCATCTCAAAAAAAAAAAAAAAAAAGCTTGTGACTGAGTGCCCACCTCCCACCTTGTTTCCCCCATGTCCTGCCCGGTGTTTCTACCACCCCCAGCTGTGGTGCTGCGGCTGAGACAGGGTGGAGGGTGAGAGTCTCTTCCTTCTCTTTGTTGTTAAGTGTCCTGAAGGAGTTCTGCTTGTTCCCTAATGATTACCAAGCTTACCAGCCATAAAGTGGTTCTTTGTGTTGTCCCTTATTGACTCCCTACACTCCACAAGATCAGGAAGTCAGTGGGGAGGAAGTCTAGTTGCCCGTGCCCCTCACTTCTGACAGCCCAGCGCATCGTGCTGGTTCCTTCTAACCTCAGGGCAGCCTGCGGGACCCATAGCAGGGGTAAGAGGGAGGGACAGGTTTGGCTCTCCCAGGATGTTACTTAGCCCTCATCCCAGGGTGTTATTTAGCCATCTCCCAGGATGTTACTTAGCTTCTGGCAAAGGTCACTACTAATTTGCTGGAAACACCTGCCCTGAGACCCAAGGGGGCCATCCATGCAAAGGTGAGACCCAGAGCTATGAGTCACCAATGGGAGATAGAATGGAGGCAGGGAGGAGGTGGGAAGATTTACGGGCGTAACAGGGAAGATCATGGAACAGATCAGGCAAGGCCTTCAGTGCCTGCCTAGTGAGTCTGTTCTTCCCTGTAAACCAGTGTTTCTCCAAGCGTGGACTGGTATATATCAGCCTCTGAGTCACATGAGAGCTGGCTCAAAATTTCAATTTTAAGACCTATCTGAATCAGGACCACTGATGAGTGGGTTTGGGAGACTTGCATTATTTATTTATTTTTACTTTTTTTTTGAGGTGGAGTCTCTCTTTGTCGCCCAGGCTGGAGTGCAGTGGCACGATCTCAGCTCACTGCAGGGAGACTTGCATTTTTAACTGCTGATCCCTAGGTGGTAGTTGAAGAATCCACACACATTTCTATAATAATTGGGTCCATATGTCATCTCTTTAGGCAAACTGAAGGCTCCTGAGTGTAGGTGCTGCCTCTAAAGCCCCTCTTATCTCTCCTACAAGTGCAAGCACACAGTCGGTATACACTGTCTATTTATCGAAGCTGAGCGAAAGAGGAAATGCTGAAAACAGAATGATTGTGGTTTAAACTGCTCCTTCCAACAGTGAAACATTTAGATAGTTATTCATTTATTTATTGCTTTTTTGAGACAGGGTCTCACTCTGTCTCTCAGGCTGGAGTGCAGTGGTGTGATCACAGCTCACTGCAGCCTCAACCTCCTGGGTTCAAGCCCTCCTCCCACATCAACCTCCATGGTAGCTGGGACTATAGGTGCATGCCACCATGTCTGGCTAATTTAAAAATATTTTTTGGGCTGGGCACAGTGGCTCACGCCTGTAATCCCAGCACTGTGGGAGGCCGAGGCAGGCAGGTCACCTGAGGTCAGATGTTGGAGACCGGCCTGGCCAACATGGTGAAACCCCTTCTCTACTAAAAATACAAAAATTAGCGGGGCATGGTGGTGCATGCCTGTAATCCCAGCTACACAGGAGGCAAAGGCAGGAGAATTGCTTGAACCCGGGAGGTGGATGTTGCAGTGAGCTGAGATTGTGCCATTTCTCTCCAGCCTGGGAGGCAAAGCGAGATTCCATCTCAAAAAAATTTTTTTTTTTTGTAGAGATGGTGATATAGTTTGGATATTTGTCCCTGCCCAAATCTCATGTTGAATTGTAATCTCCAGTGCTGGAGGTGGGGCCTGGTGGGAGGTGTTTGGATCATGGGGGTGGATCCCTCCTGGCTTGGTGCTGTCCTCATGATAGCAAGCTCTCGTGAGATCTGGTCATTTAAAAGTGCATGGCAGCTCCCCTCACGCCATTCTTCTCGTTTGCTCCTGCTTTTTTTTTTTTTTTCCGAGATGGAGTCTCGCTCTGTTGCCCAGGCTGGGGTGCAGTGGTGTGATCTCTGCTTACTGCAACCTTTGCCTCCCAGGTTCAAGCGATTCTCCTGCCTCAGTCTCCCGAGTAGCTGGGATTACAGGCGCCTACCACCACACCCAGCTAATTTTTGCATTTTTAGTAGAGATGGGGTTTCACCATATTGGCCAGGCTGGTCTTGAACTCCTGACCTCGTGATCCACCTGCCTTGGTCTCCCAAAGTGCTGGGATTACAGGTGTGAGCCACCGCACCCAGCCTGCTTCTGCTTTTGTCACGTAACATGCCTGCTCCCACTTCACCTTCTGCCACTAGCAAAAGCTTCCTGAGGCCTTCGAGAAGCAGATGCTGGCACTATGTCTCCTGGGCAGCCTGCAGAACCCTGAGCCACTAGACCTTTTTACTTATAAATTACCCACTCTCAGGTATTTGTTGATAGCAATGCAAGAACTGCCTAATATAGATGGGATTTCACTGTGTTGCCCAGGCTGATCTTGAACTCCTGGGCTCAAGTGATCCTCCCACCCCGGCCTCCCAAAGTGCTGGGATTACAGGCATGAGCCACAAAACCTGGCCTTTATTTCGTTTTTATTCTATAAATACTTAGTGCCATTTCCAGGCAGGCGCTGTGCTAGGTGTTGAATCTCAAGAGACTTTCAGTGAGAGAGGCTGGGGCGCCTGGGGTGGAGAAGGGTGCCAAGGGTACCATGTGAGTGAGGTGGGGTGTGGCCAACTAGGCTGCACAGAAGAAAATGCTGTCTGCAGAGCAGTGAAAGTGAACAGCTCTAAGAGGTTTTCCTTGGGATGAATTACAATTTGTACGTTGTTCTCTCTTCCCAGATGAAGAAAGACATCTCAATTTCCCTCTGAATCTCCAGCTTCAGGGCATGGTGGGCCATTTGAAGACTTCTGGAGTCAAGAGATAAAGGGAAGCATTAGTTCCATTGGGTCCTGTTTGATCTTTATACCATCAACACGGAGCTCAGAGCTTCCCTGCTTCCCTTTCGCTCCTCAAGGTCACCAGAAGGACGTGGGCTTTTTGATGTTCAAAGAAAGTCTGAAAGCCTCGCCTGGTCTTCTGAGCCTGAGCGTGCTGTTGGCAGGCTCTTCTGAATCAAGTTGGGGCAGAGGAGGATTCCTCGTCTCTTTCTGAGGCAGATCCCACAGTCGTTAGGAGCTGGATGAGCACGTTCTTTAATAGATTTCCTTTTTATTTTTCTGGGTCTCATCTGAAATTTTTGACCCTTGCACGTCTCCATTCTCTCAACCTTCTTTCTGACCAGAAAATTCCTTCTGTAATTTTGGCTACACAAGAGTATCAAGGAATGCTTAGGGGGCAAACAGAGTACTTCGAGAACAGCATGCATTCGGGCCAAGCTCCCAAGGCCATGCTGAGCATACGTCTCCAGCTCACAGCTTCGGGAAGCTGAGAGGAACAGAGGTCCTCAATCTCAGAAAGAAATAAAAGCAGATCAGGGAATCACCTCTCCCTTTTCCCTTAGTGAAATATTTTAATGAGTTTTGAGGCTGTCTCTGTGTGTATGAAATGCCAGGAGTCTGCATCTCAGCTGTTATGACCAGAGGTCTTCTCTTGGGTGCTGGTGAGGACTGAGGACTAGCTGGCTTCAGGAAAGCTGCTTCAGCTGCTTTTCCTGCCAGCCACACAGCAGGAACAAGAAACAACTTTGGCTGGGCATGGTGGCTCACGCCTGTAATCCCAGCACTTTGGGAAGCCGAGCCAGGAGGATCAGGAGGTCAGGAGTTCAAGACCAGCCTGGCCATCATAGTGAAACCCCATCTCTACTAAAAATACAAAAAATTACCTGGGCCTGGTGGCGGGCGCCTGTAATCCCAGCTACTCGGGAGGCCGAGGCAGGAGAATCACTTGAAGCCAGGAGGCGGAGGTTTCAGTAAGCAGAGATCACACCACTGCACTCCAGCCTGGATGACAGTGCGAGACTCCATTTCAAAAGAGAAAAAAAAGAAAAAGAAAAAGAAAAAGAAACAACTTTGCAGTTGTTTTTTTGCAGTTGTTGCACTGAGAGGAGTAGGAGGTAAGAGAGAGAGGGGGCATGTGTTAGTTTGCCTGCTGTCACTCAGTGACTTGGAGGAATGGAGATTTAGGTCAAGGATACATTTCCAAGAAGGGAGACAATATGTCACAGTATCCCCAGAACGAGCCATGGGGCTGGGCTCAGAGACATGGGAGCATAGCTTGGGAACTTAAAGACACAACTCAAGTCACTAGGTTCTCTGACTCCCTCCGTCCCAGCCTCTGCATTTATTGGTCCCTTACAATTATGGTGACTCAGAATGTCTCAGTTTCTACTTCTAGCACTCAGGACACAGCTCACTGGTGATCTGATTCTCCACCCTTTGCATATGTTTGTTTCTGTTGCTCTGATCTTTGGCTTACTCATGGCGTCTACCTACTTTTGGGCCTTCATGGCCTGTCTTCCTTCTGTGTGATTTTCAGTACTCTTTGGCTCCCACTCCCACAATTAGCTGTTGATTCTTTTTTCCTGTACCTTCTGTTTAAGTTCAATAGAAAGATAATTTGATTGGTTGGAGTGAATCATCACTAGCCTTCCTGCTCTTTGGTTATGAGGTACTTCATAGGTCCAACCTATAGAGTTGGTCAACCTTGGGGCAGGAGCTCGCCCTAACTCCAACCAGCTTGGCCAGAGGCACCAACACGCTGGTCAAAGCAGGACAGCACATAGAAGATTTGAGAAATGATCTGCTTAATGCAATGGGTTTTAGGGGATGACAGTTCTTTCACTTTGTAGCTGTGTGGCCTTGGGTGACTTCTTTAATTTTTCTGAGCTTATTTCTTTGCCTGTAAAAATGTGGATGAAGGTACTATCTTGCAGTGATGTGTGGATTAGAGGTAAATTATCTAAAGTATCTAATAAACAGTGTGTGCTCAGGTGCTTCATAAATACTTTTTATTATGACGCTGCTGCATTGGTCTGCCTGAGTCTGGATTTTGCATGTTGCTCTGACATAATTTTGGTGGCAGGAGCCCATATTTTGATTCAGATCCCATGATTCCAAAAACACTATCTTTGGTGGTAAAAATAAGAATCAAGTAAGTGCAGAGGGCATCGCTAAGAAACACTGAGGATATATTCCTGATTACGTTTTAAGGTCACCGCAAAGTCTGGCTGGAAATAAAAGGCAAGATTCGGGATGCTTCCTCTTCAGTCATTGAACAAGCGTGACTCCAGTTGAATCTGAAATGAGACAGCAGTCAAGGTTTCTTGGCTCATCTCTTTCAACAATTCATTTAAGAATAGCTGCAATACCTTTGAAGTAAGACTATTTGAGTAAGACTTTTAAGAAACAGTGGTGACAGTTTAGAGATACGTGAATGAGAAAAATGCGCATTCACCATGAGAAACCCTGATGTCTGGTTATCAATGATTTGCAATTAATGGACACAGCAGAAGCTGCAATCAACCCTGATCAGAGCCATCTGGAGAAGAAGCAGAACAAAACTAGGACATTCTCCCCCAGCTATGACCCCTGACAGAGAAATTAGTGATTGCTCACAGGCTTCTCGATCGATCACTCCCCTTGGCTAGCTTAGCATATGCTCCACTCTTCCACCTCCTTCTGGATTTCAGGTTTAATTCCCAGCTACCAGACAGAGCTTCTAGCCAACTCTTCCATGTGAAGGATTCCGAGGTAAGCTACATACAGTAGAGCCAAGCCTTCTTAATATAAACATGATTCTTCATAGAGTCCTTTGTAGCCAGATAGCTGATGTTGATCACTTATGAATGGCTTCTTTTGAATTTATTTCTTCAAGTATGTTTTCTACCCCTTCCTCTTTCTCCTTCTGGGAATCCCATGATATGTATGTTGGTACACTTGATGGTGTCCCACAGGTATGAGACTCTGTTAATTTGTCTTCATTCTTTTCTCTTTTTATTTCTCAGAGTGGATTCTCTCCGCTGACTTATCTTCAAGTTAGCTGATTCTTTCTTCTGCCAGGTCAAATCTGCTGTTGAACCTCTGTAATGAATTTTCCATTTCAGTTATGCAGTTATTTTACTTTTTGACATCAGAACTTCTATTTGGTTCTTTCAAAAATTTCCATGTCTTTATTGATGATCTCTGGTGAGACATCATTCTCATACTTTCTTTTAATTTTTTTTTTTTTGAGATGGAGTCTCGCTCTGTCGTCCAGGCTGGAGTGCAGTGGTGCGATCTCACTCACTGCAATCTCCGCCTCCCGGGTTCAAGCAATTATCCTGCTTCAGCCTTCTGGGTAGGTGGGACTACAGGCACACGCCACCACGCCAGCTAATTTTTGTATTTTTAGTAGAAACAAGGCTTCACGATGTTGGCCAGGATGGTCTTAAACTCCTGACCTTGTGATCGATCCACCTTGGCTTCCCAAAGTGCTGGTCCTTTAATTCTTCAGAAACTGTTTCCTTTAGTTCTTTGGACATATTTATAATGTCTGATTTAAAGACTTGGACTTTTTTTTTTTTTTTTGAGATGGAGTCTTGCTCTGTCGCCTAGACAGGAGTACAGTTGCATAATCTCAGCTCACTGCACTTCTGCCTTCCAGGTTCAAGCTATTCTCATGCCTCAGCCTCCTGAGTACCTGGGTTTACCCGTGTGTGCCACCGTGACTGGCTATTTTTTTTTGTATTTTTAGTAGAGACAAGGTTTCACCATGTTGACCAGACTGGTCTCGAACTCCTGACCTCAAGTGATCTGCCCACTTTGGTTTCCCAAAATGCTGGGATTACAGGCGTGAGCCACTGCACCCAGCCTAAAGTCTTTGACTATTAAGTGACATTTCTGGTGTTCCTCAGGAACAGAACAGTTTCTTTCTTTCTCTCTTTTTGGAGACAGAGTCTCGCTCTTGTTGCCCAGGCTGGAGTGCAGTGGCGCAATCTCAGCTCACTGTAACCTCCACCTCCCGGGTTCAAGCAATTCTCCTGTCTCAGCCTCCCGAGTACGTGGGATTATAGGTGCACGCCACCATGCTTGGCTAATTTTTGTATTTTTAGTGGAGACAGGGTTTCACCATGTTGGCCAGGCTGGTCTCGAACTCCTGACCTCAAGTGATCTGCCCGCCTTGGCCTCCCAAAGTGCTGGGATTACAAATGTGAGCCACCGTGCCCAGCCAGGAACAGTTTTCTATTGACTGCTTTCTTTCCTTTGTGTATGGGTCATATTTTCATATTTATTTGCATTTTTTGTACTTTGTTACTGAGAACTGGGTATTTTAGATAATACAATGTGGTGACTGTGGAAATCAGACTCACTCCCCTTCTAACACTTTGCTGCTGCTGTTTTTTGTTATTGTTGTTTGTTTAGTGACTCTTTATGTTAATTCTGTAAAGTCTATGTATTAGTCTTGGTTCTCCAGAGAAACAGAATCGATAGGGGACATTTGTTCTGCATGTATCCCAAAGGGAATCCTTTACAGGTTAGTTTCTGTTTCTCTAGTTCATTCATTCTCCCTAATAATCACTTACTAGAAGCTTCTATACCACATTGAGAGGTTGGAGGTAACTACTCTGTGTTTCTCTCCTGTGCACATTGATAAATTTGTATACCAGCCGGGTGCAGTGCCTGTAATCCCAGCACATTGGGAGGCTGAGGTGGTGGGATTGCTTGAGCCCAAGAGTTCGAGACCAGCTTGAGTAACACAGGAACACACTGTCTCTACAGATAATAATTTAAAAATTAGTTGGGTGTGGTGGCACATGCCTGTGGTTCTGGCTACTCGGGAGGCTGAGGTGGGAGGATTGCTTGAGCCCAGGAGTTTGAAGCTGCAGTGAGCTCTAATCTCACTCGCAGAGCAAGCTCTCTTTAAAAAAAAAAAAATTATATGCTTTCTTTCTTACTAATCTCCTTTTTGTCAGTTGATTTTTCATTAAAACTTCAGAGCACAAAGGGAAAGTTTTCCCTTGACCCCGTTGACCTAAAGGAAAACATCCAGACAAACTTAGTATGTGTAGAAAATTTATTTGGGTGAGGTTTGAGGACTGCAACCCATGAGTGCAGATTCAAGTTGCCCTGAATGTATGTTCCCATCAGCAGCAGTTATAAGTAGTTCTTATAGGAAAAGAAGAGGCAGTTCATAAGTCATTTACCAAGAATTTACATTAAAATAAAATAAGCTATTGATTGGCTGCATATTGTTCTCTGTATCACAAATTCCAGGAATATGAAGATGATGGATAAGGAGCCAGTCAGGAACAAAATGCCTTTGAACAGTTGCTTCTGTCTGGGCATGAGTGCAGTAGTGGGGGCTAGGGTATGCCTACAGTGCTGCTGGATTTGTGTCTTTCTGGGCCTGATATGTTTTGCCAGCCTTGCATAACTCATACAGCTGTGAGGTGTTTTTCTTTTCTGAGTCCCTACAATACCAAAACAAGATCACAATATAAGAAAGAAAATTGTGGCCAACCTCACTTGGCAATATAGATGTAAAAATTCTAAGTAAAATGTATTAAAAATATGTCTTAAATATCTTGTCTATCCTAGAATGCAGGGAGGGATGAACATTTTCAAATCTCTTAGTGTAATTTACATGAACAGATGAAATAAGCAAAGTTATGTGCTCAGGCTGCCACAACAAAAGACCACAGACTGGATGGCATCAGCAACAGAAATTTATTTCCTCACAGTTCTGGAGTCTGGAGGCTTAAGAGGAAGGTGTTGGCAGGTTTGTCTTCTCCCGAGGCCTCTCTTCTTGGTTTGCAGACGGCCGCCTTCTCACTGCCTCTTCGCATGAGCATCCGTGTGTGCACATATAACCCCACTGTCCCCTGCAAATCTTGATCATCTTTTCTTATAACGATACCATCTAGGGTGGGTTAAAACCCATCCTAATGATCTGCTTTCAATTCAGTCATCTCTTTAAAGGCCCTATCTCCATGTACAGCCACATCCTGGAGTATTGGGAGTTAGGGCTTCACTCTAGGAATTTTGGGGGAACACAATTCAGTCCATAACAGCATATGAATACCTCAATAGATTAAAAAAACTTTGGTTAAATGCAATACTTAATTATTATTTAAAAGACAGATAAAAGTATTATGTAAACTAGCAACAGAATGAACTTTCTTAACCTGTTAAAGGATATCTGCCAGAAACTTACTGGGAAAATGCCTTTTAAAATGAAACAAGGATGCCAACTATAGCCACTTCTGTTCATCACTAGTCTATGCTTACTGCAGGTCTGAGCCAGCTGAGAAGACAAGAAAAACACATTTTTCTTAAAAATATGGCTAGCAAAGGAAGAAAAAATAGTCCTTTTTCACTAAAAATATGATTTTCTAGATAGGAAACCCAGAATTTACAGATTATCAGAATTAATAAGAGAAGATTGTTCTATATAAAGTCAACTGCATCTCTGTATATCAGTAACAAACAGTAGGAAATTATCATTAAAAATTTATTTGAGGCTGGGTGTATTGGCTCACACCTGTACTCTCAGCACTTTGGGAGGCCAAGATGGGAAGTCTGCTTGAGCCCAAGAGTTCAAAACCAGCCTGGGCTAGACAGTAAGATCCAATCTCTGCAAAAAAATTAAAAATTAAAATTAACCAGGCACGGTGATGGTGTGCACCTGTAGTTCCAGCTAGTTGGGAGGTTGAGATAGGATACTCTCTTGAGCCCAGGAGTTTGAGGCTGCAGTGTGCAATTACTTTGCCATTGCACTCCAGCTTGGGTGACAAAGCAAGACCCTGCCTCTAAAAAAAAGAAATAAGGAAACATTTGTTTGATTAAAAATCAAAACACCTCAGCTGGATACAATGGCACCTGCCTGTCTGCCTGTAGTCCCAGCTACTCGGGAAGCTGAGGTAGGAGGATCACTTGAGCCTAGAAGTTCAAGGTCAACCTAAGCAACATAGAAAGACCCTCATCTCTAAAAAAAAAAAAAAGAGAAAGCAGGCTGGGAGGCCGAGGTGGGCAGATCACGAGGTCAGGAGTTTGAGACCAGCCTAGCCAACATGGTGAAACCCCCCCGCTACTAAAAATACAAAAATTAGCCAGGCATGGTGATGAGCACCTGTAATCCCAGCTACTCAGGAGGCTGAGGCAGGAGAATTGCTTGAATCCAGGAAGTGGAGGTTGCAGGGAGCCAAGATCATGCCATTGCACTCCAACCTGGGTGACAAGAGTGAAACTCTGTCTCAAAAAAAAAGGCATTATTTTGTACCCCATAAATACATGTTATATGTGCTTGTAATTTGTCAATTAAAAAATCAACTAATTTGGCTGGGCGCAGTGGCTCACACCTGTAATCCCAGCACTTTGGGAGACAGAAGCGGGCGGATCATGAGGTCAGGACATTGAGACCATCCTGTCCAAAATGGTGAAACCCCATCTCTACTAAAAATACAAAAATTAGTTGGGTGTGGTGGCGGGTGCCTGCAGTCCTGGCTACTCAGGAGGCTGAGGCAGGAGAATCGCTTGAACCAGGGAGTCAGAGGTTGCAGTGAGCCGAGATCGTGCCACAGCACTCCAGCCTGGTGATAGAGTGAGACTCTGTCTCAAAAAAAAAAAAAAAAAAAGTCAACTAATTTAAGAATCAGAGCCAAAATAAAGTACCTTGGTATAATTCCAACAAAAAATAGCCAAGACTCTTATGGAAAAAATTTTTGACATATCAAATCCTTTGATGGGGCTCCTAAAGAAATGAGGTAAATAATAACCCTCCCTTTGAGACTTTCTAGGTGCAAGAGGCTGAGGTGCCGATGAGATGAAGGGAACAGAGTCCCTGTCTTTATAGAACTCAGAATTACCTACACATTTGAAAGAGTGAAGAATGAAGGAATGTGTGGGTGAGGTGGTGCGAAGAGTGCACTAGCTCTTTTGGTGGGGAAGAACTCCTACGCTGTTTGCACTTCCTCACCCTCTGCAGCCAACAGGAGAAACCCTGGCTTCGGGTGCATTGCACAGGAAGTCCTTTGGTGGAAGAGGGCTTTGTAACATTATCCAAGATCAGGAAGGGAAATGGATGCACTGTCAGCTTAACAATGTCCAAGTCACAGGGAAGATTGGAATTTGTGTGCAGACCTAATGAAAGCTTTTAGTAGGAATCTAAGCCTTGCAATGAAAGATGGCTTTCATTGTTTTTAGATAGTTTGTGAAAAAAAAAAGAAAAGAAAAGAAAGAAGGAAAGAAGGAAGGAAGGAAAGAACGAGAAGGAAAGAAAGAAAGAAAAAAGAAAGAAGGAAGGAAGGAAGGAAAGAACGAGAAGGAAAGAAAGAAAGAAAAAAGAAAGAAAGAATCTAACTGTAACGCAGAGATGAGGTTGTTTCTAATGTGGGAAGGAAGGAAAGAGAGAAAAAGGAGGAAAAGAAAGAAAGAGAAAGAAAGAAGGAAGGAAGGAAAGAAATAAAAAGAAAGAAAGAAAGAGAAAGAAAGATACAATTGTAACACAGAGGTGAGGTTTTTTCTAATGTGCTTCCTCCATCCAGCCTCTGCTGTACTCAGGAATCAGTTCACCTCTCTTTTCTATGCAGGAGTGGAACTGGGCAGGTGGAGCTAATAACTTGGGGCTTACTAAATTTTGAGGAAGGAGTAGCCTGAGAAACTGGAGAGGAACTTAAAAGAACATTGAGAAAAGAAGAATGTGGCCAGGTGCAGTGGCTCACACCTGTAATCCCAGAACTTTGGGAGATGGAGGCGGGGTGGATCACTTGAGGTCAGAAATTTGAGATCAGCCTGGCCAACATGGCGAAACCCCATCTCTACTAAAAATACAAAAATTAGCTGGGCATGGTGGAAGGCGCCTGTAATCCCATAATCCCAGCTACTCGGGAGGCTGAGGCATGAGAATCGCTGGAACCTGGGAGGCAGAGGTTGCAGTGAGGTGATAGAGCGAGACTCCATCTCAAAAAAAAAAAAAAAAAAAAAAAAGAAGAAGGCATTTGGGGGAGCAAAAGAGGGAATATACCCATGGGGCAACCCAGACATGTGGGCAGTGGCAATGAAATCTTGGAAGCTGGGCTGTCTAGACTAGAGGGCACAACTCCAGATTTTTTCATCTGCCCCAAGTTGTGTGGTTATGGGTTTCCCACTGAAGTTGGCCTATGCAGTAGCCAGCTTAAGGATAGTACTGTTCCCCTTATTTTCCAAGTGCATGGAGGGCACTCAACACCTTGTCAGAGTGGGCCAGAAATGCAGCTGCAGACCAGTCCAGCTGGAGAAAGAGGAGATGGGTCCCCTTGACTGTTGTCCTTGTCTGAAGATCAGGCACAGGCCAACAGACAATGTGTCTGTGTCTTGGGCTACAGAGCTATTGGTGGCTGAGTTCGGTTGGAGGGAGGCTTAGGACCCTACCCTTTTTGTTTGGGAGAAACGAAAAGGCCTTGGTCAAGCTGGACATGATGACTCACGCCTGTAATCCCAGCACTTTGGGAGCCAAAGCAGGTGGATCACCTGAGGTCAGGAGTTCGACACCAGCCTGGCCAACATGGTGAAACCCCGTCTCTACTAAAAATACAAAAAATTAGCTGGGTGTGGTGGCAGGTGCCTGTAATCCCAGCTACTTTGGAGGCTGAGGCACGAGAATCACTTGAACCTGGGAGGTGGAGGTCACAGTGAGCTGAGATCGCACCATTGCACTCCAGCCTGGGCAACAAAAGCAAAGCTGTGTCTCAAAAACAAACAAACAAACACAAACAAAAAACAGAAAAAGAAAAAAGTAAAGGCCTTGGTCATGCTGGAGGCTGGAGGGACCTCCCTTCGGGGAGGGGACAAAATGGCCAGTTTGGAACTTGTTTTCTGACTATATGAAGGAGGACTGAGTCCCACCTGTCCTTTCTGGCAGCTTTCATCAATGTGAAGCTCATCTAATGAGCCTGTCCTTGATGGCAGAGTTCTTGCATGGCTCTTACACATGAATGGAGCAAAAGAGAAAGGATTTTCCCACCATTATGATACTGTTCTATCTCACCTGGAATGCCTCTTCTCTTCTTTTCCAGTCATCCAGAGCTCAACTCAAACCTCATCCTTTCCAGGTTACCCTGGACCACAGTGATCTCACCTTCCTTCCCAAAGTGCTTCGAGGTTTCTCGTCTACATTATTCCTTTACCATTTCTGTAAATATGTATGCTGCCTGTGTCATGTCTTGTGTTGTTAATTGCACTTGTTATAAGTGTAGGTTTTCTGTTTTCATTAGATAGTACTTTTTTTCAGATCCTTTTATAGTCTTTATATTGTCCAAAGTATGTGTTTATAGTAGTTGCTTAATTAATACTGATTGAATACACTTGTGAATAAATTTATAAATGAACAAATGAGGCCGGGCATGGTGGCTCATGCCTGTACTCCCAGCATTTTGGGAGGCCGAGGCGGGTGGAACACCTGAGGTCAGGAGTTTGAGACCAGCCTGGCCAACATGGTGAAACTCTGTCTCTACTAAAAATACAAAAAAATTAGCTGGGCATGGTGGTGGGTGCCTGTAATCCCAACTACGTGGGAGGCTGAGGCAGGCGAATTGCTTGAACCTGGGAAGCGGAGGTTGCAGTGAGCTGAGATGGCGCCATTGCACTCCAGCCTGGGTGATAGAGTGAGACTCTGTCTCAAAATAAATAATTAAAAAAATAAGTGAATGACTGAACCACAAGAGGACTGAACACATCCTACCTTTGAGTGCTTCTTTGTGATGACTTGGTGTTAGAGTCAGGCAGAGGTCATTACAACCTCGTGGATGAGATTTCTGCACCCTCTTCCCTCTAGGGTTTGTTTCAGTAAAGAACTGTCATGTTGTTAACTCCAACTCCTTTCCAAACATACATGTTACCTCAGACGACCAGGGTCCTCACGACCCCTGGTGTAGTTACTGAGCACAGCTTTGTGTTTATTCACATCCTGTCTCCAAGTAGCCAGTAGTAAGATGCTGGTTAATAACTCTTACTGTATATTGCAAGGGTACTTAATCACTTCCACATGCCCCTCGACTTCATGTTATATTGTTTCAGCTGCTAATTTTTGAAATCCCCCAAACAAGACCTCTACTCTGAAACATGTGCTTCAGAGCTGTTTCTTTCTGCCCTGCTCTTCTAGAAAACTTACATGTGGTTTATTTCAACAGCAGCACTGAAGGGGAAACATGTTCATAATTTTTCTCCCTATTTTCCTCCTTTGAGTCTCTTTTCTGCCAAAGCTCTTGGCTGGGATCCAGAAATGGCACATTCAATAATACCCAGTGTGTTTGAGTAATATTTTATAATTACATTGTTGCTGGGAAAATGGTTGCCTTGAGAATAATTCCTCTGCATAAACAAAGTCTGGGACCCCTGTGCCCCTTCACACCCCCTTGCTGTGGGGAGAGGGAGGCAAGAAAGAAGAAGGAAAGAAAGGAAGGAGAAAAGGAAGGAGAGAGGAATGTGACATTTTCCTGCTTGGCTTTAGAAAGGGGACATGTTAGAGAAGATTTATAAATTGGTGAAGGATGAGTATTAACAGCTTTTAGGAACCCTGCCAATTTTATGCTTGGAACTGATGTTCACCAGAAGGTAAACAGGAAAGCCATGTCCAGGTGTCTAGGAGGTGGAGGGTGGACGGCATTGTGGATTAGAAACTGAGGATCTGGTCGACTCTCCTGCCCTCCCCACATTCATATTCTCCCACTTGGCTCCTCCAGGCAGCTACCCTTTCCAGCCTCACCTGAAGTTGGGTTCTGAGATTCAAGGGGGATGCATATTAGAAGGTCCAGAGGAAAGACTTCTGGTGGGTGAAGGGAAGGAGGGCTGTTGCTAACAGTGGCTTTAATTGGGAGGTCTTCTTAGCTGTAACCTCAAGAACCTACATAGGGCAGGGCTGTCTCTCAAGCAGCTGTTCGCCAGGTTGGTTAGAAAACCTGGGGATGGGTGTTCATGTGGGCTTCAGTTGCCACAACTTATGAGGACTTGACTGTACTTTATTAACTACAGCATTTTGGAAGGGGCTCCATGCAGACCTCCCCTCCCAGTTGCTTCCGTTCTAGATCTGAACTCTGGGTGTGAGGTGCTAGGATGCAGCTCCAACCCCAGGAAAATGTCACCACTCACAAGAAGAGATATCTCTCCAGGATGGTCACCCAAAAGTAAACGCCCCACAGGGACCACTGCAGAGCCTGGAAAGTAAGAAAAGATCAAGGCATGTGGTGTGCAGCATCAGAGGTCATTTGCGGGTTACTCTTGCACTCTGGCTTGAATGGGTGACAACAGCTTGTGTGCTCATCGTCTTCCTGACATTTCCAAACAATTCAGGATAGATCATTAGAGTAGTTTCAGCCAAAAGGAGCTTTTAGTTAGAGTCCAAGATGTCATTTATTAAGGACAAAAAAAGTAAAAATCACATTTTAAAGAACTAAATCCCCAGACCCTATCTTCAGATCCCAATCCTCCAAAATAACATAAAAAGTCAAACCCTCAAACAAAATAAAGTACCACGCACCAATTCCAAGTCTCCTGGGACTCCCTGAGGATCTGCCGTGTCCTCCTTTCCAACCTCTTAGTCTGTTCTGGCTGCTGTAACAAAATATCATACTGGGTGGCTTATAAACAACAGAAATGTATTTTTTACAGTTCTGGAGGCTGGGAAGTCCAAGATCAAGGCAATGGCAGACTCGATGTCTGGTGAGACCAGCCTTCTCAATGATGGCATCTTCTTGTGTCCTCACATGGTGGAAGACTCAAACGAGCTTCCTTGGGCTTCTTTTGTAAGGGCACTAATCCCACAGACTGTAAGCACCACCAGGGCAGGAATTATTGTTATTATTATTATTCAATGAGTTTTGCAACTCATTGAATCCCAAGTACCTGGCATAGAAGCTGGAATATAATAGTCTCTCAAAAACTTCTGGATGAGCCTTTAGAAAGCAGAACATTCTATCATTTGCAACAACATGGATGGACCCAGAAGACATTATGCTAAGTGAAGTAGGCCAGACACAGGGAGACAAATACTGCATGATCTCACTTATATGTGGAATCTAAAATAGTCGTCAGATTTATAGAAGAGTAGAATGGTGGTTACCAGAGGCTGCCAGAGGCTGGGGGATGTGAGTAAGGAAGGGTGGTGTAGATGGGAAAAGGGGAAGTGTTGGTCAGTGGGTACAAAGGTTTAGTTAGACAGGAGACATATGTTCTGCTGACCTATTATACAGCATGGTGACGATGGTTAATAATAACATACTGTACATTTTAAAATACTTAAAGAATAGATTTTAAATGTCTTTACAACAAAAAAGATACTTATTTAAGGTGATAGATATGTTAATTAGCCTTATTTGATCTTTCCACAACGTATATATGCATCAAAAATCACATTGCACCCCATAAATATGTATGATTATTTGTCAACTTAAAATAAGAGAAAACTGACAGGTACAGTGGCTCACTCCTGTAATCCCAGCACTTTGGGAGGCCGAGGTGGGTGGATCTCTTGAGCCCAGGAATTTCAGACTAGCCTGGGAAACATGGCAAAACCCTATCTCTATAAAAAATACAAAAATTAGCCAGGCCTGGTGGCCTGTGCCTGTTGTCCCAGCTGCTTGGGAGGCTGAGGCAGGAAGATTGCTTGAGCCCTGGAGGTTAAGGCTGCAGTGAGTCATGTTTGTGCCACTGTCCTCCAGCCTGGTCAGCAAAATGAGACCCTGCCTCAAAAAAGTAAAATAAAATAAGATAGAACTTTTAGAAACCTTCTTGATAGATGAGCAAATTAAATCATGAAAGATACGTTAGTTAAAAGAGAAACCAAGTAAAAAGCATTAGGAAATACGGTCTGGGAGAATTTCCAACTCAATTTAAAGAACACTTCTTGGCCAGGTTGAGTATTTACTCTGCTCTTTGTGTATGTAACTTGCCACTGAGTCTGTGTATGGGTGGGAATGGTCTGGTTCCCCGTCGAGTTTGGGAATACTACTACATTTTAATGTGATTTGCCTTCACTGATCTGAGCTGTTTCACATGATTGCTGGGGAAACAGGCATTAAATGATTCCCAGTCACCTAGCTCCTTCTGTGGTACATGGAAAAAATGACTTATATTTATTTTGATAATGTGTTTACATTTAAATACAGTTTGAAGCTATTTTCTCTCTGCAGTCTTCTCTTGGGCCACAGCCATAGAAAAAGCACTGTTGCCACTAATTTTTGAATTCTCAATTTCTATCATTTCTGCTCAGGAGAATCTTGGGTCTTCTTACAGGGGAACAGAGAGCCTGACTAGCACTCCTACCCGGGGAGCGAGGGGAGCCTGGAGCTTCACTAATACAAGCTAGAGGGGAGATTTTGATTGATCCGATTTATAAAACACAAGGTTAGAGCTTTCAGCAGCTCCTTCTTGCATCCAGCCAAAAGCAAACTCGCCAAAACATGCTTGCTGAGATTCTGCCTCATTTTAAGCCTTGGTAAAATGCATTTCTCTCTGTGTCCTCTCTTTAATTCGCTCTTGTCACACCCTAACATGATAAGCCTGGAGAATCCATTAGGGTGCTGAGGGAACGGAGACTTAAGATCAAGTCACAGCAAGGGGCTTCTCAGGTGGATAAAATGCCAACGTGACTTAGTTTATATAGGAACTTGGGAGGCCCCCGATCAACAAATCCACTCCCCTTTATTGACCTGGCTGGAATTTTTGCCACAGAGATTACAAAACTGGGAGCAATTAGCTGGAGATATTAATAGGTTCTGTCATGTAAAGTATTTGTAACAAAGCCTTCGGTTGAATTCCAGACTGAGAAGTTTTACTCCTGGAGCCAAAGAAGGCTTTGTTCTGGTTGACATCATGAAACTATTTTTAGGGTCCAAGTCTGCTCTGGCAAGGGGACTGAGGGTTCACTGTCCCCTCCTCCTGCCTCCAGACCTCTTGTGCCAATGCCACCCCCATCCCTTTTCTTCCCCAGAGCTGGGCACGTGGCTGGATGTGACTAGGAAGAGATGAAGGTTTCGAGAGAATCAGTCCCTGGTGGGCTGCTCTCTCTGCATGGCTTAGAGGGGTGGGACATCACCTGACCCAAACTAGGGTAGGCAAATTCTTTTCCAGCTCCTGGAAACTGTGGTTGGGAGTTTGGAAAGAGTGAGGAAGGTCATGTGGCCTTCTTCTGACATAGGAGACATTTGGTTCTGTATCAAAAAATGTTTCTATGATGTCCTGACTTCCTTATGGACTCCTATACTCTATGTTTGCTCAGGGTCTGATACAAAAGGACAGATTTGATTTAGAAGAGAAGGAAAGGTCCCCTGAATATGGCAGTACTCCGAGTCCTATTTTATATTTGTGGAGTTCTTTGTACTTTTTCTATCAGTTTTATCCTCTGATTTAATGTGATCCCCTAACCACCCTATGCAGGATCTGGTATCCTGGTGATGGGGAAACTGAGGACCAGAGAAGATAAATCATTTTCCCAAGGTGATTTAAAGGAATAACAATCCATATTTCCCAATTCCTGTTGCATTTTTTTCCAGTAGGCTGAGCATGTTTCCCCAGCTGGAGGAGAGGGTTTCCAGGAAGAGCCTGTCCCAAGGAAGAATTTTTCTGCTTTGGCCTGGCATGACCTACCACAGGGGTAAGCTGAGCTGGGTCACATCCCTCAAGCATGCTGGGTGATCTTCCACCCTGTCACATGGCTGGGCAATGGTTCCCGGTGTTGGCAGGGCACTTCCCATTTTCTCCTTTCCTCATGGTACTCCTAGGCTAAATGTGAACCTCACAGGACACTGAGTGGTGTTTCCAAGTTGTCCTGATACCTGAGGGGCATGCAGATTTATAGGTATAAGGCCACCCCCAGGCCATGCGGTGACTTTGCATGAATTAGCAAAAGGTGCCTCCTTTAAGTCAACAGGTTCACAGCAGCGCACAGAACTTGGGAGAGGGGGCCTGATCAGCCCCACTTGGTCAGGAACCCACCAAGGAATCTTTATGCAGAGAATCTAGGAAAGAGAATAGAGCCTGGATCCTGGGCTTCCTCCTCCCTGATCATTACACAGGAGTCTGGGAAATTATCATCCACACAACAGATGTGTTCAGTTGCTTGGTGGGTGTCAACCCAATGACCACAACCAAGGAAGATTTAGCAAGGGATGTTATCACTTGTAACAAGTAAGGAGAACACCAGGTATCGTTCCCAAAGCAGTGTCTCTCTGAGTTGGGGGCTGGGTCAGGTTTTATAAGCATAGGGTAATGAGGTGTGATCTGATTGGATCTTGCAATGAGGTGATGCCAGGAGGCGGGATCTGACTGGATCCTGCCATGGGGTGACACCAGAGCTCAATCTGATTGGATCCTGGATCCTGCCATGTTGGATTCACTCCTTAATTCAGTCCCCACTCCTCAACCCCAGCACTTAGGTTCCCCGGATGGCTGCCTGCTTGGTTCAACTGGGCATGCTCAGGTTAGGGTCCATGGCAACTGAAAAACAACAACTCACAACTTTGTTACATAAAAGTTGAACCAGATTGGTCTGGTCCAGCTACAAAATCACTGGTGGGGGTGAGGGTTGGCTGAGTGGGCTCCCTCATACAGTAGAGCCTGACTAAGGAATTCATTCTCTCTTGTTTTCCAAGCTTTAAGCCTTCTGAAGGAATGAGCAGCATTTCTCACCTCCTCTCAAGGACAGCCAGGGCTCTGTGTTCCGAGAGCTGGACTTCCCTCGCCCCAGGGGAGAAACAAGTATAGGCTTGTTTTGGGGAGGAGCTGGTTTATCCAAGAGCTGGAGGACTTTCAGGTTGAAGGAGAAGGGAGGTCCATCCTGAGAAAGAGTGAGATGCCTGCACAGGAGGCTGAAGTGGTGCCAGGCTCTTTGTGAGTGGAGACCTGCGTGTACTCTGCCTCCCTACAGTGGGCTGGAGGTTGCAGGACCTTGGGTAGGATGAGTGTGGAGATGTCTGTGGCTTGAACAGGAACACTACCTCCCTTCCTGGCTTGGAAGAAGGATATTTGAAGCCGCAGAGTCTTCCCATTGAGCATCAAAGTAATGAGTACAAGGCACTGAAGAAAGGCGGCCCTTCCCCAAGTTTCCTGGATTGCGTAAACCCCAGGATGTTTTTTATGACCTGAAAGGAATTAAAAGTGACTTAAGAGGCTGAGCCAGGTTTAAGCTCATTTAGAGAAACAAAGAAATGGGTTGTTTCTTGTGCCCAAGAGTTATGGACTAAATTCATACTGTTTACAAGTTCCTCCAAAGGCTTAAAATTCACATCCAGTCAGCCCATAACCCCTCCCCGGCTGTCGTCCCATGACACACACGTGGAAGACCACTTCTCGTCTTCATCTGTGATTCCCCCAAACATAACATAGTTGGACTTTCCGTTTGGAAAGTGTTTCTTCTTTAAGGCAGCCAATTTAAAACTAAATTTTAGTCTGGCTTCACCTGTAAAATGTTTGTGGTAGAGGCGGGGGTATAGGCAGGAAAGCTCATTGTGGAATTTGCTTGTATGTCTTGAGATCCATCTTTCTTTTTTTTGAAAATGGAGTCTCGCTCTGTCGCCCAGGCTGGAGTGCAGTGGCGCAATCTCTGCTCACTGTAACCTCCGCCTCCTGGGTTCAACCAATTCTCCTGCTTCAGGCTCCCTAGTAGTTGGGACTACAGGCGTGCAACACCACACCTGGCTAATTTTTGTATTTTTAATAGAGACGGGCTGGTCTTGAACTCCTGAACTTAAGTGATCCACCCGCCTGGGTGATCCATCCTCTCAAAGTGCTGGGATTACAGGGGAGAGCCACTGTGCCCGGTCTTGAGATCCATCTTGACTTCTGGGAAACCTGGTAATATCTCTGATCCCCAAAGACACAGATTTGTGTCATGGGGCTTCTCCAGGGTGTTGAGGAGCCCTGGAATCAGTGAGAAAATTTTAAGGTTCTATAATATTGGAAAACGGAACTTGCCTAACTCTGAAAGTCTGAGGGGCAGAGCCTGGGAAGGTAGCCCCTCTGAGAACTGTGCTTCTAAATGTTCTTCTTGTCACCAAGCCTTTCTCCCCATGCCCCAGTCCTTCTGGGCAATTTGCAGCTGGGTCCTCACATGTCAGCTGGAGGATGGTGAGATTCCTGCCTCTCCTTTTTCTTGAGTACAGAAGAGGTTCTATGATGACCTGGATTCTCATCAGATCTTAAGACCACTTTAAATGAAAGGCACTGTAAGAGAAAAGTTTATTCTTTCTGCGAAGATAAAACCTGCATTAGATCCAGATTATTGCTGTCCTGCCTCTCTCCTTCCCCTGCTAAACCTGGAACCGATTCTGTGGGTGGTTTGAAATTTGAAAGAGGGAGCAGTAATTTCAATTCTATGTCCTGATGGAAAGTGTTACAATCATTTCCTCTTGGACTGAACAAAACTCAAACCAGGGTAATTTTAGATTCAGTCCACCCATGGTTATTACTCATTTTGAGCCTCTGATACAGAGAAAAAGAAGACCCCCTTTGGAACTCCTTTTCTGTTTTTGCTCTGATCTCCTCCTTACCCCACCTGGAAAACATGGATGGTCAGGAACAAATGTTGCAGGGCAAAGATTTACACCAACAGCTACCTCTGTGAAGTCCACAAGGCTGGCCGGGTCTCTCCAGCCCCCTCTCCACCAAAAGGCAGTTTGCCAAGCTGTGCACAGGGGGTCCTGTGGTTCTGACCTGCTCTGTGCCCCTGGGGCTGGCTGTGCTCTTCACCCACACCCTGGAGATGAATGTCAGGGCTCCTCCTTCTCTCTGCTCCATCTGCTCACCAGAGGCTGTGGCCTTCTCATTAGGTCTTGCTGATGGAATCTCATTTTACTTTTCTGCACCCCAAAGTGCACTCTTGAGGACCCACCAGTCCGGAGTTTCTGGCTTTCTAGAGCTGCGTAGCCAGCTGGCTGTACCCACTTCCTTGGCTACCATTGCTTGCGGCTCAGGGAATTTGTCAGCCATGGCCCCTGGGGAACGAGCTCCTGCCAAGCTCTGCTCTTTTTCAGTCTTCTCCTTGGCTCCCTCCCTCTTCCCTTAGCTCTGCACACTTTGTTTTCTCTCTTCTTCCATCCAGGCGAGGTTCCTGTTCTTTAGACAATGAGAGCCTTCATGAGGAACCAGAATCCAGAATAAGGAATAGGAGAAGGTCGCTGAAGGGTCAGGACAGTGCATTGCAGAACAATAGTCAAGGGCATTGTCAGTGCTGGCTGATGTATTGGCCAAAGGAGTCTGGACCATGCTAAAGAGTGCACAGAGGGCATGGTCAACAGGGAGAAACATCAGCAAGAAAACTGGGACATGAAGAGCTTGCCATGGTCATTTTCAGGTGAAATACTGTTGTCGAAATTTCACTCTAGACTGAGGAAGCAGTAATGGGACAATAGCTTGTCTACTGAAAATCAAGCCTTGTGGATACTGACTTGCCCTAATCTCTTTCAGCTTCTGAAAGGAGTGGTAAATGATATAGGGGGCTCCTCCCCCAGGCTTGGTTCTGTCCACCAGGGCTGGGCACTATATGGTACGGGAACCTCAGGGAAATTTATCTGGGCATTACCAGATAAATGCCACCTACATGTCTCCTCTTTCAGAAAGATTACTGGGAGAAAAAAACCTGAAAATAACCCAGGAGATTCCAAGATTCAACTAATAACCAGGAATAGTAGCAAGGAAGAGACTAAGGGAAGGCATCTAAGAAACAACATAACTGCCTGTAAAACCCGCTGATGAGTTCAGATTTTAAGAGTGATCCCCCAAAAGATGGAAGCTAAGGCCAGTCCACAGGGATGAGGTCAGGGAGACTCAGGGCCACAATGAGCTGTGGATTGTGAAATGTGTCAAACAACAAAATGGACTATTTGGAGTAAGGAAATGACAACAGAATAAAGCCAATGCCGGGGAAAGATTGTGTAATCGCTGAAGAACCTAGCCTCTTTTTGTCTTAAGAGCCAAAAGAACTTTCAAGATCATGTTGTCAGTGGTAGAGTCATTCCCCCTATTTATTATTCTCTTTTCTTGTTGACTAATAAAGCTCTCTTCCCCCTTGCCCCATTCCCAGCTTTAGCTGGATACATGACCGCTCAATTACAAACTGAATTTCCCAGCCTTTTTCACAGCTAGGTGGCAATGTGGCAATGACACCGGCCAGTGGGATATGAGCATGAGCAGAATGATGTGTGCAATTCTAGTTAAAGAGGAAAGTCCTGGGCCTTCCTTCCCCATTGCTGCTGCCTTGGATCCAGAAGCAAAAGTCACATGTTGACCCCCTAGCCTGGCTCCCTGGACCTTTTTGAGTAGAGCTAACCCACCATCCCTGAACCACTTTTAATGGCAAAACCCGCAATTACTTTTGCACCAACCTAATAATTTTAGGTTTGGTGAAAAAGAGGCATAAACTTCTTATTTAAGCCACTGTACTTTGGCATGTCTTTGTTACAACACCTTAGCCTATAAACCTTAATCAGCACACAATCTAAAGGTCTCATTTTGCAGAAGAGGGAAAGACACCCAGATATGTTTAAAAGCACTGATAAGTTATTGATGAAGTGGGACCAGAACCTATGTCAACTGTTGTGAGTATAATAACTCTTTCTATTCTACCTTCTGACTCAGAGAACACAGAGCCCATCAAATCCTAGTTACCATGTCTTTTCCACTAAAGAGAATAATCTTCAACCTGGAAATGGTGGAACAAATGTTGACCGGAAGGAAATGATGCCAAAGACAGGAAATAGAGTTTCATTTCGAATCAGTTGAGGACTCCAGATTGTCGTGTGTTTGATCAGAAGCTCAGTTAAATCACCTTCCAGGGTATGGAAAACATCAATCTTTCTGATAACTGCAGCCTGGGGAAAGTTCTTTCTTCTACAAGCCACTGGCATATTTTTATTAGGGCCAGGTCCTTCCAGCTGTAAGGTTGAGTGTATTCCTCTGTGGCTCAAGCCACAGCCTCAGGGGACGAGCTGGAGACCACGACCTGGAGGAAGACACCTCTTCCCCAAGCTTGCTCTCTGTCCACGTGTGTGCTATGGTGACGATTCTATGCCTAGATATTATTTCTTTAGATCCTCAGGGCTTTTCTGTCTTCCAGAACTCTTTTCCTTCATAAAGCTTTAGTTTGCATATGCAGAGAAAAGCTGATGATAGGAGATCCAGCAGGTTGGCCCCCAGTAAACTTCACCCATGTTCCCAGTGTGCTTAGCCCAACCCAGTGGTTGGAACCTCTGATTTTTGTGTGCCTTGATGGCAGTACAAACAGACTGGACAGGGCCAGATTTGTGATGGTGATGACCTGCCCACCATGCTGAGTCCTTGACCTGGGATGTGACTCACAAAGCCAGCCGTTCACCTTATACATTTCATGCATTCCACACCCTGACTCGACGCAAGCTCAGAAGGTCACTGTATTAGTCATCATTCTCCAGAAATGCAGAAGCAATGGTGTGTGTGTGTGTGGGTGTGTGGAGAGACAGAAAAAAAAAAAAAAAAGAGAGGAGAGAGAGAGTGATTTATTATAAAGAATCAGGCCGGGCACAGTGGCTCACGTCTGTAATCCCAGCACTTTGGGATGGTGAGGGGGGTGGATCACCTGAGGCCAGGAGTTCGAGACCAACCTGGCCAACATGGTGAAACTCCGTTTCTACTAAAAATACAAAAAATTAGCCAGGTGTGGTGGTGGGCACCTGTAATCCCAGTTACTTGGGAGCCTGAGGCAGGAGAATTGCTTGAACCCGGGAGGTGGAGGTTGCAGTGAGCTGAGATCGCGCCATTGCACTCCAACCTGCGCGACAAGGTGAAACTCCGTCTCAAAAAAAAAAAAAAATTTGCTTACATGATTATGGAGGCTGGCAAGTCCCAAGATCTGCAGGAGGCCAGCTGGAGATCCAGGAGAGCTGATGGTTTAACTTCAGTAAGTCCGAAGGCCTGAAAACTAGAACAGCCAGTGGTGTAGTTCCAGTTCAAAGGCCGATAGGCAGGAAGAATTCTCTCTTACTCAAGGGTCAGTAATTTTGTTCTATTCAGGTTTTCAACTGATTGAATAATCCCCCCATCACTCACATTATGGAGAGCAATCTGCTTTACTCAGTCTACTGATTTAAACATTAATCTCAAAACACTTTAGCAGAAACACCCAGAATAATGTTTGACCAAATATCAGGGGACCCTATGGCTCTATCAAGTGGACACATAAAACTAACCACCATAGTGGATTGTCTTGTTGTTCTCTTGGGAGGGTGTCAGGAAAGGGCATGTGGTATGTGGAAGTGGGGGGTGGAAAAGTGCATCGTTTTTGAGTGTGACATCCACATTTTGTGCAAAACACTGAACATAAATTAGAATGTAAAATTAAGAGACTCAGAGGACTAGAGCTCTGTATTTTCAAATATGTGTGAGTTAAACTCCTATTATTCTATCTAAGTCTTTGTCCCAACAGATAGACAGACAGACACACAGTCCCCAAAGTTTAAATGAAACAGATGACTTTCCTATTCCATTAGGTCACCAGAGATCCCTTCCAGGTCTCCCTGCTCATATTTGGCATTTCCACCTTCAGGTCCATCAAAAGGCAGACACATCCAAGACAATAAGATGTCTTTCTCTTCCTGGAAATATATTTTCCATTCATTCTTTCAATCATTCACTCATTTAAACATATTATTGGAGTGCTTGCTCTATGCTGGTAGGGAAGGTATCTTGTTCTTTCTCCCATTGTCTTTAAAAGAGTTTGGTGCTCTGGGAATCATATAAAGTCTAAGGAAGTGTGGGGAGTGGGCCTGGAAGTGAGGAGAAAACAGCAGGAGAGGAATAGTGGTGGCACGAATGAAACAGAGGAAGAGAATGATAGATAAAGTAAGACAGTGTGGGGCTGGGCGCAGTGGCTCATGCCTGTAATCCCAGCACTTTGGGAGGCTGAGGTGGGTAGATCACCTGAGGTCAGGAGTTCCAGACCAGCCTGGTCAACGTGGTGAGACCCTATCTCTACTAAAAATACAAAAATTAGCCAGGTGTGGTGGCAGGCACCTGTAATCCCAGCTACTTGAGAGGCTGAGGCAGGATAATTGCTTGAACCTGGGGAGGCAGAGGTTGCAGTGAGCTGAGATCATGTCACTGCACTCCAGCCTGGGTGACAGAGCGAGACTCTGTCTCAAAAAAAAAAAAAAAAAAAAAAAGATAAGACAATGTGGTGGAGTTAAAACTTAGGAAGCACTGGGAATGAAGACATGATGTGAGAGGGAGGGACCGAGCAGAAAAGTGGGCTGAGAAGGCAGCTGGGATAATGGGAGAATTTTAGAGTCAGAGTTGAAAGACCTAGACCTAAGTCCTATTCCACTATCATCATTTGTGTTTTTTCATTCATTAATCCCTTCAACTAATATTTACTGAACACAAACTATCTTTGTGGTATTGTGTGAAGCATAGAAATATTGAAATACCAGGACAGATGAAGTCCATCTCTTTCTATCATCACAGTGTGTAGGCAGAATTCTAAGGTGGTCCCCATGATCTCCACTCCCTGTTGTTACAACCTATATAGTACCAGTTGCATGAATATAGGTGGGATCTCTGAATTGCTTTTAGTTTTAAGAATACGGGAGAGGTGATGGGATATCACTCCTGTGGTTACTCTGGGAAGACTTGATCTGGCTCTCTTGGTGGCCTTGAAGAAGCAAACAGCCATGTGGTGAACAGTCCACCGAAAGGGTTATGTGGTAATGAGATGAGAGCAGCCCTGAGCCAACGACCAGCAAGAAGACAGGACCCTCAGTCCTGCAGCAACATGATGAATTCTGCCAACAACCTAAGGGAGCTTCCAAGTGGATTTCTCCCCAGTCACACCTTCAGATGAGAACACAGTCCAGTCAACACCCTGATTGCAGCATTATGAGATTGTGAACAAAAAATCCAGCTAAGCCATGATTGAATTCCTGACTCATAGAAACTGTGAGATAATAAACACCTGTTATTCAGGTCACTAAATTTGTGGTAATTTGTTATGCAGTTTAGAAAACTATGTATTCATAGATTTTACCATTTAAATGAAAAAACGGAGTTCAATGCAGTTCAATAAGTACTGGGGTAGATTGCATTCTTTGCCCTAATATTTCACATCCCTTCTCTGTCCTTGTTCTTTGCCATGTGACTTTAGAATTTGTCCTACTAAAGGAATGAGGCATATTTTTTCCTACCCTCTGACTTTGGTTTTAGCCAGTGGAATGGTGCAGACATGACCTTGTGCCTATTCCAAGCCTAGGCTTCACACACGTCTGTTTGCCCTCTTCTGCCCCTACCATCACCACGAGAAGAACCCACTGAAGTCAGTTGGGCTGAAGAGAGTGAGAGACGTGTGGAGCAGAGGCTGGTCCCAGTGGCTCACCAACCTCAATGAGAAGCAGAGTGGCCACCCCGCCACTGCATCCTGAAATGAAGCCACCATCTGAGCCTGAACTAGACCTGTCATGCCCAGCTGACCTGCAGCCCATGAGAACCTGGGAATATGGTTTCAAGTCACTGGATTTTGAAGCAGTTTGTTATGCAGTATTTTTGTGCCCACAGTCAATTGTTACAATCACACAAATAATTAATTACAATTGTGACACCTGTCATGAAGGAGAAATATGAAGAGATATGAGAGTACAGAACTGAGTAACGCAACCTTTTTGGGGAGATAAAAGAAGGTTTTTCTGAAGAAATAACGTTGAAGTTGAGACCCTGAGTAAGAATTTAACTAAGCAAAACGAGGTTGGATTGAAATATTCCAGGCAGAGGGAATAGCAGGTACGAGATCCTGCGGCAGGAACTGTTTAGCACATTTGAAGAGCTAAAGAAAGGCTAATGTGACTGGAGCTCAGGGGGATGGTGGGAAGAATTAGGTGTGATGAAGGTAAAGATAAAGACGTAGACAGGGATTGACCATAAAGGGCTTGGGAGTCATGTTAAGCATTTTCTTCTTCCCCCTCCTCCTCCCTCTCTTCTTCTTCTTCTAGAAATAATGGGGACCTCGTATGAGTTTTAACTTAAGGAATGAAATGAGCAGGTTTCAGTTCTGAAACAACACTCAGCATGCTGTGAGAATGGCACAAATATGGCAAGAGTAGTGTTGGATGACCAGAGAAGAGGCTGCCTTGTTGGCTCTGGGGAGACATCACAGTGAGGGAGGCGACAGTCTAGTGTGGAGATGGAGAGACTTATTTAGGAGATTAAAAATGATGGGATTTGGTAACTGCTGAGAGGAAGTTCAGAGAAGATGCAGTGTCAAAGGTGTCTGTCTCTCAGGCTTCTGGCATGAATCATTGGGTAGTTGGTGGATTCGATCATTAGTATGGAGGAAATTGGAGGAAGAGCTTATCTGGAGGAAAGTTATGGGCTCAGTTTTTTTTTTTTTTTTTTGAGATGGAGTTTTGTTCTCATTGACCAGGCTGGGGTGCAATGGCGCAATCTTGGCTCTGAAACCTTTGGCTCCTGGGGTCAAGCGATTCTCCTGCCTCAGCCTCCCAAGAGTAGCTGGGACTACAGGCATGTGCCACCACACCTGGCTAATTTTTGTATTTTTAGTAGAGATGGGGTTTCACCATGTTGGTCAGGCTGGTCTCGAACTCCTGACCTCAGATGATCTGCCCACCTTGGCCTCCCAAAGTGCTGGGATTACAGGCACCACTGTGTCGTGCCTGGGCTCAGTTTTTATGGCCTTGGGCAAGTGATAGCTTCTGAGCTTCAGGTTTTCATCCGTAAAATGGGAAAAAATACCTCTACCTTAGTATTGTTAAGAAGACCAAATGAGATCGTGCATTGAGGGAGCTTTGCAAATCAGAATGCACTGTTCAAGGTAGGATTTTATTACTGCAGATAGTTAGGAGAGGTAGACAGGAGAAATGGATGGCTGCTGAGCTGAAGGGTAAGAGAACACGCTGACCTGGAACCAAATCCATCTGGTCTGTCTGGGAGAAATCAGTGGAGAGAAAAAGAGCCAAACCTTGAGACCTCATCAGAGATTATTTTTTTAACTAGCTGCAGACCCTGGGCCCCGGGTGGCCCTGCCCTTTAAAATTGCTTCAGGCTGGGTTCAGGGAACAGTTCCCACTCCCAACTACCACCATGGTCACACTGTCTCCATTATCCCAAATCAGGACAAGTCTTCTGTGCACCATGGGAAATCCTGAGGTTAGAGCCTGCTGGTGGATGTCTGGAGCTGGGAGGGCACAGGAGCTGAAGGACTGATAAAACTCTGCTGTTTAGGGTTATGCAGCTCTAACCTGCTTCAACTATCACAGTCTGGGCTGCTTGCTGCCCTCCACAAACTGCAGTTTCATGTGAGGCCGATCACCGCATCAATAAAGTATTCCTTGGGCTACTCCTGCCCATTTTCTGCCTGAGCACAGCAGGGGCTCTGAGACTGGGTAGTCATTGAGCTCTCTTGAGAGAGTTAACCCCTTCCTGTCACAAAGAGTTGTTTTTAGCTTTGCCCTGGAAAAGGATTTACATCCACGAAGTCACCTAATCATTTTGATGCTTCTCACCGCCTCCCCGTTGTGGCCGATCTTTACTCATCTTCCTCCCAGTCCATCTCACACATGGATTCCAGAAGCTCTTCCAGAAGCTACTGCTTCCATCATGTCACCACTCCACCTGCAGGTCCCTCCTGGTATTGCTGTCTTGTCCCTATCAGATGTGAAGGGCACTGGGCTTTGGGTTGGAGACATTGACTTAGAATCACAGCTCTCCATGTGCCTGGGCGGGACATTGGGCAAGCTAGGTCACCTCCAAGAGTCCCCCTCGCCTTATCTGCAGAAAGCACAAGGATGCCTAAATCACCTGGTCATGGTGGAGGTACTCTGCACAATGCATCTGGCACAGAGTGTCCTTGTGAGAGAGGGAGCCCCTTGTGTCAGCACGTTCAGGCTCTGAGCTTCTTGAGGTTCTGGAGAGCAGGGATCCAGGCTCTCACCTGTCAGAATGGCTGGCCGGTCCTGTAGGCTGTGGTCCCACGTCCTGCTGTGAGGAGCCCCTTAAAGGAGCAGAGCACCTCCAGCAGATCTGAGAAAGGGCTGAGTGAGCCCTTACATGCAGGCACAGTGAGAAGGGAGGATGGGACGGGGATGTGTCTGGGGGAAGAGGGGACTCACTGGGTGTCGGGGAGCTTAGAAGTCAGCATGAAATAAATAAATAAGGAGGAATTGGACTCTTCTAAAGAGTCACAGGAGTGCAAAGGGAAGCCTAAGTAGCTTCAAAGAGCAAGCAAAAACAGCACCAAATTCTGGATAAGACAGCTTGGTACCTGCCCTGACCCTTTCTGAGTGAGGGTATTCATAGCCCTGCAAAAAAAAGCCCTGTATACTCTTTCCTGGTTCCCTTTTGAGGGTCTGAAGGGGCCAGAATGTCCCCCAGAAGTGCCAAAACATGAGAGATGAATGGAGTTGTGGATGAGGAGTGGCCGGTTACACAGACACAGACTGTGAAAGAGAAGCTTCTGGATCTGCTCAGAACTTCTGAGCCAGCTCTGTCCTTCCACAAATATTATTTTTCAGCAGGAAAGCCTTGGGCAAACACTAGTTTCCAGTTCAAATTCTGTTGGAAGCAGGGTCTAAGGCTTCGGTCAGGATGTGCTAAGCTTCAAACAAGTAGCAAGGTCAGGAACAAACTCCCGAAGTAGGATGGGCGAGAACCACTAGGTATGTGCCTGTTTGGGAAGATTCGTTCTTATTCGGCACCAGCCATAGTTGAAATTGTGAATGGGGCAATATTTATCTCAGAAATTTCTAGGTCCCTGGACCCTCTCCCCTACACTTTCCCCTCTCCTGCCCATCTCCCCACCCTACCCTCCTGGTTTTTCTCTGGGCTCACATCTGTCCTCAGCAAATTATTTGAAGCTCAGGCTCCTGGGGGTATAAACGACTGATAACAATTTACTGCATGAGATTTTATTTCAATGAAGGCCGGAGCTTTAGGCTAAAGAAATGAAGGTGGTAGGGGTGGTGTTCTGATCAGACTCTGATACTCAGGGCCCAGTCTTTCCAAAGGTGACAAGGTGAGGTGCTGGAGGTGTTTTTGTCTGTGTGTGGTCACGCAGTTCTGTGTTATTAGGTCTGGAAGAGAGTTACTGATTATTGTGTCTGGGGTTCTCAAAGTTAGTAGAATCACCCAGTCAGCTTGCATGGGCCAGGAATCCACACCGTTACCATGGACCTTGGTCATTTGAAATTGATGGTCCAGGCAGCAGACTTTGAGGGAAGTGCTGATCTAGTCCCTCACTGGACAGGGGAGGAGCAAGGATGGGAGAGACCCTCCCAGGGTGATGCCTCTCACTTCAACTCCAGTACACCTCCCAGAGCCTTAGCGGAGCCTCCACCACCTGCTACCCGGAGACCCTTGAAAGCTTCAATTCTGTGATTCTTGTTAAAAGGATGACACTGAGGGGAGGACACAGCACAAGCCATCTGCTAGCAAGCCTGCAGAGAACAAGTGTGGGCCCCAGGTTGGTCACTACTGATCTCACCTATGGGGCACAGAAGGGACCACATGCCCTTCCTTGCCACAATCAAGTGCTCTGATCACCTTGGGGGTCTGCCCCTCTGCGGCTCCTGCCCTGGACCCACACAGACCTGGAAGGTGTCCTTAAACAGTCGGTTTCCTCTGCACAGTCCTCGCCATGAATCTTTCTCAAGGGCTTTGAGTCTTTCTTGCTTAGCAAGAGTTCTATTCTCAGTTGGGTACCAAATATGCCCCCAGCCTTCACATTCATGTCCAGGTCTAGAGGGAAATTCTTTCTTAGGTTAGAGAGCGATCAAACACTGAAAGACTGACACATCTTCCTACAATTTCACAAAATGGCAACCAGCCAAAGGTGGCATTAACTTATGACTTGAAACAAGGGCCCGGCCCGTTCGTGACTCTGGTTCCTTGTTCTCTGCATGACATCCCTCTGAAGGAAGACGTTGGCCAGGGAGAGAGAGGATGCTGACACTCCCACTTTAGGGGAAAGCTGTGCTTGGCATTTGGTTAATTTTGTTTCCTTCTCATAATGTGCAGGATGTCAGGAAATCAATGAATCTAACTCTTGCCTTCCTGTCCCTGTCCTGCCTCTGTAGTCTTATGCCTTCTTGTAGTGGAAGGGCCATGTTTCTGCAAACAAGTGGCCTGGATTCATATGAAGAACTGCTCCTATGTCACATGCAAGTGTTTTCTTATTTAATTCTTTTTTTTTTTTTCTTATTTAATTCTTCAGAATCTTTTGAGAGAAGTGATATGACGTCCATTCTACAGATGAGGAGATTAAGGCTCAGGGCAGTTCCTCAACATACCCAAGGTCACCTGGCTGGTAAGCAGTAGAGCCAGAATTTGAACCCAAGTCTGCAAACTTCAACACTCATCTCCTTCAGATGAGACTGCAGCTTTGCAGTAGTTCTTGAGAATGAAATATCTCTGCACCTTGGTTCCCTCTTTTGTGAAAAGAAAATGGTGATATGCTTATTTAATTTTTGCAGGTCAGTGAAGCTATCATCATTACTATTATTATTAGGGAAAGGGTCTCACCGCGCCACCCAGGCTGGAGTGCAGTGGCATGGTCACAGCTCACTGCAGCCTTGACCTCCCAGGCTCATGCGATCCTTCCTCAGAAGCATCCCAAGTAGCTGTGACTACCAGCGCACCACTATGCCTAGCTAATTTTTTCTTTTTTTTTGTAGAGATGGCATCTCATTTTCTTACTCAGCCTGGTCTCAATTTCCTGGCTTCAAGTGATTCTCTCTCCCTGGCCTCCCAAGGTGCTGGGATTACAGGCATGAGCTACTGCACCTCGCCCAGTGAAATTATTTAGATGGGTAAGTGAAGAAAGAAAAGAGTGAAGAACAATCAAAAGAACCAAAAAAATGAGTGTAGTGGAGGCAGAGATGCCCAATTCAGGGCACATAGTAAGTGCTCAATAAATACAGGTGGGCTGGATGGATGAAACTCAAAGCAAATATGACCAAAGCCTACTAAACTGATGAGTGGGAATAGCCGGAGGGAGCTTTTCCAGAACACCCAGTTCAGGAACACTCTTCACGGCTTGAAAGAAGTACAGTGTAGAATAAACAAAAGGAAGTACTGTTGTTTCCAAGGTAGTAAATTTAGAGAGCGCAAGAGTCAGTCCAGATTAAAAATATAAATCTCTGCGGAAACAAGTAAATTGTGCATGATGAATCCATAAAAAATAACCAGGGGCGACATCTCCTGCCTTTGAGGCCAAGGTCAAGTGGGCCCTCCCCTAAATACCCGTGGGCTGGGTGAGCAGGGTGCTAAATCTTGGGTTCTGAATCCAGCGTTAACTTTAGAAAGTTTTCATCTCCTCCTTCTTCAGCTCTTTGGCATATTCTTGCTCTGTGTTCTGGTTTTAGGGAGTTACCAGCTTGATAAACTACAGGAAACCCGCATGCATTTTACATCCAATTTATAGAGCCCTGACTCTTAACAGTGCCTAAATAATCCACGGTGAAGGCTGCTCAATGGGTCATGTAATCCATTTGGAGATGGTGTGCCCCACTTTGGAGACTGGCTGTGTGTCTGGCTTCCTTTTCCAAGGTTTCTCTGTTTGTGCTAGGGAAGGGACAAGGGATGTAGTTTTGGTACCCTGCTTGCCTACAATCAAAAACATTAGCTTTCTTCCCAGACAACCCACCAAGAAAGAAGGGCCCTCTTCCTGAGGCCGGGCAGCTGTTTCTTCCAAGTTTCTTCAGCCTCTGGCTCTTGTCCTAGGGCCTTGGATCTGTCCCCAAAGGCAAGGCAGGACTTGTCAGTGGCACCAGGCTCCGAATCTGACCCCACATCCTTTTGGGAAGAGCTGCAACCTTTCACTGGCTGCTCTACCTGTGTTCAGATTGACTGGAAAACTGTCGTGAACGCTGGGGGCTCTTTTTAGAGCATCCCCAACCTGTATCCCATAATCATAATCCTGATTGATTTCCCCATTTGGCTCTGTGGTGACAGCTGGCCAGTGGGGGCGACGCTTTCCTCATTTGGACTGCAGGTGTCCCTGGTGCTCTCCCAGAACCTGGACTGATGTCCTGAGCTTCTCCCTCTTGCTAATGTTGGGGCAGAGGATTTGAAGTGGCCACACCCCATCCCCATCATACCACCATCCTCTCTGCCTCCGGATGTAGCCTCTTCATCCCCTTCTTCCAGCATCTTCAGACCCTGTCCTCTGGGCCTGATGCAGCATCCCCTGTTGAACCTGCCGGGAGATGGTCTGTTCCCCGCAGACCTCCAGTCTTGAACATTCCTCTGCCATGTGCTGTACCTGATCAGCCAGGGTCCCTGCAGGAAACAGATGGCATGCTGGAACCGGGAGATTTGAGAGGGTGTTTAACACAAGGGCTTTTTACAAAGGTGTGGGAAGAGTGTAGGCTGGCCACGAAGTATAGTGAAGAACACAGGACTGGAACTGGGGAGGTCTTACCCCCACTGGGCTTAAGGAACAAGGGCAGGGGACAGTATCAGAACCAGCCCGGCAGGACTTGCAGCCAGCTTGCAGCGGTACCCCTGGGAGGGGCATGAGGAAGTAGATTTCCCGATCTTTCTTGGGCTGAACTCAACAGGAAGACAGAAGTTATGTGGGCTTGCTGTTGTGCACATGTCCAGTTTTCAGGAGCTCATGGCAGAGTGGAGGATAGAAATTCCATCTAGAGGGCAAAGCAGAAGAGATCCAGCACAGCGTGCACATCAAACCGTGTACACTAGCCGGGCACGGTGTCTCACACCTGTAATCCCAGCACTTTGAGAGGCTGAGGCAGGAGGGTCGCTTGAGCCCAGGAATTTGAGACCAGCCTGGGAAACATAGTGAGACCCTGTCTTTACAAAAAATAAGCAAAATTTAGCCAGGTGTGGTGATATGCACTTGTAGTCTCAGTTACTCAGGAGGCTGAGGCAGGAGGATCTCTTGAGCCCAAGAAGTCAAGGCTGCGGTGAGCTGTGATTGTGCCACTGCACTCCAGCCTGAGCAACAAAGTGAGACCCTGTCTCTAAATAAAAATAAATAATAATTTTTAAAAAGGCTTACATTGTGTTTTCAGAGGAGATTTCCACAGGCCTTTCCTATTGTAGGCAACTCATCTCCCCTCCACTAATGAGAGAGGCTGTGGGCAGTGCTGTGGTTTGGATGTTTGTGTCATTTGGATGTTTGTCCCCTCACACTTCTGTTGAAATTTAATCCCCATGTTGAAGGTGGGGCCTAGTGCAAAGCATTTGGGTCAGGGGGCAGATCACTGATGAATAGATTAATCCCCTTCCTGGGGGATGAGTGCATTTTCATTCTAGTTCCTGCAAGAGCTGGTTGTTAGGAAGAGCTGGGCCCCCTCTCCTCTCCTGCTTCCTCTCTTGCCCTGTGATCTCTGCATGTGCCAGCTCCCCTTCCCCTTCCATCAGGAGTGTAAGAAGCCTAAGGCCCTCCCCAGATGCCCAGTCTTCCAGCCAGCATCATCATGAGCAAATAAACCTTCTTCCTTTATAAATTACCCAACTTCAGGTATTTCTTTATAGCAACACAAAGGAATAAAGAAAGCCTGCCCCGTGCGGCTCTCACTCCCCAGGGTTTGGGATAGCAGGATGTAAGTTCTGGTTGGTTCCATTGGTTGAAACAGCAATTTGAAACCAGGAAAGAGTCCTGAGTCCTTTCAGACTGAAAACCTACCTGTGTAAAACCTGAACTGGCTCAAGCAAGGCCATCTCAAAAGCATGCTCAGCATTAATCACAGGGCTCTCAGGATATTGTTAAGACAAAAATTTGAAATTTACTTCCAGTGATTTCAGAAGAGGAAAAAGAGATGGTGCCCCTTGCCCTGTCCTGTGCTGTCCCACTCCCCCCATGCACAGACACACCGAGCTCAGGTGCCCAGGTCAAGCTTTCCTGCCACTCTGCACAGGGAACAGAGCGGGTGGCAGCACATCCTGGTTAGTGTCTCCAAGATTCGCGATGTTGGGAGGGTGTGCAACCACCGGATAGAAGCCAGAAATAAGTGTCTGAATGTGACAAAGAGCATGTGTGTGTGTGTGTGTGTGTGAGAGAGAGAGAGAGAGAGAGAGAAAGAAAGAAAACTAGGCAGGAGTTTTAGGCAGGGGAGAAGCAGGGAACACATGGAATCACATCCTCCTTGTGGTCAGGGAGAGCAACCCATTGTTCGTGGAGTGCCTGCTATGGACTTGGCCTGGTAACAGCCTCCCAGAGGTCATGTGATTTCACATTTATTGCACAACAAACCCATGAGGCATGCAGTGTTACCGAGTTTGAAATAAGAAGACTGGGGGAATCAGGGAAGTTATGTCATTTGTTCAGTGTTAAACAGCAAACACATGGAAAAGTGTGGGTTCAGACCCTGCTCTCCTGACTCTACAAAGTCATTTACACTAGAGTTAATTTCACTCGGTCTGAGGAGAACACTATTCCGTTCTGTATTCTTTTCTGTTTGGTTCCTCTACTGATGCATGTGCATGCATGCACATGTGTGTGTGTGTGTGTGTGTGTCTGTGTGTCTGTGTGTGTGTATGTGTGTGTGTGTCTGTGTGTGTGTTGGGTGCACAGGGTGAGAAAAAAAGAGGAGAAGAAAGTAAGCATGTTATTCCTAATTATTTGCTTGTCCTGACCATAAATGCTTGGCTAGAATTCGGAAAGAAACTTTTAATAATATATGTTGTAAGAGAGAGGTGGGGTCTCACACATGTTGTGTACCTGGCTTTATACACAGCATCACTGGCATGGATGAATCCCTGGTGGCCTTCTGAGTTTTCTGAAAACTTTCATAGATCAATACCAGGTTGATTTTCACTTAGAACTCCTGACTTCAAGTGATCTGCCCACCTTGGCCTCCCAAAGTGCTAGGATTTTAACTTAGAAGAGGTAGAAAATGGGCACAGCTGAGGCAGGAAGGGATCCAGGTGGAATAAGGAGTATCTCTGCAGATGGCAAGATCTGGGAAATCCAAGATGCACAGCCTCTAAAGCAGGGGCTCCTGCACACTCCTCTGGCTGTCCCTCCTCTGTATGTCCAGGAGGTCAGTGCAGGGTGGGTAGCAGTCAAAGAAAAGCCCCTACTGGGAGAAGACTGGATGGGGCAGAGTGGAAAGTGCTCTGGACTGAAAGCCAGACTTGATTTGATCCTCCCAGCTCTGACACCACCACAAAGTCCTGAACCGTGGCCCTGAGAAGCTCTGTGGGTCTCAATTTTCTTCATGCTAAAATAAAAAGGGTTGTCTAATCAGGGATCAGCACACTATGGTCTTGGGGCCAAATCCAACACCTCACCCTGTTTTTGTAAATAAAGTTTGATTGGAGCACAGCCATGCTCAATGTTTTACATCTTATCTGCGGCTACTTTTTATACTACGATGGCAGAGTTGGTTCTCCCAGCAGAGGACAGACGATCCATGAAACTTAAAATATTTACTCTCTGGCCCTTTGCAGAAAATCTTTGCAGACCTCTGGCCTAGATGATTTCTAGGGCCCTCCTGGTTGTGGGATCTGAAATCAGGCATTATGCCTTATCAGGCTTCGCATTTCCCACACTCCAGGAGAGTGGCAAGAGGAAAGTCTGTAGATGCCCTTAGACCTAACTTGGAGGCTGCCTTGCAGACAGTTTCCACATATCCCAGCTTCCCTCGTGGCCCCTCTGTTTTGGGACGTCACAGCTAAGGAACCACAGCAGCCCTCCAGTGATACAGGAGAGAAGCTGGCAAGTAACTGACCCCGCTGCCTTGCTCTCCATGGGACAAATCTGAGATTTGCCCAGTTGGATAAAGCCCCACTGGTCCACCCAGAAAACTGCCCATTAGCTCCACCTTGGGGACTTACTTCCCTTCCCTGTCTCCCTTCCCCATTCCCTCCTCTGCTTCCTGAGTTCACCTCCCCATCAATTTGTCTCTGAGGCTGCTCTGGGGAAACCCTAGTGAAGCAATGACATGCGGCTAATAAGCACATGTTGTGCTTGTCAATAATCATTTGCCTGTGTTACTAACCATATTCTGCTACAACAAACAATGTAGGAAAATGTAGCAAATTAAAAAAAAAACTTGCAACAAAGATAAAGGCATATGGTTCTAGGAGATGGGACTGAATTATAATTTTTGCTTGGTCAACTTGGGTAACATATGGACCTCAGTGCCTTTGTCTGTAAAATTAGAGGGCCAGATTGCCTAAGTCCCTAGATACCTACTGGTTCCAAAATGCTATAAAATTGGATCAAGGGTGTCTTGCTAATCTGTTGGCAATAAGTAAAAGCAGATATATATTCACAATATTAATCACTGAGGTTTTTTCTGTGATAACAGATTATGTTTTGTCTTTTTCTAATACGATGGTGGGAGGCGGGAAGGTCATCAATATTAAGGAAGGCCCAAGCCTCTGAGTCACCCAGTAACCTTCACCTCTTACTTGAGCAAACCCTCCTGTTCCCCTGTTATTCCCCACCCCACTCCCCACCCCTGACCTCACCTCTCCGTTCTTCTGATCATCCACTTGAGAAAATCATGGCTAGCATATAGCTGAAAAATGATGGGTCTAATCCTATGTGGCTTGGCTTATGAAAGTAGGAAAGTTTGGGGAAGTCTACCCAGAAAGTCTTAAAAAACTTGGTAATCTGGGACAATTACAAACTTCTATGTTTGTAAATTGTACCCTTTATCCCAAAACTCAAGGGTTTGGAGGAAACTTTTGCTCATTTAATCATAATAAATATTAAAGGCAAATATTTATTAAGCACTGATTGTGTGCCAGACACAGCTGTGAACTGGGAATATGATGGCAAGAAGGCGGTTTTTGACTAAGTCATGGAGTAAATAGTCTCTCAAATAAATGCCATATTGCAAACCATGATAAGTGCTCTGTGGAAAGAGTCCAGGGAGGTGGGAGGTGTGTGATGGGGCCCAAGGCCAGCTGGGGACATGAGTGGTGGGAAGGAGACGCTGGGGCTGAGATCTGGAAGGAGTGAGCATTAGAGAGTTGGAGGGACCTTAGGTGTGTGAGGAGCCTGAGGACAGAAATGTGATTAGAGGAACAACAAGAAGACCAGATGTAATCCCAGCACTTTGGGAGGCCGAGGTGGGTGGATCATGAGGTCAGGAGTTCAAGACCAGCCTGGCCAAGATGGTGAAACCCCGTCTCTACTAAAAATACAAAAATTAGCCAGGTGTGGTGGCGGGCCCCTGTAGTCCCAGCTACTTGGTAGGCTGAGGCAGAGAATTGCTTGAATCCGGGAGGCAGAGGTTGCAGTGAACTGAGATCGCGCCACTGTACTCCAGCCTGGGCGACAGAGTGAGACTCTGTCTCTAAAAGAGAAAGAAGACCAGAGTGGCCCAGGCACATGAGGGCGAGAGAGGAGCGGGAGCTGGAGAAGCAGAGGCAGGGGAGCAATCCTCCCTCCTTTCATCCATTCATCTGTTCATTCATTCATTCATTCATTCAGAAAACATTGACTGAATTCCTGTTGCACTCTGGGCTCTCCTCCATGCTTGCAGCTATAGAGGCAAGTGAGGCAGTATTTGCCTTCAAGCAGCTCATATTCTAGAGGAGAAGACAGAGCACAATCAGGTAAACGAATAAATAGCTCATATGATTTAGGTGGAGGCGAGTACAGTGAAGTAAAAGACAGTAGAGGAAGGGTTGGCAGGAGGCTGGAGTGAGATGGGGAGGAGAAATTTTAGAGGGAGTGGTCAGGGGGCATCGAGTGGAAACCACTGTGGAGACCTGACTTGCGAAGATTCTTTTGATTCCATGAATAGCATGAGCAGTGCTGGCTTCCCTCCCTCCTTAGTAAGCCAAGAGGAGCAGAGAGCAAGAATTCCTTACTCATTCTGGCTAATAGAAAATAACTGGGAAGTGCAGGATTTTTAAGTCCTTTGATTAAAAAAAAATTTCTTTTTCTTCAACCTTTAAGTTCAGCGGTATATGTGCAGGGATGTTCAGGTTAGTTACATAGGTAAACATGTGCCATGGTGATTTGCTGCACAGATCAACCCATCAGCTAGGTAGTAAGCCCAGCATGCATTAGCTATTTTTCCTAATGCCCTTCCTCCTCCCTGCCCACCCCTGATAGGCCCCATGTGTGTTGTTCCCCTCCTTGTGTCCATGTGTTCTCATCATTCAGCTCCCACTTAGAAGTGAGAACATGCAGTGTTTGGTTTTCTGTTCCTGCATTAGCTTGCCAAGGATAATTGCTTCCAGCTCCATCCCTGTCCCTGCAAAGGACATGATTTTTTTCCTTTTTGTGGCTGCATAGTATTCCATGATGTATATGTACCACTTTTCTTTATCCAGTCTATCTTGATGGGCATTTAGGTTGATTCCATGTCTTTGTTATTGTGAATAGTGCTGCAGTGAACATATGCATGCATGTGTTTTTATAATAGAATGATTTATATTCCTTTGGGCATATACCCAGTAACGGGATTGCTGGGTCAAGTGGTATTTCTGTGTCTACCCTTTAAGGAATCACCACAATGTCTTCCACAATGGTTGAACTAATTTACACTTCCACCAGTAGTGTAAAAGTATTCATTTTTCTCTACAAACTTGTCAGCATCTGTTGTTTTTTGACTTTTAAATAATAGCCATTCTGACTGGCATGAGATGGTATCATATCTCATTGTGGTTTTGATTTGCATTTCTCTAATTGTCACTGATGTTGAGCTTTTCTTCGTATATTTGTCGATTACATGTATGTATTCCTTTGAGAAGTGTCTGCTCATGTGCTTTGCCCACTTTTTAATGGGGTTGTTTTTTTCTTGTAAATTTGTTTAAGTTCCTTATAGACTCTGGATCTTAGACCTCTGTTGATGCATAGATTGCAGAAATTTTCTCCCATTCTGTAGGTTGCCTGTGTTCTGATGCTAGTTTCTTTTGCTGTGCAGAAGCTCTTTAGTTTACTTACATCCCATTTGTCAATTTTGGCGTTTGTTGCAATTGTTTTTGCTGTTTTCATCATTAAATCTTTGCCCATGCCTATGTCCTGAATGGTATTGCCTAGATTTTCTTCTAGGGCTTTTATAGTTTGGGGTTTACATTTAAGTCTGTAATCCATCTTGAGTTAATTTTTGTATAAGGTATAAGGAAGAGGTCCAGTTTCAGTTTTCTGCATATGGCTAGCCAGTTCTCCCAGAACCATTTATTAAATAGGGAATCCTGGGCCTGGTGCAGTGGCTCATGCCTGTAATCCCAGCACTTAGGGAGGCTGAGGCGGGCAGATCACAAGGTCAGGAGTTCAAGACCAGCCTGCCCAAGAGACCAGCCTGGCCAGTACGGTGAAACCCTGTCTCTACTAAAAATACAAAAATCAGCTGGGTGTGGTGGCGGGCACCTGTAATCCCAGCTACTCAGGAGGCTAAGGCTGGAGAATTGCTTGAACCTGGGGGGCAGAATTTGCAAAGAGCCGAGATTGCGCCATTGCACTCCAGCCTGGGCAACAGTGAGATCCTGACTCAATAATAATAATAATAATAATAATAATAATAATAATAATAATAATAATAAAAACTAGGGAATCCTTTCCCCATTGTTTGTTTTTGTCAGGTTTGTTGAAGATCATATGGTTGTAGGTGTGCAGTCTTGTTTCTGAGTTCTCTATTTGTTCCATTGGTCTATGTTTCTGTTCTTGTACCAGCACCATGCTGTTTTGGTTACTGTAGCCTTGTAGTATAGTTTGAAGTTGGGTAGTGTGATGACTCCAGCTTTGCTCTTTTTGCTTAGGATTGTCTTGGCTATTCAGGCTATTTTTTGGTTCCATATGAATTTTAAAATAGTTTTTTCTAATTCTGTGAAGAATTTCAGTGGTAGTTTAATGGAATAACATTTAATATATTAATTACTTTGGGCAGTATGGCCATTTTCACAATATTGATTCATCCCATCCATGAGCATAGACTGTTTCTCCATTTGTTTGTGTCCTCTCTGACTTTTTTGAGCAGTGGTTTGTAGTTCTCCTTGAAGAGGTTCTTCACTTCCCTTGTTGACTATATTCCTAGGTATTTTATTATTTTTGTAGCAATTGTGAAAGGGAGTTCATTCATGATTTCACTCTCTGCTTGCCTTTTGTTGGTGTATAGAAATGCTAGCAATTTTTGCACACTGATTTTGTATCCTGAGACTGCTGAAGTTGCTTATCAGCTGAAGAAGCTTTTGGTCTAAGACAATGGGATTTTCTAGATATAGGATTATGTCATCCACAAACAAAGGTAATTTGACTTCCTTCTTCCTATTTGAATATGCTTTATTTCTTTCTCTTGCCTGATTGCCTTGGCCAGAACTTCCAATACTGTGTTCAATAGGAGTGGTGAGAGAGGGCATTCTTGTCTTGTGCCAGTTTTCAATGGGAATGTTTCCAGCTTTTGCCCATTCAGTATGATGTTGTCAGTGGGTCTGTCATATATGGCTCTTGTTATTTTGAGGTACGTTCCTTCAATACCTAGCTTATTAAGAATTTTTAACACGAAGGGATGTTGAATTTTATCAAAGGCCTTTTCTGCATCTATTGAGATAATCATGTGGTTTTTGTCTTTAGTTCTGTTTATGTGATAAATCACATTTATTGTTTTGCATATGTTGAACCAAACTTGCATCCCAGGGAGGAAGCCAACGTGATGGTGATCCATAAGTTTTTGATGTGCTGCTGGATTCAGTTTCACAGTACTTTTTTGAGGATTTTTGCATCAATGTGCATCAACGATATTGGCCTGAAATTTTTTGTTGTTGTATCTCTGCCAGGTTTTGGTATCATAATGATGCTGGCCTCATAGAATGAGTTAGGGAGGAGTCCCTCCTTTTCAATTTTTTGGAATAGTTTCAGTAGAAATTGTACCAGCTCTTCTTTGTATCTCTGGTGGAATTCGGCTATGAATCTGTGTGGATCTGGGCTTTTTTTGGTTGGTAGGCTATTTACTGCTTGAATTTCAGAACTCATTATTGGTCTATTCGGGGATTCAATTTCTTTCTGGCTCAGTCTTGGGAGGGTGTATGTGTCCAAGAATTTTTTTATTTCTTCTAGATTTTCTAGTTTATGTGCATAGAGGTGTTTACAGTATTCTCTGATGGTTGTTTGTATTTCTGTGGGGTCAGTGGTGACATCCCCCTTATCATTTCTGATTGTGTTTATTTGATTCTTTTCTATTTTCTTCTTTATTAGTCTAGCTAGAGGTCTATATATTTTATTAATTTTTTCAAAAAAACAGCTTCTGGATTTTATTCATTTTTTATGGGTTTTTCATGTCTTTATCTTCTTCAGTTCAGGTCTGATCATGGTTATTTCTTGTCTTCTGCTAGCTTTGGGGGTTTTTTGCTCTTGGTTCTCCAGTTCTTTTAGTTATGATGTTAGGTTGTTAACTTGAGATCTTTCTAGCTTTTTGATGTGGGCATTTAGTGGTATAAATTTCCCTCTTAACATTGCTTTAACTGCATCCCAGAGATTCTGGTACATTGTCTCTTTGTTCTCATTAGTTTCAAATAACTTCTTGATTTCTGCCTTAATTTCATTATTTACCCAAGAGCCATTCAGAAGCAGGTTATTCAGTTCCCATATAGTTGTGTGGTTTTGAGTGAATTTCTTAATCTTGAGTTCTAATTTGATTGTGCTGTGGTCTGAGAGACTGTTATGAGTTCAGTTCTTTTGCATTTGCTGAGAAGAGTTTTACTTTCAATTATGTGATCAATTTTAGAGTAAGTGTCATGTGGTGATGAGAAGAATGTATGTTCTATTGCTTTCAGATGGAAAGTTCTGTAGATATCTATTAGGTCCACTTGATCCAGAGCTGAGTTCAGGTCCTGAATATCTTTGTTAACTTTCTATCTCAATGATCTGTCTAATATTGTTGGTGGGGTGTCAAAATCTCCCACTATTATTGTGGGAGGGAGTTCAAGTCTCTTTGTAGATCTCTAAGAACTTGCTTTATGAATCTGGGTGCTCCTGTATTGGGTGCATATATATTTAAGACAGTTAGTTCTTCTTGTTGAATTGAACCCTTTACTATTATGGCAATGCCCTTCTTTGCCTTTTTTGATTTTTGTTGATTTAAAGTCTGTTTTGTCAGAAACTAGGATTGTAACCCTTGCTTTTTTCTGTTTTCCATTTGTTTGTTAAATTTTTCTCCATCACTTCATTTTGAGCCTATGTGTTTCTTCGTACGTGAGATGGGTCTCTTGAAGACAGCATACTGATGGGTCTTAACTCTACCTAGTTTGCCATTCCATGCGTTTTAATTGGGGCATTTAGCCCATTTACATTTAGGGTTAGTATTGTTATATGTGAATTTGATCTTGTCATCATTATGCTAGCTGGTTATTTGCAGACTTCTTTACGTAGTTTCTTCATAGTCTCACTGGTTTGTATACTTCACTGTGTTTTTGCAGTTGCTAGCAATGATTTTTCCTTTCCATATTTAGTGCATCCTTTAGGAGCTCTTGCAAGGCAGGCCTGGTGGTGAAGAATTCCCTCAGCATTTGCTTGTCTGAAAGAATCTTATTTCTCCTTTGCTTATGAAGTTTAGTTTGGCTGAATATGAAATTCTGGGTTGGAAATTCTTTTCTTTAAGAATATTAAATATTGGCCCTCAATCTCTTCTGGCTTGTAGGGTTTCTGCTGAGAGGTCTGTTGTTAGTCTGATGTGCTTCCCTTTGTAGGTGACCTGGCCTTTCCCTCTGGCTGGCCTTAACAATTTTTCTTCCATTTCAACCTTGGAGAATCTGATGATTATGTGTCTTGGGATTGATCTTCTTGTGGATTACCTTGCTGGGGTTCTCTGCATTTCCTGAATTTGAATGTTGGCCTGTCTTCCTAGATTGGGAACGTTCTCCTGGATGATATCCTGAAATATGTTTTCCAACTTGGTTCCATTCTCCCTGTCTCTTTCATGTACCCTAATCAGTTGTAGGTTCAGTCTCTTTACATAATCCCATATTTCTTGGAGGTTTTGTTCCTTCCTTTTCTTTCTGTTTTCTGTGTTCTTGTTTGCCTGTCTTATTTCAGAAAGATAGTCTTCAAGCTCAGAGATTCTTTCCTCTGCTTGATCTATTCTGCTGTTGATACTTAAGAAGTTCTCGTGTTGTGTTTTTCAGCTCCATCAGGTGGGTTATATTCCTCTCTAAACTGGCTATTCTGGCTATCAGCTCCTGTATTGTTTTATCATGATTCTTAGCTTCTTTGCATTTGATTACAACATGTTCCTTTAACTCAGTGAAGTATGTTATTATCCACCTTCTGAAGCCTACTTTTGCCAATTCAGCCATTTCAGCCTCAGCTCAGTTCTGTGTCCTTGCTGGAGAGGTATTGTAGTCATTTGGAGGAGAAGAGACATTCTGGCTTTTTGGGTTTTCGGCATTTTTGTGCTGATTTTCTCTCATCTTTGTGGGCTTATCTACCTTTGATCTTTGAGGCTGCTGACCTTTGAATGAGGTTTTTGTGGGATCTCTTTTGTTAATGTTGTTGTTGTTTTCTGTTTATTTGTTTTTCTTTTAACAGTCAGGCCACTGTTCTGTAGGGCTGTTGCAGTTTGCTGAGGGTCCGCTCCAGACCCTAGTTGCCTTGGAGTTTTTTGTACCCAGAGGTATCACCAGTGAAGCCTGCAAAATAGCAAAGATGACATCTTGCTTCTTCTCCTGGAAGCTCCATCCCAAGGGGGTACTGACATATTGTCTGCCCAAGCGCACCTATAGGAGGTGACTGGAGATCCCTGTTGGGAGATCTCACCCAGACAGGAGGAACAGGATCAGGGACGTGCTTAAAGAAGCAGTCTGGCTGTTTTTTGGTGGAGGAGGTGTGCTGTATTATGAGGGACCCTTCCTCATCCAGACCATTTGGATTCTCCAAAGCTGGCAGGCTGGAATGGCTGAGTCAAGCAAACCATAGAGATTGCAGCCACCCCTGTCCCTGGGAGCTCTGTTCCAGGGATAAATCAGAGCTCTATCTGTAGAACTGTGGCTGGCAGGAGTGGCTGAAACCTCTGCGGGGAGATCCCACCCAGTGAGGAGTAATGGATGGGGTCCCACTTAAAGAAGCAGTCTGGCCATGATCTGGCAAGGCAGCTGTGATGCCCTGGAGGACCCTTCCTTGTCCAGACCATTTGGATTCTCCAAAGCTGGCACGCTGGAATGGCTGAGTCTATCGAACTGCAGAGATGGTGCCCGCCCTTCCCCCTGGGAACTTGGTCACATCTCAGGCAGAATCCAGCCTACTGCCATTGGCTGACAGAAATTTCAAGCCATGGGTCTTAACTTGTGAGGTGCTATGGAAGTGGGGCCCATGGAACAATGCTACTTGCCTCCCTGGATTCGGCCCCCTTTCTGGGGATATGGATGGATACTTCTCCCACCTTGATGGAGATCCTGGAGCCAGAGTGTGTAAAACTCCTAGGTCTCTGTGTGTGCCTGAGCGGCTGCTCTGCCAAGACTCCACACAGCTCTGTGTATCAGACCCAGGCCATGGTGGTGTGGGATCATGAGGGGATCTCGTGAGGGGTTGCAAAGATCTGTGGGAGAAGCGTGACTTCCCAGGTGGAGTCACACAATCATTCATTACTTCCCTTAGCGGGGCACGGGGGTTCCTCTGCCTCTGCACTGCTCCTGGGTGGGCCATTGCCCCACCTGCTTTTCTTCATTCTCACTGGGTCGAGTCGTATGCCTAGTCACTCTCAATGTGAGAACCTGGGTATTTCAGTTGAAGGTGCTGAATTCACTCGCCCCTTTCATCTCTGTGAGTGCCGCAGACTGCAGCTGCTTCTAATTGACCATCTTGGCCCCTTCAGAATTTCTATACCAATTTTAAAATTTTTATGGATTTATTTTTATTTATTTTTCAGGATTGTTTTGGTAGAGATGGGATCTCACTATGTTGCCCAGGCTGGTCTCAAACTCCTGGGCTCAAGCAATCCTCCTGCCTCAGCCTCCCAAAGTGCTGGCATTATAGGCATGAGCCACCACACCTGGCCTGTATTTACTTATTCATCCCAGAAAATGTAGGACTTTGGTTGAGAGGGGAAACTTCAAGGGAGCAGGCTAAGGATACGGAGTTCAAAGACAGAAGTGAGTGGGAAGCGTCTCTGTGCCATGTCTCTAGTTGCCCTTGGAGGGAGAGATGAACTTGAGCCGTGCTCCTCAGCTAAGGCTGAGCAGATGTAAACCAAGAGATGAAGAGGCTGAGGTTGAGGCCCTGACAAGCTCAGCAGCTTCCCTGCAGTTATTCTGAGAGCTGGAGGCAGCTAAAAAAAGGCATCGGCCTCAGGGGCTGTGACAAGTGGAAGATCTAGCACCTGACAGAAGAGAAGTTTTATGGTTCCTTTTTAGAGTCAGTTTTTCTACTGACTCAATGTTCTGTGGTGGTGTCTGTGCCCGACCCTGACCAACCTGCAGGTATCAACTTTAAGCCTAAGCAGTTGGGATGCCAACATCTACCTAAGCCCCTTTCTCTAGAGTCTGGCATTAGGAAAAACATTCCATGAGTCTCGGGAGAGAGCTTCTGACCCCAGTAGCTCTCCTGAAGATTTCCCTTCGTGTCTAGTTTCTAGGTTAAAGGGTGTGCTGGTGAGAGAGACAGAGGCAGGGAGAAAGGAAGGAAAAGAGAGAGAGAGTATAGAGACAGAGGGAGAGAGGGAGACGAGGGTGTGGGAGTGCATACACACACACACACACACACACACACACACACCCCTCTAAAATTCAGAATCTGTCTTGGAGTTTTCTTTCTTTCTTTTCTTTTCTTTTCTTTTCTTTTTTTTTGAGGGGGGGTGGGCAGAGTCTCTGTCACCCAGGCTGGAGTGCAATGGTGCGATCTCAGCTCACTGCAACCTCCGCCTCCCAGGTTCAAGTGATTCTTGTGCCTCAGCCTCCCAAGTAGCTGGATTACAGGCCTGCGCCATCACTCCCAGTTAATTTTTGTATTTTTAATATAGACGGGGTTTCACCATGTTGGCCAGGCTGGTCTTGAACTCCTAATCTCAAGTGATTCACCCGCCTTGCCCTCCCAAAGTGCTGGAATTACAGGTGCCCGGCCTGTCTTGGGGATTACATGGACTCAAAATAAGGCTGAACTTATAGATCAACCCCTGTGTGAGTGGAAAAAAAACAACCAAAGTGCTTTTTCTATTCTCTTACCCCAAAAAAATCAACACAGAGGACTTCTGGGACCAAATGTGGGGGTTTCTCCCCACCAGCAAGTAAGCAATCAATTCTTCAGTGAACACCAGCTGGGCATTCTCCAATCCAATTCACCTCTGATGCTATCTACCTGGAGATAGTGTCAGATTCCCCAGGGTGAGGGCTCAGTCCCACAAGACTACCCCTACTCTTGATGCCAATCACAGGCGCCAGGTTGTTTTAACCTGTGCTTGACTGACCAGGTATAAATCAGGGTTCCCACAACCCCCTCTTTGGGTCTAATTAATTTGCTAGAGTGGTTCACAAAACTTAGGGAATCACATTTACAGGTTTATTATAAAGGATAGTACAAAGAACACTGACGAAGAGATGCACAGGGCAAGGTGTAGGGGAAGGGCGCAGAGCTACCATGCCTCCTGGGACACCACCCTCCAGGAACCTCCAGGTGTTCAGCTACCTAAGATCTCTCAGAACCCTGACCTTTTGGGTTGTTAATGGAAGCTTCATTACATAGCCATGATTGATTAAACCACTGGCCATTGGCGATCATTTTAACCTTCAGCCCCTCTTCTCTCCCAAGAGGCTGGGGATGGGGCTGAAACTCCCAACCCTCTAATCCTGCCTTCCTCTTTCTAGTGTCTAACCCCCAACCCAGGGTTACCCAGGGGCCCCCAGCCACCAGTTCATTGGCATACAAGAAGACATCACTCTGGAGATTCTAAGGATTTTAGAAGTTGTATGCCAGGAAACGGGGGTCAAAGAACAAAAATATACTTTACAATAGCACATTCTGTCTGCTCTGTATTTTTATGTGATTGTTGGCGTGCAGTTCACATATACTAGATTGACTATGTGGCTTTTAAGTTAAAATATTAGTATCTTTTAAGCTGTTAGTAAATTGTTTAAGGGTTGTGTTCCTTTGTTCTTTCTCTTTCTCACCATTAGAAGCCCTGCAGGTTGTTTACAACCCTAGAATTATATAACAAGGAAAGTACGTGGAGACCCATGGCCAAGGTCAGAGGCAACAGATACTCATGTCGTAGGACAAGTCTTGGGGTGTTGTGACAAGAGCCCTGGTTGCACTAGATTGAAATCAAGATTATTTAATATCATCCAATTTTTATGCCTCGGGAGAGAAGGACCAATTGGCAAAATACATTTATTGGGGAAATACATTTTAGAATGGTGTCTTTGCTGAGCGTTACTAGAAAGGCTTATTAATAGAAGTGGCGTTAGGAAGAAAATGCTCTAGGATTTGGGGAATGTGGCTTCCTGGGCAGGGAGTACTCCAGGCACATTCTCCCCTTTGTCTACCATGACCCTCATTAGGGAATACTCAGCACAGGCTTGGATGTCCTGCTCAAATCAGGAAAGTGGGAGTGGGGGTGGGGCGGATGGAGAGGAAGGAAGCCTGGATCTGGGGCCTCAGGAACCTTCCTTAAAGCCAGTGTTTCAATGATGAAGCCAGACCCCTCGAGCTTCCTTAAAGCCAATGTTTCAATGATGAAGCCAGACTCCTCGCGCTGTCCTCTTCGACCTCCCTAGTCGAGAGCCGCTGGGGGTCCCACTAAGCCCCTGCCCCACTGCTTCATGGCCCTCAGCACACAGAAGGGGGCTGCGTCCTCATGTGCCATGCAGCTGGCAGGGCCAGCCCAGCTCCAGCCCGCAGGGGTACAGCTGGCTCTGGGAATGCCACCCACGCAAGGAGGGGCAGCGGCAGGGTGGTGAGTGCCCCTTCCAAAACCTGGCCAACTGTCCTGGGTGACCTGTGGAATAGTGGTGCCATCTGATGGCCGAGACAGGGAACAAACTGGGGACACACAGAGGGACAGCATGGACGAACGGATAAGCCTGGCAGCCCCCAGCTCTGGTCCAGGTCTGTGGCTTTGTCAGAGACCTGTGAACCACAGCAACTCCATCTTAAACAGGAGCTAGGTAAAATGAGACCTGCTGGGCTGTATTCCCAGATGGTTAAGGCATTCAAAGTCACAGGATGAGAGAGGAAGTCAGCACAAAATACAGGTCATAAAGTCCTTGCTGATAAAACAGTTTGCAGTAAGGAAGCCGGCCAAATCCCACCAAAACCAAGATGGCGACGAGAGTGACCTCTGGTCGTCCTCACTGTTACACTCCCACCAGCGCCAAGACAGTTTACAGATGCCATCGCAACATCAGGAAGTTACCCAATATGGTCTAAAAGGGGAGGCATGAATAATCCACCCCTCGTTTAGTATATCATCAAGAAATAACCATACAATTAGGCAACCAGCAGCCCTCGGGGCTGCTCTATGGAGTAGCTATTCTTTTATTCCTCTACTTTCTTAATAAACTTGCTTTCACTTTGCACTGTGAACTTGCCCAGAATTCTTTCTTGCATGAGATCCAAGAACCTGCTCTTGGGATCTGGATCGGGATCCCTGTCCTGTAACAGCTTGGCAGACTTAACCTCAGCCCCGCAGCTCTGATGAGGCTGCTCTGAAAGCACTGGCTGCTGGGCTGGAGTCCACGGGGTACAGTGTGGAGAAAGAAGGACATGGAATCCTCCAGAAAATATCTGAGGGGGCCCACTATCTGCTCACTTAGGTAGGGTTGGAGGGGCAAGGAATGTTGCAGGGGCCGGTGATCAGAGAACAGTATATAACTCTTGACCCCAGTGAGTCTGCACTCCACTTGAGATCCGCAGTGAATCTGCCCACTTGAACCTGGGCAAGCAGTGTCTTCCTAAGATTAATTCATACAAAATGGCACCAAGGCGATGTCATAAATGTAGTGTGTGCTGCTGCAGCCTGAAGCACCGTGGGTGTTCCTGGAGAGGGGACAAAAGAGGAGAAGCCAGACAGGAGTGCACGGAGGAGACCTGAGCCTGGGCAGGGCCGTGTGGAGGAGAGGAGTTGGGGTCTGTACCACTGGAGTCTGGCTAAACCCTCTAAAAAAGCCAGCGGTGTTTGATAAACTTCTTCCTGGGTCTCCTGGTCTTGCTTTCTTCCCATGTATTTTCTTCCTAGCCTTAATGACTGTCACACCACCCAAGATAGGTGTGTTCAATCTTTCGGCTTCCCTGGGCCACATTGGAAGAATTGTCTTGGGCCATACATAAAATACACTAACACTAATGATAGCTGATGAACTAAAAACAAACAAACAAAAACCAAAAGTCTCACAATGTTTTAAGAAAACTTATGAATTTGTGTTGGGCCACATTCAAAGCCGCCCTGGTCTGCATGCAGCCTGCGGACCGCAGGTTAGACAAGCTTGCCTTAGGAAGTGATGACTTTGAAGAACATACTCAGGGGAAGCAGCTGCTCCCCGGGCTGGTCATGGCTCTGATTCCAGAGCAGATGAGGTCTGCAGAGATGGGGCTGAAGTGGGAGTGGGGGTGGAAGGTGTTCTAGGCCAGAGGACCCGAGGGGTGGCTCTGAGCCCAGAGAGCTGTGGAGCCCACGAGTCAGGGAAGACAAGGTCTGTGTGGCCACAGGTGGGTGGCGTGGGAACAGGTAACTGACATCTTTAAGGCAGGGGACAATGTCCTCCCTGTTCTGAGGCCCCTTCTCCTTTTTCCCACCTGTCCTCCTTGCTCTCTTCCTTTTTTTTTTTTTTATATCTTTTTTCTCCATTTTTCTGCTGTTTGCTATAAAATCCCTGTCTTGGCTAAGTCCTTGACTGGGGAAAAAGTAAAGTTCAAATTCCTTAAAACTAGCCAGACTTTCAAATGTTTTTGGCAACAGTTACTCCCTGCAAGAAAAATATACCAGTGTCAATCACCCTTAGGACTTTTTGGGCCATTTTGTGCAGGGTTTCCTCATAGCAGGGTATTGCCAGGGTGGCCGTGAATCTGCCTTCTTAGACCAAGAGAGCAGTTTCTTTTCAAAGTGACTCTCGGCCAGGTATGGTGGCTCATGCCAGTAATCCCAGCACTTTGGGAGGCCGAGGCAGGTGGATCATCTGAGCTCAGGAGTTCGAGCCCAGCCTGGCCAACATGGCAAAACTCATCTCCACTAAAAATACAAAAAATCAGCCGGGCGTGGTGGCGGGCACCCGTAGTGCCAGCTACTGGGGAGGTTGAGGCAGGAGAATGGCGTGAACCTGGGAGGCAGAGCTGGCAGTGAGCCGAGATCGAGCCACTGTACAGCCTGGGAGACAGAGTGAGACTCTGTCTCAAAACAAAACAAAAACAAAAACAAAAACAAAAATGATCAGGGCATGGTGGCAGGTGCCTATAGTCCCAGCTACTCTGGAGGCTGAGGCAGGAGAATCACTTGAACCTGGGGGGTGGAGGTTGCAGTGAGCTGAGATGGCACCACTTCAGTCCAGCCTGGGCGAAAGAGCTAAAGTCCATCCCCCAAAAAAAGACTCTCATTGTCTTTAGAGCCACTGGATGTGGGATCCAGGGCAGAAGGAGAGGAAGGGAGTCATTCCAAGACAGCACTTGTTCTATGACTTGGAGTTCAGGGCTCTGAGGCCTTGGGGGATCAAGTTATTGAATTTGCTCAGGAAACTTCACTTCTTGAAGGAAAGTTTAGGTGGATCTTATTACAGAAGAAATAGTACTATCCTCTCATTCAGCTGTTGTATCATTGTGGATTCTGAATTTACCTAAGGCCAGTCACACCTATATGATCTGAATTCTAGAATGAGTATTGAGGCACTTACAGATTGGCTTCAGGTATGAGTCATTTCTGTCCCCTGGGCAATGCTGAATAACTGTTTTACGGGAAGGTATTTTTCTTCTACTGGGGCCAAATGACAGTCAAAGACCAGAGTGACCTATGAGGAATGGATTGAATCCCACATTGCAGAGCAGGACAGACTTTTCCTCCTCCTTGAAGGCCAGCTTGATGCAATGTAGGGAAGAGAGAGCGAGGGTGTGGGCTCGAATCTGGCCTCCCTCAGGTGCCTGCTGAGTGACGTCAGGTATGTTCCATCACTATCTGACCCTCACTTTTCTCATCTATAAAATGGGCTGAAAACCCCATCGGAATGTTGAACAGGTTCAGTTTGATAGGTAACATATGTAAAAGCTGTAAGGACCTGAATGTGACAGGTTACTAAAATTCAAGTTTTGACCCAGATGTAAAACATTAGATGCTCAGTTGAGTGTGAGAACACATTACTCAGGAGAAACCTTTAAAATGCCAACTTGAAAACACAGACTCTGGAACCCCTTCCCCAGGATGAGAATATAAAGGGGTCAGGAGCATGTCGGGGAGAGAGTCAAGGATGAGGGGATTTCTGCAGTTGCCATCTGTGGGGTCCCCACTCTGCCCTCAAAAGTCAAGGGTTGTTGGTGCTGTGTCTTTCACTCAAGATGGGCACAGTAGCTCATACCTGTAATCCCAGCACTTTGGGAGGCGAAGGTAGGAGTATTCCTTGAGGCCAGGAGGTTCAGACCAGCCTGGGCAACATAGTGAGACTCAATCTCTACCAAAACAAAACAAAACAAAAAAAAAATGAAAGAGACAGAGGAGAAGGAGAGGGAGAGAGAGAACTCCTTTAGCAAGGTAGGGATGTGTTCCCTGCAGCTGGGGGCTCCAGGCTTGGAGCTTGGCTTGCTGCTAGGAACATTAAGTGATCTGTGTGGGACAGAGGAGCAGAGGTCACGTGAAGAAGGAATTCTCTATCCAAAGGTGGAACAAGGGCTCCGTAACTTTCCCCTATGGATGACATGTAGGTCACTTGGACCTGTTTTGAGTCCTGTCCAAGAGGACCTAGGTGTAGCATGGTCTGCTGAAGGAGAGCCTCATTCACATCTGAGTAGTGGGATGCTCAGATCTGGGGAGCCCCAGCTTGGGAATCCCCAAAGGACCCGTGGAGATGCCCATCAGAGTCCACTTTCACCAACTGCCTGCAGGAAAGCAGGGATGCATCCACCCAGGTGAGAACTGTCCTATTCTTCACCTCTCCCCTTTAATCCCCACCCCGCCCACCTCCTTCAAACCCTGGCAGGCTCCCAAACAGCAGCTAGTGAATGGGGGAGGAGACTAGTGGAGAAAGAGACTGGAAGTGGCTATCCTCTGCCCAAAGACTGGCTGCCCATCTTAGGCTTTATCAAGGAGGATAATGGAGAATGAAGTGTGGGTTAATGTTTTGGGTAGGACACTTTTCAAACTGAGGAAACATGCTCTGTGACTCAGTGAATACAAGACTATCTCTATGCTAAAAGTAACAAAGACAAGTCATTGACTTGGTGAGTTTTCACCTTGGGCAGAGGAAAAGCCTCCCCTGCTCAATAAACTTTAACGAGTTAGTGGGAGTCAAAAAATAGAGGTGTGCTTTGATCCTATTCCACCAGTGGAGCTTGTCCAACATGCCAGTCCTACAGGAATAAGGCTGGCTTTTGGCTTAAGGGGCTGGCAATGATGTGGAGTGGGAGGAGACTTAGTATCTGCTTTATTTGCAACCACAGGTTAAAGATAGAAAAAGTATTCTCAAAGCATTAATAGATCTATGAATCTATTAGCTGTTCCTCTTAAGAGAAGGGGCAGAGCAGTAGAGTTGGGGAAGGGGGTGTTGTCAGATCCCCTGGGTCATTGCAGGTGGATGTACTGGACAGCATGTGAAGTATTTGGCTTGTATCTTCCCTTTCTGTAGCTTTTCCTCATCCAGTTTTTATTTAACGAAACTGATTGAGCACCTGTCACCTTTAATGTGTTATACTCTTTCCATCCACAGGGCTCTCAGCATCTTTGTGCTGGACAGAACCGCTGTTCTTAGAAAACAGCCTCCATTAAAATGCACTCATACTAAGGGGTGAGAGAATTCAGTGTTGCTATTCTCAAGTGTGTGTGTAGTATATTTATATATTAGAACATATATCATATATATGCACAGAAATACACATACAGTTGCAAAAACTGTAGGAGTTGAACGTCTGAAACAATTAGACATCACAGAAAAGCATCAAAGGCAGAGGAAGGGCAGGCACGGTGGCTCACGCCTGTAATCCCAGCACTTTGGGAGGCCGAGACAGGCAGATCACTTGAGGTCAGGAGTTCAAAACCAGCCTGGCCAACATGGTGAAACCCCGTCTCTACTAAAAATTCAAAAATCAGCTGGATGTGGTGGTACATCCCTGTAATCCTAGCTTTTTGGGAGGCTGAAGTATGAGAATTGCTTGAACCTGGGAGGCAGAGGTTGCAGTGAGCTGAGATCGTGCCACTGCACTCCAGCCTGGGTGACAGAGCAAGACTCTGTCTCAAAAAAAAAAAAAAAAAAAAAAGCGGGGGAAAACTATGATAACCCAGAGGTTCCAACATCTCATGGAATCTATTGATTCTGTCTACACAGCCTTCCTTCCTTAGGGGGCCTCCCCTGCTCCACTGTGGTCCTGGCTGGGCTGTCAATCTGCACTTTGCCCACATAGCCGAAGGAGCTGGTATGTGATTCAGATGGACCAAATGATTCTTTTCCGCCAGGAATGGGAATCTGTAGTGACGATATCAGGAATAAAATCAGCCAGAGATGAGTCATTTAGACATTGGCAACACGGTGGAACTGTTCACAGCTCCATCTCCTGAAATTCTTCAAACCTGCCCTTGCGTCTGTCCTTCCAAAAACCCTGTTGATCTGCATTTTTTTTTCGATTCAGTCCAGCCAACTCTTCTTGTTTAAAGTAGACCGTTAGGGCTTACAACCAACAGCTCTAAAATGGACACATCACTGTTATGTTTTAGCCAGTTTCCTTCTAGTCTTTTTTCTATTGTTTGCATTATTTGGTGGGTTATCAGAGACAGCTTAAACTGAAGGCTTCGGAGGCATGCAGCCTCTGTGAGTAGAGGCAGACATGGCAACTGTCATTCTGGAGCAGGAATGGCCTGAGGGTCACCCTATCCTCTGCCCTCACTTGACAGCCGAGGAGACTAAAGGCCACTGGGAGGACTGCGACTCACCCTGCATACCTTGCTTACTGTGCAGTGGGATTTTTGTTGCTAATGCGGAGTGCTCCCAGTGTGCACAAGCTGGAGGCTGTGCAAGCAAGGTGCTTCATGTACTTACTGTATGCTTAACGTTTTAATAGACACTGGGCGTTATTGAAGGAGACCATAAGATACGGTATTTACTTCCTGACACATTTCATCAAAGGGAAATATAGCAGAGATAAGGGTGCCTAATATGTCAAGGAAGAAAAAGATTTTTTTTAGAAAAATAATCTTTCCAAGCCTGGTGCAGTAGCTCATGCCTGTAATCCCAGTAGTTTGGGAGGCCAAGGCAGGAGGATTCTGTGAGTTCAGGAGTTCGAGACTAGTCTGGGCAACATGGTGAGACCTCCATCTCTAAAAAAAAAAAAAAAAAAAAAAATGGCTGGGCTTCCCAGCTACTTGGGTGGATTGCTTGAGCTTGGGAGGCAGACGTTGCAATGAGCTGAGAACACACGACTATACTCCAGCCTGAGTGACAGAGCCAGACCCTATGTCAATAATAATAATAATAATAATGATAATAATCTTCTCAGTGTTATTGATGTGAAGGTGGGGAGATGGGGATGTGGTGAGTGAGTACATGAGGAAGGGGGAAAGGGAGAGGGGATCACTTTAGTACAAAGGACTCAGAAAACCCCTCCACAAATTCCCCTTCCAATCTCCGTGTCTCAATAAGCAATGAAAGTGATTAGGTTTAATGAGGCTGTTATTGTCTCCGCATCTTCCCTTTTCCAGCTACCCTCTCTGGCTGCCCTGATACCACCCTTGTTCTTGCTGTGCATTCAGAATATGTTTTCAGAGAGATTTGAATGGCCAGTTTACAAGGACCATCTCTTTTGAGACAGCATGGCTGGGATTAAGTTTAAACCATCTGCTTTTAAATAGAAGGAGTGAGGACAGACTAAGAACATTTCAAATATGTAATTTATAACTCAGGGAGCCTTGAACTGTCCCAGGTGAGGAGGCCGAGGTCCCCTTTCCATCATGAGGCACAGGCCTGGGCCCCAGCCTGGAAGAAACATTCCCTGTTTGAGAAGAAGCCTGTCTTGGTCTTCAGGTTTCAGACATCCGTGTCCCTGGGGGGCCATTTCCTGTCTGTAAATGTAAGTTTTAAGCTCTTGGTGTGTTTTTTTGCACTCCAAAGTAAACAGAGCACCTGGATTTAATCAGTCAGACGGTAACAGAGTCACGATCTCAGTCCCTTCGTAAGTCCCCACCCCCAGGTAAGGGCCGGGAGGTGGGGCAAGCAGTGAGCCAGCCTGACAGTCTTGGAGGATTTGCTTCCCCGTGGACTTGTTATTAATGAGTATCTTGCAGCCAGCGTGGACTCGAGGATCTCTTCAAGGTATTCATGGACCATTCTCTAGAACCTTGTCTGACTTGAGAGAGAGGGGCTGCTGGGCGGGGCCTAGAGCACTTCACATGCCAGACACGAACTTCAAGTTCCAGTGGTCAGCTGGTTATGTTTCACGAACCACATTTGAGCCTCAAATCTGAAAACATTTTGGCACTTTCTTTGCATTTAAAAAATGTTTCAGGGCCGGGAGCGATGGCTCACGCCTGTAATCCCAGTACTTCGGGAGGCCGAAGCGGGTGGATCACCTGAGGTCAGGAGTTCGAGACCAGCCTGGCCAGCATGGCAAAACCCCGTCTCTACTGAAAATACAAAATTAGCCAGGCATGGTGGTGCATGGCTGTAATCCCAGCTACTTGGGAGGCTGAGGCAGGAGAATCGCTTGAACCCAGGAGGCGGAGGTTGCAGTGAGTCAAGATCACGCTATTGCACTCCAGCCTGGGCAACAACAGTGAAATTCCGTCTCAAAAAGAAAAAAAAAAGTTTCATGAAAAATTTATTTTCTTCCAAATGAAGGTTTTTGCTTTTGGATGCCTGCTCCTTAGTTAAGGGCCTGAAAGTGAGGTCATGGGCTCTGATTTAATGAAGGACTGGCCTCACCAGGCAGCAATTGCTGGGTTCTGCCTGAGTTCGTGAATGCTGAAGATGGCGGCCCAATTGATCGCAGCTTCCAGAAAGAAGGGATCCTTTCTGAATGGGATGGGCAGTGAACTTCACACCTACCCTTGGTAAGATTCTGAAACGAGTTGTTTTTCTAAGCATCTGGAGAGGGGCCCAGGGATGACTATTCAAGCAGTTGGCATAGATTGGGCTCCTGTCTCTTCTGAAACTGGCATCATGGAATACTTAGTGGGGCACGGGGGCATGGGACCTCTGAGTTTCAGCAGACCCTCTTGCCAGTGCTCCCTCTTCATTTCTTTGCAGGCAGGCTGGAGAAACTGACCAAGAGTCTAGAAGGAAGCTAATGTGCCTCAATGGGTCACTGTGACCTTGTAGAGAGCACCTGAGCCTGAGCAGAAGGCACACATCTATGTCCTCAGCATCACCCTCTTCCCCTGGTTCATTACTTATTTTGGGGGCAGGAATTGCTTTTCTTTTAGTTTCAATTTGATAAAGCAAATTCATAATTTTTAAAATAGTTTTTCAAGCTTGGAATGAGAGCTATGGAGAAGGCATGATTTTTCTCCTTTATGTTTTTCTTCTCCTTCTTTCCCTCTCTGGGTTATTTTCCTGACAAATATAAATAAATTTTTTTTTAAAGTCCAACAACTCCTTACTTTGATTTTTTAAGATCTACGAATTTAGAAATATCATTTCAAAAAGTTGGATTTTGGATGCTTGAAACATGCCCAGTTCATAATGGATAAAGGTAAAAATGGTGATTTGGGGATTATTTTTGTGCATGGGATCATCTGCCAAAAGCAAAAAACAAACCCTCAACTAAGCAAAAAATGCCTGAACACAGTTTGTAACAAAAAGCTACTAGTTCCAGTTCATCTTGGGGCAGCTGTGCGCGACAGGAACAGAGCAGTCGTGTTTTCTGTGATAGTTGCTCAGACCCAAAGGATGCTGTGACCTCAAAGAATAACTGGAGTTTTTCCTTTCTTCAAAATACTTATCAAGCCTTGAGTTTCTGACAGTTCTTGGAATATATGCAAACAAAAGACAAACATTCTATTTATTAAAACACATCAGACAGCAGGAAGAAAACAATAAAAATTTCTTCAGGGAAAAAAGAAATCCAATTTATAGGCTGGGCATGGTGCCCCTGACTATAATTCCAGCACTTCGAGAGGCAGAAGTGGAAGGATTATTGGAGCCCAGGGGTTCAAGACCAGCCTGGGCAACATAGCAAGACCCTGTCTCTACAAAAAAAATAAAGCCAGGTCCAGTTGCATGTGCCTGTAATCCCAGCTACTTGGGAGGCTGAGGCAGGAGGATAGGAAGCTAGAAAGTTGAGGCTGCAGTGAGCTATGATTGTGCCACTGTACTTTAGCCTGGGTGACAGAGTGACCTTGTCTCAAAAAAAGAAAAGAAAAGAAAAATCCAGTTTATATGGTTGAAGTAAGCAAGGAACTCTTCCTCTCCACGTCCTTTATTAGGGAGGGCTTAAAGAGGAAAAAGGGAAATTAAAAAATAAAAAAAAAAGGATATGTACATAAAACGTTAGAGTATGCAAGGATGACACTGCTGAACTTGTAGTCTATTAGAGATCCGGGTTATAGTCCCAGACATCCATGGCTGGAATTCCCAATGCCACAGGAGCTAGGACTTGTGTTGTGGTTGGAGCCCCGTGGAACTGTACTGCCTTTGTTTTCTCTGATATTTCTTGATAGGCGGGCCCCCTTCTATTACCACAAATTGCTGATGATGCCAAGCTAGAAGGCACAAAGAAGGCTCAAAATGATCTCAGAAGGTTAGAACAATAGACTCAGCTAACTATGATGACATTTAATGTGCATGCATGCAATATGCTGACCTCTGGTTTAAAAGACCACCTTCCCTCATGGGGTGGCATTAGTAGAGGTCCTGTGCAGAACGGGAGAATTACCACCCTGCTTAAAACCCGATGGTGGCAAGTCAAAGGTCTTAACTCACTTTTAAGACCCTGTGAGGCTCTGCCTACCTCTCTAGAGCCTTACCATGATGCGCTCTTCCCCCTCATTCTCTATGGCTCAGCTACAGTGGGCTTCGTTCAGTCTTAAATGCAACTTGATATCTCTTTCCTCAGGGCTTTGCTCTACCTGTTTCTCCTGCTTAGAATACTCCACCTGCACAGACCTCCATTTAAACATCACTTCATTGTTCAGGCACAGTGTACTGAGCTTGTACACTATGCCAGCCACTAGATGCTGGAGACACGAGGGTAAACAAAGACCAAAAAAACCTCACACCTGCCTTCGCAGTGCAAGACATGCAATCAGACACAAACCATGTGCTTAAAGGTATGAGAGAGAGCCAAATGGTGCCCCAAGAACATGAACTGGGACTGAGCTGAGATCTGGAGAAAGAGCAAGAGTGGGGATTAGAGGGAATGGGGTGTGCAAAAGCCATGCGGTGGAGGGATCATAGAGCATTTAAGGAACTCAAGGAGGGCCAGTGTGCCTGGAATACAGAGAATATGCCGTAGGCTGGCATGATGTCTCATGTCTATAATCCCAGCACTTTGGGACACTGAGGCGGGAGGATAGCTTGAGGCCAGGAGTTCAAGACCAGTCTGGGCAACATAGTGAGAGCCCCGTTTTTACAAAAAATTGTTTAAATTAGCTGGGCATGGTGGCATGCACCTGTAGTTCCAGCTACTCAAGAGACTGAAGTGGGAGAATCCCTTGAACCCAGGAGGATGAGGCTGCAGTGAGCTGTATTTGTGCCACTGCACTCCAGCCTGGGCAACTGAGTGAGACCCTGTCTCAAAAAACAAAACAAAACGAAACCCAAACAATCAACAAAGAATATGGAGTAGAATGGGTATGGTGTGGGATGAACATAGAAGGGTTTGCCTCTCTCTTTTTTTTTTGAGCAGGGTTGACTTGTTGCCCAGGCTGGAGTGCAGCAGTGCCATCACTGCTCGTGTAGCCTCGACCTCCCAGGTTCAAGTGATCCTCCCATTTTAACTGGTGTATGCCATCACACCTGGCTAATTAAAATTTTTTTTTTTGTAGAGACAGGGTCTCGCTTTGTTTTCCAGGCTGGTCTCTGACTCCCAGGCTTAAGCAATCCTCCTGCCTTGGCCTCCCAGATGGCTGGGATTAAAGGCATGAGCCACTGCATCCAGTCTTTGCCTCTTCATTTTCTGAATTTTCTGTTGTTGGTGCTGTGTTTGAAGAGGCTGGATTATAACTAACAGATCTGTTCGAGAGGCAATTTACACATGAGATAGAAGCTTTAGCTGGAGTCAATGTTTACTCAACAGCTATTCATTGGGCAGTTATACTGTGCTGAGCAGTGTGCTGGCTGCTGGGGGTACCTATAGGAAGACACAAGGCAGATGTGGTCCCTGACCTCCTGAGGCCACACCGACAAATAATTAAGCAACACAACACAAGCTGAGTGCCCTCACAGAATATGCAATATTGGAGCACCTCGGGGGTTGGCAACGGAGCCTAGACCGGGGAGCTCAGAAATAGCTTCCTGGAGGAAATGACTGGCTGAGGGAAGGACCAATGAGAGTCTTCTCAGTGAAAGGCCAGGAACAATGTTCCATGCTGACTGAACACCACGGACTGTGTATACTGAGCCCCAAGCTCACCCGGGAGTGTGCATTTACCCATCTCTTGCATTAGGAGTATTTTAGTCCTGCCAAAGTTTAAGAAGCTTTGAGGGGAACCCAGGCTTTGACAAATGAGCTGGTATTCCAACTCCATCACTGCACAGTAGTGTGACCACAGACAAGCGCATGTTCTCAGCCTCATCTACACAATGTGATAATAACACTGAGCATATTGAGTTATCAGGATGATCCAATGAAGTAGAATGGGTATCCACCAAAGGTCCACACTTCTTCCCTTTCCCTGAAACACTGTCTTTTATTTTTATGTATCTGTCCCAAGTAGTCCACTCTGGAGCAGATGGAGGTGTTGAAGCATGGAGGTAGAGATGAGAGTGGTTTCAGATCCATCGTTTGGCAGAGGATCTGAATCTCAGGAGACAATGTGAGAATACACTGATTTCTCATGCCAGAGAAGAGAAGTCAAACCATGGGGCCTGGAGCCCTGGGAATAGTTCCCTGGGGAATTGGTATAGTGGCACTGCCATCCTCATGGCACCTTGCAAATCCAGATTACTTATTTTAAACCTGAACTTGATCTGACTTCTTTAGGAGAACTGCAGCTGCTGGGAAAGAGACAATGTGTGAGGGCTCTTCTGCTGGTGCAGATGGTGACGCCACAAACAGACCCCTCCCTGGCTATTTATGCTTATTCAGTCAAATAAGGGCAGTATTCCCTTGGACAAATAAAACAAATTGCTTTAGTATCTTACTGAGATGCCTGCAGACCCTCTGTTCTGTAAGAATGAGACAGGACAGCTGTGCCTGAACTGCTGGGGCAGGGGTGTATTCTCTCCTTGGGGAAGTGTGACATTGGCAGGGGTAACGTTCACCCCAGGGAGTTGTGAGCATCCTGGACTGTCTTCTGTTGGCCATCTTTGCAAATCTCTTTCCCCTGCTGAGCCTTGGGGTTCTCGTCTAGAAAAGGAGAGGCTGGATTAGAAGATGACAAGGGTGATGCTCATTCCACCTGTGTGACCTCATGTAGCCTCATAATAACTCTCTGAACTTGGAGACCCAGTATCCATCCCATTGTCAGATGAAACAACTGAGTCAGAGAACTCAGTCACGTGACTGAGAAGTGGTATGGCCAGGCCTAATGACTCCAAGTGCAAGCTCTGTTGGAACCAACAGGACTTTCCAAAAGAAATCATCCTTATCAAAACTCTCAGGACAAAGTGAGAGTAATATATTGGTAGGTATATGCTGACTGGTTGGCTTTTTTTGAATTTATTTTTTATTTTTGAGACAAGGTCTTACTCTGTCCCCCAGGCTGAAGTGCAATGGTATGATCACAGCTGACTGCAGCCTCATTCTTGGGCTCAAGGGATCCTCCTGCCTCAGCCTCCCCAGTAACTGGGATGCCCAGCTAATTTTTTAATTTTTTGTAGAGATGAGGCCTTGCTATATTGCTCAGACAGGTCTCGAACTCATGGCTTAAGAGATCCTCCTGCCTCGCTTGGTCACCAATTGGCTTTTTGATCGCAAGGAACAGAGACTCTTTGGTGAGCCATGCAACAGGGTATTGCCACAACGTTTCTACTGTCCTGGACTCACATGTGGCTCCCACAGCCTTTTGGAATATGCAAATGCTGTCTTGTAGGAGGTCTCCCAGCATTTTCTCCTGCTGTTAACCAACAAACCAGACAACAACCAACCAAGCAATTAACTACAGTCCATTCTCACATTTTGTGGAATCCATATTTGCAAATTATTCTACTCACCAAAATTTACTTGTACTACCCCAAATCAATACCTGTAGCATGTTCGCAGTCATTCCTTGACATGTGAAAAATGATGAAAAATTTGAGTTGCCTGATGCACATGTCCCCAGCTGAGGCAGTACAAGGTGAGGCTCTGCCTTCCTGATTCGGCTCTCAGGCTGTGGACTTGTGTTATTTTCACCATCTATTTAGCGCCATTTTTTTTTGCATTTTTCTCTTTTTTTATTGGCAATTTTCCTGTTTAAAATGCCCCCAAAGCTGGGCTTGGTGGCCCGAGCCTGTAATCCCAGAACTTTGGGAGGCTGAGACAGGCGGATCACTTCAGGTCAGGACTTTGAGACAACCTTGGCCAATATGGTGAATTCCTATCTCTATTAAAAATACACAAAATTAGCTAGGCATGGTGGTGGGCGCCTGTAATCCCAGCTACTTGGGAGGAGAATTGTTTGAACCCAGAAGGCGGAGGTTGCAGTGAACCAAGATTGCGCCACTACACTCCAGCCTGGGCGATGGAGCAAGACTGTCTCAAAATAAATAAATAAAATAAAATAGAATAAAATAAAATGTCCCCAAGGGTAGCACTGAAGTACTGTCTAGTGTTTTTAAGGCCCAGAGGGCTGTGATGAGCCTTATGGAGAAGACATGTGTTAGATAAGCTTTGTTCAGAGGTGAGTTATAGTGCCATTGCCTGTGAGTTCAATGTTGATGAGTCAACCTTATATGTTAAATAAGGTGTCTTGAAAGAGAAACACACATAAAACAAGGTTATATATTAACTGATTGACAAAAATGTGACCAGAGGCTTGCAGGAAAGTAGCCATGAATTTCCCCTGGGAACAATGGTTTGGTATTGGTTAATTCAGTGCCCTTGGCACTGAATAGAACATAACTATCTCAACTAATAAGACTCGACTGAATATCCTGATCACATGGTTTATGCAAGAGGCCCTGACTGTGTTGTTCCCTCTCTGTTTTTGGCCAGAGCATTTTCAGGTTGACCACCCTGAGGTCAAGGGCTGTATTAATCCTTTTTCATGTTGCTGATAAAGACATATGTGAGACTGGGTAATTTATAGAGGAAAAAGGGTTTAATGGACTTACAGTTCCACATGACTGGGGAGGCTTACAATCCTGGCAGAAGGCAAGGAGGAGCAAGTCACATCTTACATGGATGCCGCAGGCAAAGAGAGTGAGAGCTTGTGCAGGGAAACTCCCATTTTTAAAACCATCAGATCTCATGAGACTTATTCACTATCATGCGAACAGCACAGAAAAGACTTGCTCCCATGATTCATTTATCTCCCACTGGGTCCCTCCCACAATACATGGGAATTATAGGAGCTACAAGATGAGATTTGGGTGGGGACACAGAGTCAAACCATATCAAATGCCCACCTGGAAGAGTGAGGGGTCACCTGGTACCAGCGTGGTGACAGGCAACCACATAGGGCTGCTTCCTGGGGAGGAAACCTGGGTTAGAAGCAGGGGCAGTTTCCTTCAGAATGGGATTGTGAACTAGGCAAGGACCCAAAGCAGATGTCACTCATATTATCACAGGGTCTAAATGCCTCCTCAGCAGTGGAGACCCATGTTTTAAGTGAAGGGAAAAAAAGCAAGCTTTAGAAGAAACAAAATCAGACAGGAGGATTAATTGAGGCAAACTGGACTGTTGTAAGAACAGCCTTTAATGCTTGAATTGACCAGAGGCAAGACAGCTGGAAAGGGCTAGAAAGAAGGAAACAGGCATTGAACGTAATTTCCCTAGTTATATGGAAAGGGCCTGGGATGCAATGCTTAAGAAAGAGGTTCTGGTCGGAATCTAGGGAAGGCAGGCCAGGGCTTGGGGGTCTGCAGTCTGCAGAGAGACAGCTCAGATCTGGATGTGAAGGTGGATCTGGGCCCAGCCAGGAGTGCCAGGTGTCTCCAAGAGCCAGGGCTGCAGGACTGGGCTTCCCAGGGGGCCAAAGGAGAGCTGTTATGAACTGGACTATTTTGACAGGGGTGATAAGCTATTTATAGCAACAAGACTGGGTCAGTTTGACATTTCATTATCTTTATATAAATTGGAACCTGAGATCCCTGTGGCTGGTAATAAAATAGTTTCTCTCTGCAATCAGTGGATAGAATGTGCACAGGAGAGTCATGAAACAAGATAATGGAAGGGCTATAATTTATTCTCAAGCAAATAGTTCTGCCCTGGTTTCATGCTCCAGCCACATGTTTGGTCAGCATCCTACATGGATTGGAGGCTGCATGGTGCAGCCTCCTAATGCACACGCCCTTCCTCAGCCAGGTCTCACTGCTGATCCTTTCCAATGAGCTTCCTGTGTCACCTGCCAGGACAGAGAGAGAGGAGTGTGGCTGCTCTAAGAGGTGAATTAGAGAGTCAGCTCAGACTTGCCTGGGCCCTGTTTTTTTACTGCCCACAAGCTGAAAATGGTTTCTACATTTTTAATTAATTAATTAATTAATATATTTATTTATTTTTGAGATGGAGTTTCACTCTTTTTTGCCTAGGCTGGAGTGCAATGGTGCGATCTCGGCTTGCTGCAACCTCCGCCTCCCGGGTTCAAGCAATTCTCCTGCCTCAGCCTCCCAAGTAGCTGGGACTACAGGCACGTGCCACCATGCCTGGCTAATTTTTGTATTTTTAGTAGAGATGGGGTTTCACCATGCTGGCAGGGCTGGTTTTGAACTCCTGACCTCAGGTGATCTGCCCACCTCAGCCTCCCAAAGTGCTGGGATTACAGGTGTGAGCCACCACACCCAGCCAGTTTCTACATTTTTAAATGGTTGAAAAAACAGTCAAAATGTTTTTGTGCTGTTTGAAATTCAACTTTTAGTGTTATAAATAGAGTTTGATTGAAATATAGCTGTGCCTGTTTGTCTATGGCTGCTTTTGCATGGTAGCAGTAGAGATGAGTAGTGGTGACAGAGACCTTATGGTTCCCAAAGCCTAAGATATCTGCAGACCCCTGATCTACATCATCATATGTGTTGTAATATTCCATTGCATATTCTTCCACTTCTTCATCAATGAGCTTTCGGTTGTTTTAGTAGAGAGTATGTATTATTAACTTCTAGCCAAATTGTGTTGCATGCAGATGTCACAGTCTGTATGACACTTACTTTTTGAAATTTACTGAGATTATTTTTATGTCATTGCTCCCGATCAATTATTGGAAGTATAGCAGGTGTTCTTCAGGGGAAATGCGTATGCTCTAATGTTGCACTGATTTTACATTCATTAGGCCGACCTTGTTCATAGAGTTTTACAGATCTTCTGCATCCTTGATGATTTTTTCCCTTGTCTTATGGCTCATTCAACAACAAAAAGGTATATTGAAATATTCTACTATGATGGTGGACTTAGTATTTCTCCCTGAAGATTGATTTTTAAATTGTTTCTCATATTTTGAAGGGTTTTTTTTTTTGGTATAGATGTGTTTTTTCATTTTGTTTTGTTTTGTTTTGTTTTGGTTTTTGAGATGGAATCTTGCTCTGTCACCCAGGCTGGAGTGTAGTGGCATGAACTCGGCTCACTGCAACCTCCGCCTCCTGGGTTCAAGCGATTCTCCTGCCCCAGCCTCCTGAGTAGCCGGGACTACAGGCACACGCCACCACCATGCCCAGCTAATTTTTGTATTTTTAATAGAGACGGCGTTTGCCATGTTGGCCAGGCTGGTCTCGAACCCCAGACCTCAGGTAATTGACCCGCCTTGGCCTCCCAAAGTGCTGGAATTACAAGCGTGAGCCACTGCACCCAGCCTGGCATATATGTATTTAAAATAACATCTTAGCAAATGGAATATTTTACCATTATGTATTGATCCTTGCTGTCACCTACAATGTCATTTATATTACCATTGATAATATTAATTATGTAGATATACAGATTAATATAAATAAATGTACATATACCAGCTTTCTGGTCCCAACAGCAGTGAGTTCTCAGAGAGTTGTCCAGAGGAAGGACCTCCCGTCTGTCCTAGCAGGTCAACAGCGATGACTGGATGTCTGGTAGCCTCCTCCTGTCTGTCCTAGCAGGTCAACAGCGATGGCTGTTGGTAACCTCATGGATGGCAATGGGTTGTTCAGGGCCCTCTTTATCAGACCTGCTGTGGGGAGTTCTGACTCTTCTCTGGAGTTACCAGCAAACCAGGCCAGGGTAACAATGGGGTTATGTGAGGGGGTTCCCAAGTACAGAAATGACAGCCAGGGGCTGGCTACCTTGGCCACTACTCTTGACAAATCTACCAAAAATGCATAGCAAAGGCAGCCACAACCCTATATTAAACAGAGCAGAGGCACCCACATTCAAACTGTTATATTATAGTCAGGTTACACAGAGCACTTTTACATTCATCTAAAGCTCTGAGAACTTGAAGGGTTATCCAGTGACTAAGGGAAGTTTCATCTCAAACAGGGTCCTTGGACAGATGGGGACCCTTTTGACCAGTGGTCAGGTACCTCTGTATATGTGCTTATAATAGCTGTACTTTTCCTTCACAGATTGTATTACAATCGGTAATTATGTTTTCTGTTTTGTTGTGTGAGTATCTACTTACCACCTTTTTCACTTAAACTGTAAGCTCCTCTAGGGCAGGGGCTGTGTTTGTGTGCTCATGGTTCACGGCAGCTCACAGAATGCCTGGCACAAAATAGATGCTCAATGAACATGTGTCCAGTGGAACAGGCTTGAGTTGAATGCAGCTCAATAATCTGCCAGCCTTTCTTCTGAACCCAATTCTTTTATCTCAGGCCCTAGGCACAGCCTGTATGTTCTGTTCTACATCACTTTAAAAAGCAGAACTAATGTCAAAACATGGACATTTGAGAGCAGTAGATGTTGGTTCATAGCAAGAAAGAATGTTTTAGCAGATCCCCTTTTAACAGAGCAATGCAACAGATTTCCTTATAAGTAATGTTATTGGCCGGGCGTGGTGGCTCTCACCTGTAATCATGGCACTTTGTGGGGCCAATGTGGGAGGTTTGATTGAGGCAAGGGATTTGAGACTAGTGAGATCCCCATCTCAAAAAAAAAAAAAAAAAAAAAAGAATATTCTCTGACAGCAGAACTAAGTCAGCTGTGAAGAGAGAATTCAATGTGTAGTTGGGGCAGACCAGGAACTAAAGTTTCACCCCCAAGGTCCAAGCAAACGCTGAGTGTCCAATGATCAGGGACGTTGTGGGAGAGATTCCAGCTTTGGGCAGGCAGTTGCACTGGGTTACTTTTGTGATGGCTTCTAATTCTACCATTCTGTGAGCTTTCCACAGGCCTGCCTCCCCAGAATCATGTTGCTGAAGAGACTCTGTAGGGTTTTAGCAGAAAATGTTAAAAAAAAATAAAAAAGAAGAAGAAGAAGAAGGAGAAAGCTAACTCTAGACTGTCAATGGGGTTAAGTCAGGTTGTGTCTACTGTGTTAATTTTCTATTGCTGCCGTAGCAAATCACCACAAATGCAGTGGTCCCAGAACAACACAAATATATATCCTCCTCATACGGTTCTGCAGGTCAGGATCCGATAGGTCTTGCTGCACTAAAATAAAAGTGCCAGCAGGGCTGGATTCTTTCCTGAAGGCTCTAGGGGAGAATCCATTTTCTTGCCTCCTCCACTTTCTAGAGGCCACCTGCATTCTTTAGGTTGTGGCCCCTCCTCTGTCCTCAAATCAGCAGCATGCCTCTCCCTCTCTGAAGGCTGCCAGGAAGACTTCTCCACATTTAAGGCACAGTGATTATACTGGACTCACCAAGATATTCCTGGATGATCTCCTTCAACAAGGTGTTTGACCTCATTCACATCTGCAAAGTCTCTTTTGCCATGGAAGGTAACACATTCTAGGGATTAAGACATGGACATTTTTGGGGTGGTGGTCATTATTCTGCCTACCACATTGACCAAGCCCTACCTATGACAGCCCAGGATTTCTTGGGGATCAGCAAGGGGTTTGTAAATCTTCATTTTATAAAATGAAATACACAGGACTTTTTCTTTTTCAATAGGCAAGCTATTGTTCTGTCACCCAGGCTGGAGTTCTGTGGCTTGATCATAGCTCACTGTAACCTTGACCTGGGCTCAAGTGATCCTCCCACCTCAGCCTCTTGAGTAGCTGGGACTACGGGTGTGAACCACCACACCCAGCTAATTTTTTTTTTTTGAGATGTGGTCTCCCTATGTTGCCCAGGCTGGTCTCCAATGCCTGGACTCAAACGATCCTCCCCACTCACCCTCCTAAAATACTGGGATTACAGGTGTTAGCCACTTTGCCTGGCATACATGACTTTGAAAGAAAGATGTCATGTTAAAATCTTTGTATACCTCTTAAAATTTAATTGTACATTTCTACTTATCAGAGTAACAAACATTTTTAAAACCAAGAGTACCTGTAGAAACGATTTGCACTCATGGTGCATAATGGCATCATCCAAGGCCAGCCTGGTAGAAAGCAGCTTTGCCTTGTCAGCTCAGACTTGCCTTTTATCAGTGCCAAGGGATGATCTAACTCGTGAGGCAGAGTCCAGGTAAGTAACTAATTAATTGATTAATTAATTAATTAAATTGGACGTCAGATGGAGAGTGTCTAGTTAATTACACGCCTCAGCTCATGGCGTGCTATAACCAGCCTTGCAGAACTCCTCTCTGACTGTAGTTTCATTAATATTCCCCCTCTTTCCTCATCCCAATTTCCATCTTCTTTCCCCACATTCATCTGCTCTGACGTGTTTAACACGCCTGCTTGGGTGTGTATGCTTTATCCCCTGTGGGCCTCGGAAAGCTTTCTCAGGAGCACACCCCAGGAGAGGGCGTTCTACCCGTAGCCAGATGCGTTCCTGACATCATGAAGGACTGTAGGATCCTGTCTCAGAATGGGGTCCTCGTTCCACACCCACCAGTGCGCTTGAGAGGATTGTTTAACTGCCCACTTTCTCCGCTCTGATGAGGGGAAGGTGGTAAGTGGCTTTAATTTGCACACTTGTGAATGCCAGTGAAATTGAACACCATGTATACCTGTTAGCCACCTAGGCTTTCCTTTCTGTCAATTGCTAATTCCTACCTCTTGCTCACATTCTATGGGCTTCCGTCTTTTCTCAGTTGATTGCTAAAAGTTCCTTGCGTATTCTATAATAGACGTGATCCCTTGTTGATTTTTAAAATTGTGAATGTCTTCCAGATTTGCCACCAATTTGTCAATTTCATCTATTGTGTTTTTAATGAACAGAAATCCTTACTTTTAATAGACTTAAATCTACTGTTTCCCGCTTTTGTGCTTTATGCTTTCGAGGGGCTTATTTAGGAAATCCTTAGCTTCCTGACGTCTTAGAGATAAGACGTCTCTCATCCATTGCACAGTTCTCTTACCACACTGGTTTTGCTTTTCGCTCTTAGGCCTTCAATCCACCTGCAGTTTACCTTTGTGTATGGATGAGCAGGAGATGCAACTTTATTTTCCCCAGTGTACAGCCTCTTTGCCAAGCCAGCACGGACTCACTTCCTGCGCTTGTGCTTTAGGTGTGCTTGCTGGCTTTGCAGCTTAACTCCTAGAGGGGACTCCATTTCCTTTACTTATAGTGCTACCTCAACAGCGCCCCTTGTGCTTCTCCCATGCACTTACAACTTACAACATAAGACTGAAGTGCGGTGAGACGATTTGGAAAAGCATTTTATAATTTATATGTCAAGTGTCGTTTGCTTTGACCCAGTGAATCTGTTCTTGGGAACTGAAAAAACTTTTCTGAGTTAAGATGGTCACTTATTTTTGTTAGTAAGCAATTAGAAACAATCTAAAAGTCCCAGGAATATAGAAATCATTGTCATAATAGCTTAGTCACTCAATGGCTAATTTGAAACAAGCACAAGTAATGATTATGAATGGTTTTTAGTAAAAATATATAAAAATGACCATCATATAATGTTCGGTACAAAAAGAACAGAAAGCTGCACATAGAATGAAAATCACATTAAAAAGTTAATAAATATCTTTACATGGTAAGATGATATGAGCATTCATTTCTTCTTCTGAATGTTCTGTATTTTCTAACTTTTATTATATGTTCATTTTATAATGGAAATAAACTGTATTTGTAAAAGTAAACTAAGCATCAGGTTTATATGCTTTTTTTCTTTCTTTCTTTTTAAGACAGGGTCTTGCTCTGTCACGCAGGCAGGAGTGCAGTGCTGTGATCATGGCTCACTGCAGCCTCAACCTCCCAGGCTCAAGTGGTCCTCCCACCTCAGCCTCCCGAGTAGCTAGGACTACAGGCATACACCACCACACCGGGCTAATTTTTGTATTTTTTGTAGACATGGGGTCTCATTATGTTGCTGAGGCTGGTCTCAAACTCCTAGGCTCAAGCGATCCTCGCACCTCAGCCTCCCAAAGTGCTGAGATTACAGGCATGAGCCACCGCATCCGACCTCAGGTTTATATGCTTAACTCAATCACTCGCACTTTACCTGAGCAACTCTCTGCCAGGGGTGAGGGAGGCCGCGTCTCCTAGCATCATCACACACCCACAGGTTGTGCACTGTTGTTACAATTTCTGAACGTGGAGAAGTAGACTGACCACGTCCCAAAACCCACAAAACTGAAGGCTTCTCAGCTGTGAGGAAGAAATTCAACACTCGGGCCAGTTACTTGCTCCTTCTTGTTTCTGAAGAAATGCAGCTTCTAGGGGTCCTTGCTTAAATATTGGGCTGATGTGGGACTGTTCTCTGAACCGTGATCCTAATAACTCTCCCTTCCCTCTCACGCTCCTCAAAATCAGAGCTAGCTTTCCTCTTTCCCAAATCAGCCCATATTTTTAATGTCTCAGGATATTATGGTCCTGATATAGTTTGGATCTGTGTCTGCTCCCAAATCTCATCCTGAATTGTAATCCCCAGTGTTGGAGGTGGGACCGGGTGGGAGGTGACTGGGTCATGGGAGTGGTTTCTCATGAATGGTTTAGCCCCATCCCACTTGGTCCTGTCCTAACAACAGTGAGTTCTCTGGAGATGTGGTCATTTAAAAGTGTGCAGGGGTTGGGTGCAGTGGCTGGCGCCTATAATCCCAGCACTTTGGGAGGCCGAGGCAAGCAGATCATGAGGTCAGGAGTTCAATACCAGCCTAGCCAATATGGTGAAACCCCGTCTCTACTAAAAATACAATAATTAGCACGGCATGGTGGTATGCACCTGTAGTCTCAGCTACTTGGGAGGCTGAGGCAGGAGAATTGCTTGAACCCAGGAGGCGTTTGATTAGCAAGGCATGGTGGCACACACCTGTAGTCCCAGCTACTCAGGAGGGCAAAAGGATCACTTAAACCCTTGAACCAGGAATTCCAGGCTACAGTGAGCTGTGATTGTGCCACTGCACTTCAGCCTGGATGACAGAGTGAGAATCCAACACTTTTTAAAAAGTAAAGTAAAACAGTCACAAGGTCATCATTCTGCCTAACATGATACAACTATCCTACATAAAATCAAAAACACTAATTCTTGTCCCAGAAGAAGTTGCAAAGTTCTTGGGTGATGTTTACCCTTCTCCTTGATATTCTGTAACTTAAAAACTATGATGTAATGTTAACAATGCTTAAATACTATCATATAAGGTCAACACATCTTATGTTACATGATAGAAGGATAAGAGTGGGAGGAAAGTAAAGATACTTGCTATAGATACAGAGATATGTACACACAGGTATTCACAACAAATAAGGAAGAAATATTCATTTCTGTTGTGGGTTTCTATAACCATATTTCTATAGCCGGTCATGAGGTCATGGCTTGTAGTTACAACTACCTCTTCTACTAATCATGCTATATCCCCTTCACCCTTAGCAAGCACCTCAGCTGGTGTGGTTTTTTACCTGTGGGGTGACCCAAGCCTTCATTGCTAAAGGGTCTGACCCATATTCCTGCCTGGATTGACTTATTGTAGTTTTCCATTGCAGTTATTGTAGCTTTCCATTGACCTGAATCATAGGCCGTGGTAATACCAAGATACGCCCTAAGGGATCTCTTGCATTCCAGATGTGCTCTTCCTCGCTTCCTGGCCATAAGTGATCCTCCCACCCTGATCTCCTAAAGTGCTTTTCTCGGAGATTAAGTATGGTGTAAGGAGGTGCATGAGTGCCGAGCTGACAAGGTGAGGACTTGCGATGGTTAATTTTATGTGTCAGCCTGGCTAAGCCATGGTGCCTAGATATGTGCTCACGCATTATTCAGGATGTTTCTGTGTGTTTTTGGATGAAATTAACATATAAAGCAGATTGCCTTCCATAATGTGGGTGGGCCTTATCCAATCAGTTGAAGACCTGACTAGAACAAAAGACTGACTGGCCTTGAGCAAGAAGGAATTTCCCACACACCGGCTTCAGGCTTGAACTGCAACTGGGTCTCCAGGCTAGTGGCCTTGGATTTGAATCTGGTTATAGGTCTGGAAACAAGGTGGACCTGAGGAGAATTAGCAGTGTCTCCCAAACCCACTGCCAAGGCGAGGCCATGACAGTTACCTCAAGAAATGCAGGAAAATCTCCTCTGAATTCTTCATGAACAGGGACTGCAGTTTTCTCTCCCTAACTCCCAATATAGTAGGTGCTCAATAAACACTGTTTTAAAGAAAGAGCAAAGGCCAGGTGTAGTGGCTCTTTTCTGTTATCTCAGCACTTTGAGAGACCAAAGCAGGAGGACTGGTTGAGCCCAGGAGTTTGAGACCAATCTGAGCAACATAGGAAGACCCCATTGCTGCACAAATTACAGAGATCAGCCAGTCATGGTGACATGCGCCTGTAGTCCCAGGTACTTGGGAGGCTGAGGTGGGATGATCACTTGAGCCCAGGAGTTCGAGGCTCCAGTGCAGTGAGTTATGATTGTGCCACTGCACTCTGGCCCGAGTGACAGAGAAAGACCCTGTTTCAGAAAAAATAAAATAATGGCCGGGCACGGTGGCTCACGCCTGTAATCCCAGCACTTTGGGAGGCCGAGGCAGGTGGATCACCTGAGGTCAGGAGTTCAAGACCAGCCTGACTAACATGGTGAAACCCCATCTCTACTAAAAACACAAAAAATTAGTCGGGCATGGTGGCATGCGCCTGTAATCCCAGCTACTCGAGAGGCTGAGACAAGAGAATCGCTTGACCCCGGGAGGTGGAGGTTGCAGTGAGCTGAGACCCCACCATTGCACTCCAGCCTGGGCAACAAGAGTGAAAATCTATCTCAAAAAAAAAAAAAAAAAGAAAGAAAGAAAAAAGAAAATAAAAAGAAAAAATAAAGAAAGAGCAAGAGACGAGAAACATGACTTAAAGTAAAGGAAAGTGCTAGAAACTCCCTCACCTATCACTTCTTGTCCAGAACAACCAGCGGTAAGCAGGAACGATGATCAGTTCTTGCTCGTTGGAATCTGCCTAAATTCACCTCTCCAGACCCCTTTCTGGGTTAATGAGGCTGAAGAGGAGTCGGGCTCAGCCCAGAGGCCTGCAGACCTCACCAGTCCAGGTCTGAAGAGAAGCCACAGCCCTCAGTGTGGTCAGCAACAGATGCCTTCACTGTTAGGCCTTGGGATGTTTTTCCTTTTCTTATCCTGATCTCTGTGCAGAAAAAGCCCTAAAGACAATGATGCTTTGTCTAACTCTGAAAGCCTGAGTGTGTCGCCTGCCCCAGGGAGACAAGAATGAAGAGTGGGGATGGGGGTGACTCATCAGTGCCTGGCAAGGCTCCAGGGGCTACGAGCAGAAGTAGAGAGGAGACAGCTCCCACCTGCATCTTTCTTTAGCTCTCAAATTTGGAGGCTCTTGGAAAAGGCTCCGCAGGGGGTCAGGTGGGGGTATGTGGCCGAAGGGAGCAGGCCCAGGGGGACCCTCATGTTTCTGAAGCTCGTTTAGGGACTTGTGCTCAGATTGTAAGTACAAATAAATCATGCGGGACCCACTTTTCTGCCTGTGCTCCTCGACTCCTGTCTATGGAGGGAGTTAGATCATGAGGAATTCTGCCACTATCAAGGTCACTCTTAAACTTTAGGAATCACAGATGTTGAATTCCATTACAACCAGGAAGCATTATGGTGCCTTGGAGTTATCTGTGACAGGACTAAGAGGGTGGTGGCACAGAGAAAGGGGCCCCTCTTTATCGCCCTTCCTCAGGGACCATCAGAACCACAGGCCCTTTCCACCCGCCTGGCCACAAACACTCTTCCTAGCTTTCAGCATTGCAAATATACACTCCTAAAGGCATTGCAACTTGCACCGGGCTAAAGAGAGATAAATGAAGCGAGCCCCACCACCTGCATTTGCCACCCAGCCTCCCTGGGAAAGGGCAGGTGTGATCTTCCATCCTCTCTCCACTGGGGACTCACTGTTACCCTCATATGGCTCGAGAGGAACTTCAGCACAGGGGCTTCCTCTTGCTGGCGGGTGTGGGCAGCCTCCTTCCCTTGTGGGGCTGCCCTGCTGTGAACTTTCCCTGACACAGCAGCACGGTGTATCAGGAATCGTAACCAGTGATAATTAGAAGGAAGAAGGAAGATAAGGCCAGGCACGGTGGCTCACGCCTGCAATCTCAGCACTTTGGGAGGCCGAGGTGGGCGGATCACTTGAGGTCAGGAGTTTGAGACCAGCCTGGCCAACATAGCGAAACTCTGTCTCTACTAAAAATACAAAAAATTAGCCAGGCGTGGTGGCGTGTGCCTGTAGTCCCAGCTACTTGGGAGGCTGAGGTAGGAGAATCGCTTGAACCCTGGAGGTGGAGGTTGCAGTGAGCCGAGATCATGCCACTGCACTTCAGCCTGGGCAACACAGAGAGACTCCATCTCAAAAAAAATAAATAAATAAAAAGAAGGAAGAAGGAAGTTTTAAAGTGCACCTGATGCTGCATTCATTGCAATGAAACAAAGAAGAATTAAGTAAGTTCTTAAAGGCACACTAAATGGCCTTTTCTTTTTGAGAGCTAGCAAGTTAAACTTCACAAGGAGGTTCCTTCCTGGGAGCATCCCTGATTCCTATTAGCTCCTCCCCACTCAGGGCTTCCTTCTCCTCCCTTCTTCATGCAGATTTCCACTCTCCTTTGAGAAACTGCATGAGGAGAGAGAGAGAGAGAGAGAGAGAGATTCGTTACCCCAAAATACTGCTTTCAGATGGCCATGCACATCCAGCAAGGGCCTGATTAAACGCTTAGCTGAGGCCCCTTGGACTCGGCTTTATGTAGAGGCTGAGCAGGGGGTGATCTAATTTGTTAACTTCAGCAACATTTGCTATTGATGAACTCAACATCTGTGGTTCCAAAGATTTGAGAGTGACTCTGATGCTCTATGACATTTGTAATTTTGTGGAAACGCACGTTGGAACCTCCAGGCGAAGCTGGAATAGCAGAGAGCCTAGGTTTTTCAGGCACCCTGCTCTGCCTCTGGTGTGCCTGCAGGCGTACTATCTAGGGCTGAGGAGGGGGTCTGTCAGCTCCAAAGCTGGTGCTCTTCACCTCTGTGCCATCCTGTCTTGCATTGTTCACTGCTGGCCTGTCCCCACCACGGTAGCTGGCTGCACTTTAATTCAACTGTTACTGTGTGTGTGTGGCCCTGGAGCAGACAGGGAGAACACAAGTGTCACACCCTCCCTCCATGTATGCCAAGTCACCAGTGTCTCATCTGTCAAATGAAGGGCTTGGACTGGCTCAGTGGTTCCCAAACACAGTGGGATATCAGAATGGGGAGGGGAGATGCCCTCTCTCTCTCTCTGTGTCTCACACACACACACACACACACACACACTCTCTCTCTCTCTCTCTCTCTGTCTCTCTCTCTCTCACACACACACATGCACTCTCTCTGTGTCTCTCTCTAACACACACACACACGTACTGTCTCTCTCTCTCTGTCTCTCTCTCTCTCACACACACACCCTTCTGTAAGATCCCTTCTCACTGATTCTGTTTTTGCTCTCTAGCAGATGACAGATTTCTAGCAGTGACTGTAATCCACTGATAGACATCAACATACATGACCTGAAAAACGATGTTTTTCCTGATTAATGGAATAACTTATATGAAAAGTCCCACCAAGATATATAATTGAAAGATAGCTATATTACAGAAAAGGGGCCCCGATCCAGACCCCAAGAGAGGCTTCTTGGATTTCACATAAGAAAGAATTCAGGGCAAGTCCATAGAGTAAAGTGAAAACAAATTTATTAGGAAAGTAAAGGAATAAAGAATGGCTACTCCATAGACAGACAGCCTGGAGAGCTGCTGGTTGCCCATTTTTATGGTTATTTCTTGATTATATACTAAACGAGGAGTGGATTATTTATGCCTTCCCCTTTTGGACCACATAGGGTAACTTCCTGACATTGCCATGGCATTTGTACACTGTCATGGCGCTGGTGGGAGTGTAGCAGTGAGGACAGTTAGAGGTCACTCTCGTGGCCATCTTGGTTTTGGTGGGTTTTGGCTGGCTTCTTTATTGCAGCCTGCTTCATCAGCAAGGTCTTTACAACCTGTATCTTGTGCCAACCTCCTGTCTCATCCTGTGACTTAGAATGCCTTAACTGTCTGGGAATGCAGCCCAGTAGGTCTCAGCCTCAATTTACCCAGCTCCTATTCAAGATGGAGTTGCTCTGATTCACATACGTCTGACAGCTATAATGTGTCTTCTTGAAAAAAAGTAAAAATGTAAGTCAAAAATACAAAATATAAATAGTTCTTAATTTCATGCTTGGATATGTGAAATCAGAACTGGCTCATAGATTCATTGCAGATAGAAGATATTGTATAAATGGGTTCAGTACACACATGCAACAAAAGGAGTTTCTTATAAGAGCCAAAGGCCTGTCTCTTGACTCTGGTAGGCCTCCCACCCCCGCCAAGGAACACAGCCCTCCTGGCGTGGGTCACACTGACCGATGTCCCGGTACCCCCTGTCTCCCACTTCCCAGAACGATTGCTGATAAAACTCACTGGGATGTTTCTCACTGGACTGAGCCCTGATAGGATTGTACATTTTTCTTTTAATGTTACTAGAGAATGTGTGGAATGGATCAAAATTGCTTTCAGGCTTATATTGGTGAAACTTCAATGGTTTCAACCCCTTCGTCTCTTCTTTCTTCTTTATTTCAACAGCAGCCATACTGGAAAGCCCTATGGGAGGACTAAATGAGTGCCTTATCTCTTACCCCTTTCTCCACTTCCATCCTACATATAAAGCCCCTATGTGTAGATAATGGCATCAAAGCATTGGACTGGATTGGACTGGACTGGATTGGATTGGATTGGAAAATTTTGACTGACTCAGATGATGTTCTCTTAACCTATCTGGCTGGCCACAAAATTAGAAACTCAGATGGGCCAAAGGTAATAGCTGTAGAAATAAGATTTTGCAAAATACAGTGTTTTAAATCTGAAATTGCTGTGTCCATTTGGAGACCAGTGGTCTCCTCTGGACTGTATGTAACCCCTTGAGCCAGGCCTTGTCTGTTTTCTTGTCATGGTATCTCCAGGGTTCGATTCAGGGCCAGGCACTTAGTAACCAGCAAATATTGAAGAGTGACATGTCAGTGCTTAACCAGGCTCTGTGGCAAGTGCCTTATGTGCTCCATGTCCTATAACCCTCCCACCAACTCAGTGACATGGGTATTGTTATTATTCTCTTTTTACAGACAGCACAGAGAGGAGAAGCAACTTGCCCAAAGTCACACAGCAGTAAGTTAGAGCCAGAATGCAAATACAGGTATGACTTAAATACTACGCAATATTGCCCCTTAGTGGTAGGCACTGAATCCCTACTTGTTGAATGAATGAATGAGCGAACTGCGAACATATTTTAAGAGAGCTGAGATGGAGGAGGGATGGAAGGGATTTGCAAGAAAGCTGTCACGTTGGTGCAAAAGTAATTGCAGTTTTTTGTCATTAAAAGTAATGGCAATTACTTTTGCACCAACCTAATAAAACTATTTTCCACACATCTCAGCTTCCCAACTCAGTGCTGTGTGACTATGGGGGACCTCTTAGTATCTGTGGGCTCACATTCCTCTTGTTGAGAAACAGATTTGCTGAGTACTTTTTGCCAGAGGGAGTTTGGTCAACAGGAGCTAGAGAAGGGACCCAGATTCTCTAATGTTTCAACAAAGATTTAAGATACATTGGTTTAATTTAGGATTATTAAAAAATGTGTTTCTAGGCCCTGAGAAGTGGCTCACAACTGTAATCCCAGCATGTTGGGAGGCTGAGGCAGGAGAATTGCTTAAAGCCAGGAGTTTGAGACCAGCCTGGGCAATACAGTGAGACTTCATCTCTACAAAAATAAAAGTAATAAAAGTTAACTGAGTATGGTGCTCCACACCTGTAGTTCCAGTTACTCTGGAGGATGAGGCAGGAGGATTGCTTGAGCCCAGGAGTTTGAGGCTGCAGTAAGTTGTGATCACACCACTTTACTCCAGCCTTGAGCTTGTGTGATAGAATGAGACTCTGCCTCTCATTAAAAACAAAAACAAAAACAAAAACAAAAACAACAACAACAAAAAAACCTTTCCTTTTCGTTGGGGAAAGGAGGCTGGAAGGCCCAGAATAACATCTAGAGATCTTATGTTGTAGGCCACGTGCAATGGCTCACGTCTGTAATCCCAGCACTTTGGGAGGCTGAGGAGGGTGGATCACCTGAGATCAGGAGTTCGAGACCAGCCTGGCCAACATGGCGAAACCCCGTCTCTACTAAAAATACAAAAATTAACTGGGTGTGTGGTGGGCACCTGTAATCCCAGCTACTCGGGGCTGAAGCAGGAGAATCACTTGAACCTGGGAGGCAGAGGTTGCAGTGAGCCGAGATTGCACCACTGCACTCCAGCCTGGGCGACGGAGCAAGACTCCATCTCAAAAGCAAACAAGCAAACAACAAACAAACAAAAAAGCTTTCCTTTTGGTTGGGGAAAGGAGGCTGGAACACCCAGAATAACATCTAGAGATTTTATGTTGTAATATTAAGGTCTTACAAAGGATCTGTTATGGGTTGAAGTGTGTCCTCTGAAAGGTATGTTGAAGTTCTAACCATGGTACATGTGAATGGGACCTTATGTGGAAACAGGGTATTTGCAGATGTCATCATGTTAAGATGAAGTCATTAGGGTGGCCCTGATCCAATAAGACTGGTGTCCTTATAAGAAGTGGGTGAAAGAGACACACAGAGAAAACTGCTCTCCTGCCCGCAGCAGACAGAAGCAGAGGTGGGCTTATGCTGCTGCAAGCCAAGGAATGCCAGGGGCTATCAGAAGCTGGGAAAGGCAAGGAAGAGATTTTGGAGAGAACGTGGTCCTGCCAACACCTTGATTTTGGACTTCTAGCCTCCAGAACTATGAGAGAATAAATTTCTGCTGTTGTAAGCCATCCAGCCTGTGGTACATCATTGTGGCAGTCTTAGGAAACAAACACAGGTCCTAGTATGATTTTCCATTTCTGCATCATCACAATTCCTGATGATGATTTCACCTCTGCTCCCTGTGATTCTCCCCTGACTTGCTCCAAAGGATACATGCAAAGGTCAGAAGAAATGTCTTACCTGTTCACACCATCTTGAACCAGTCAGTTTTGGCAATTTAGTTTGGAATCCTTGAAGGGGCTTTTCTGGGTTCTAATACTGGCTTTAGTTCTGGCTGGCTGTGTGAGTTTGTATGTTAAAAATTAGAAAAGGAGGCCAGGTGCAGTGGCTCACATCTGTAATCCCAACACTTTGGGAGGCTAAAGTGGGAGGACTGCTTGAGCCCAGGAGTTTGAGACCCGCCTGGACAACATGATGAGAGCCCCAGCTCTAGAAAAAAATGTAAGGATATTAGCTGGGCGTGGTGACTCATGCCTGTAGTCCTAGCTTCTCCGAGGGCTCAGGGGGGTGATCGCTTGAGTCTGGGAGGTTGAGGCTGCAGTAAGCTGTGATTGTGCATCTGCACTCCAGCCTGAATGACAGAGAAAGACCTTGTCTCAAAAGGAAAAAAAAATTGAAAAATAAAAATGCTGGCCGGGCGCGGTGGCTCACGTCTGTAACCCCAGTACTTTGGGAGGCCAAGGCGGGTGGATCACAAGGTCAAGAGATTGAGACTATCCTGGTCAACATGACAAAACTCCGTCTCTACTAAAAATATGAAAATTTGCTGGGTGTGGTGGCCCGTGCCTGTAGTCCCAGCTACTTGGGAGGCTGAGGCAGGAGAATCGCTTGAACCTGGGAGGTGGAGGTTGCAGTGAGCCAAGATGGCACCACTGCATTCCAGCCTGGGCAACAGAGACAGACTCTGTCTCAAAAAAAAAAAAAAAAAAAAAAAAAGGCTAATAGTCGCATACATGGAGTACCTCCTACATGTGGGCTTCACAAGGATTTGTTCTAATCCTCTCCAGCATCCTGTAAGTTAGTTAACATTAATTCAAACGTAAAAAAAAAAAAAAAGAGAGAAGAGAAAAAAAAACAAGGGAGAAGGAGGCAGACCTGAGTTAGGCCTGTCTGACTTTCTCTGAAGCCAGTGTCCATAGCATGTGGCATCTCTAGGGAACAGATAGAAGTGAAAGAACAGAACAGGCATGGCTCAGGGGAGGAAATGTTTTGGTAATGCTGCAGTGATGAGCTGGGTCCAGCTTGCCCTGGGTCTCAAGACCCAGTTGTTAAATTTTCAGGATTTTTGCAGACAGGCTGATGTCATGTTGATAGCTTGAAATTGGCCACGGTGGGAGGATTTATACCACCAAAACAGGCAGACGCTACAAATCAGAGCTCCCACCTCTCTCACCACGTGGTTTACTGGAACTCCACTGGAACTGGAGAGAGAGAAGGGAAGCGGAGAAAAGATACCCCCAGGGCCTGGAGTCTGAGATTGGCTCAGAAGGGCCGTTGTGGTCTAGGCAGGATTCTGAAGTATTCCGGGAATGAATCCTATATAACCAAAGTTACCCGATTCCACGGGTTTAGGAAGGGCCAACCCCTCCCTGGGGAGTTGAGAGCACTCGCTGAGACCTTCTCAGTGAGTGGAGAAATAAAGTCACCAAAGCTGCACCCCTGCCCTGCCAAACTACAGCTATATGGCAGGGCAAAGAGAGCCAATGTCTGCAAGCTAGTTAAATAAACACTCTCGGCCCCAGTTCTTAATCTGTAAAATACAGGGATAATGGATCAGTGTGTCCCAAACCTGCTCCATCGTAGAGATGTGCTGTGTGTGTAAAATACACACTGGATTTCAATGTCTAAATATGAAAAAAAGATTCAAAATATCTCATTGACAATTCCTTGATTCTATGTTAAAATAATCACATTTTAAATATTGAGTTAAATAAAATATATTATGGAAATAAATTCCTCCTACCTTTTTTTATCTTTTTATTTTTATTTTTTTATTTTTTAGACTGAGTTTCGCTCTGTCGCCCAGGCTGGAGTGTAGTGGCGCGATCTCGGCTCACTGCAAGCTCTGCCTCCCGGGTTCACGCCATTCTCCTGCCTCAGCCTCCCAAGTAGCTGGGACTACAGACGCCCGCCACCACGCCTGGCTAATTTTTTTTGTATTTTTAGTAGAGACGGGGTTTCACCGTGTTAGCCAGGATGGTCTCGATCTCCCGACCTCGTGATCCGCTCGCCTCGGCCTCCCAAAGTGCTGCGATTATAGGCATGAGCCACCGCGCCCGGCCTTTTTACCTTTTAAAATGTGGCTAGTAGAAAATATAATATTGCACACATGGTTGGAGCTTTATGTCGTTTGACAGCTCTGCTCTGGAGAAGTGGTCCCTGAAGCCCCCTGTGCTGGGGGGCTCCCATCCTCCGCAGGCCTGGGTTATTCAGCTGCATTTTGCTTCCTGGAGTCACCCCACTTCTCTTTTCAGTTGATCCCAACCAGAATAGTTTGAATTGTTCGTAATCAAAGACACTTTAACGAACAGATTAACCGAACCGGAGCCTCCTCCGGTGGTTGCACAGATTGGTCCACAGAACACTTGCAGCGCTCACAGCGCGTCACGCTCCAGCGTGATCTGCCATGAACCACTCAGGATAGCATCATTTCTGCTTCCCCAGACCCTGCCGCTGCCTCTGTCCCTCAAGACATCTCTAGCTCTGGCCACCAGCACTGGATTTAAATCAAGGCGTCTGCTGGTCAGCGAGGCAAGTGAGCTCCTCAAGGTTCCGGTTCACGCTGAGGCTGTTCTTAGGAGCTGGGTTACATTATCAGAGTCTGGAATTTAGAGTAACGGCAGCTTTCTTGACTCTCCCTGAACCTAGAGGAAGGCAAGGTTTGAAGCAAAAGCAATTCCAAGAAGCAGGCATGATGTTTCTCCCTTCCCCCAGTTTCCCTTCCCTTTCCCATGGGGTAGGTCTGCCCGGGCTCAGACACCATGATCATTGTGCTCTGTGCACCCAGCCTGGGAACTCGGGCTTTGGAAATATGAATTTCCTAAGACGTTTCAGTTGTTCCAAGGTGTGAGGTGAAACTCTCACAAAAACCTGTCAAAGACTGGCTTTGGAGTTGAATTCTCAAGGTTAACTTGCTGGGGTGTACAAGAATTGTATGCCAGATTCCGAGTAATTATTCCTGCAGGAACTGCCCGCTCCAAGCACTTTAATGAAAAATGATAGAAAGGGTTATTGACCTTTGAGACATTCAATCCACCGTGCAGCTAAGCATCTGCAGAGGATCAGGCCAGGGAAGATTACATCTGCCCCACTGCAGAGACATTGCAACAGTTCATCTTCAAAACAGGCAAGGAAAATGTGTCTAATGAATCCCTAAAGCACAGTATGTGCAGATGGGTTTGAAATGGTCTTTGGCAATTTTTCACCTTCATTGTAATGGGAATCCCTTGGAAACAAGCTAGAGATCATATGTAAATTTGACTGGCTACACTTTACAACATTCTTGGGAGGACTAGGAGTAAGATGATAAATGAAGACGTTGCGAAGTTCATAATTTGGGAGAGAAACTCATTAAAATGTTAAAAATGAGCTACATATACCCTGTTCAGGGGAACTGCACGATGTAATAAAATGAAATAAGCCTCTAATATGCTCCATATTGCTCCGTGGTGAGCAGAAGGCAAGCCTGAGACACAGATCCTTCCCTCTGGATGCTTGCAGTTGAGTTGGTTGTTGAGACAAGGCTTAAATACACGACACTGCGTCTCAAAGTCTGACAGCCCCAGCTGGATGACAAAGAGCCATCTGATGGTTAAATGAGAGTGGAGGGAATGGGCGGCAAGAACAGAAACCAGTTTCCAGGGTGTTTCTGTTGCTTTCAATGTTTTTTTTTTTTTGAGACTGAGTCTTGATCTATCACCCAGGCTGGAGTTCAATGGCGTGATCTTGGCTCACTGCAACCTCTGCCTCCTGGGTTCAAGCGATTCTCCTGCCTCAGCCTCCCAAGTAGCTGGGATTACAAGCATGTGCCACCACGCCTGGCTAATTTTTGTATTTTTAGTAGAGACAGGGTTTCACCATGTTGGCCAGGCTGGTATCGAACTCCTGACTTCAAGTGATCCACCTGCCTCTACCTCCCAAATTGTTAGGATCACAGGCGTGAGCCACCATGCCTGGCTGTTGTCAATGTTTTAAAGGCAGTTAATATCTTCATCCCCAAACTTCACTCCTGTCCCATCGCTTTGCCTTATCCTCCCTTCACAGGGGTAATCACTACACTGAGATTGGAGTATTTTCTCTCAGGTCAGTTTTTATAGTTTTATTACATATGTTTAAATAAAGAGTTAAAGCAAATGTGACAAAATGTGAACACTTGATAAATCTGGACAGTGAGCATTTGGTTTTATGTTTTATCATCTTTTTTGTATTTATGTATCCTTGAAATTTTTTTCTTTTTTGAGATGGAGTCTCCCACTGTCGCCCGAGCTGGAGTGCAATGGCATGATCTTGGCTCACTGCAACCTCCACCTCTCAGGTTCAAGCGATTCTCCTGCCTTTGCCTCTTGAGTAGCTGGGATTACAGGCACCCGCCACCACGCCTGGCTAATTTTTTGTATTTTTAGTAGAGAAGTTGGTTGGCCAGGCTGGTCTCGAACTCCTGACGTCATGATCCACCTGCCTCAGCCTCCCAAAGTGCTGGGATTACAGGGGTTAGTCACTCTGCGTGGCTGGAATTTTTTTCAAATCTTAAAGATTATATGAGCTTCTATATAGTAGAAGCAGAAAAAAATTGTAAATAAATTTTATGGACAATGTGTAACAACAAAATTAAAAACCCAAAAGAAAGAAAGGAAGAAGAAGAAGGAATGGAAGAAACAAAGAAAGAGAAAGAACTTGAGATCTCTAAGAATTCATAGGTCACTTTGCATGGAGATAGTCAGCAAAGACTGCCAAGAGGAGGAAGTATGACCCAGGTCTTGAGAAATGGAGATGTGGGAGGAGGGCCTGAAAGGGAGGGGAGTCGCCATTTAGAGCAACTCTTATCTGTAACCTGAGGAGACGAGACTGTGAGCTCTAAAGTTCACATTCAAATCTCACAGCATATATCATGTTCATTGATTCAATCCACAAACAGTAGACAGTTACCACATGCAGTAAATAATGCTAGACACTGTAGGAGATTCCAGGATGAGAATATGGTAGGTGGTCTCCCTCCTGGAATCACCATTTTGATTTTCATCATCCTTAAACAGGAAGAATTTACTGTCACTTTTTCCCTGTCTGCCTGCTTGTCTGCCTGCCTTTCTATTGAGAGCCCTGTCTATTCCATTTCATTCTAAATTTCTTTCAGATGAGAGCTATTTCTCATATCTATCTGCATCCTCCACAGTGTCAAGATAGGATTATACAATTAAGTGGGTATTCATTAAATACTCATTGAATAATTGATTAACTTGATTGTTTAAGTAGTATTTGAGAGGCTATTATGTTCTAAAGCACACAAGGGAACACTCTGGAGATCAAAGATAAAATAAAAGGGATATATTAGTTAACTGATTGCATTAAAAGACACATATACATGTGTCTTTTACAATACAGATCCTGGCCGCTGTTAAATATAATTCAGGCTGGGTGTGGTGGCTCCTGCCTGTAACCCCAGCACTTTTGGAGGCTGAGGTGGGAGACGATAACAAGAGCCCAGGGATTCAAGATCAGCTTGGGCAACATAGCAAGACCTCATCTCTACAAAACATTAAAAAATTAGCTGAGAGTGGTGGCATGCACCTGTAGTTCCAGCTACTAGATAGGCAGAGGTGGGAAGACTTAAGATGCTTGAGCCGGGGAGGCAGAGATTTGCAGTGAGCTGAGATCACACCACTGTACTCCAGCGTGGGTGAAAGAGCAAGACCCTACCTCAAAAAAAAAATAAAAAAAAAATCAGTATTCTATTTATAGACAACCACACCTTGGATATTGTGGGTTCAGTTCCAGACCACCATAATAAAGAGAATAACACAATAAAGTGAGTCACATGAATTTTTTTGGTTTCCTAGTGCTTATAAAATTTATGTTCACATTACATTGCAGTCAATTAAGTGTGCAATAGCATTATGTCTAAAAAACACCGTATAATCCTAATTTAAAAATATTTTGTTGCTAAGAAATGCTAGTGATCATCTGAACCTTCAGCGAGCTGTAATCTTTTTGCTAGTGGAGGGTCTTGCCTTGATGTTGATGGCTGCTGACTGATCAGGATGGTGATAGCTGAAGTTTGGGGTGGCTGTGACAATTTCTTAAAATAAGACAGCAATGAAGTTTAGCACATTAATTGGCTCTTCCTTTCACAAAAGATTTCTCTGTAGCATTCGATGTTGTTTTATAGCATTTTACCACCAGAAAATTGGATTCAATTCTTTCAAACCCCGCTGCTGCATTATCAACTAAGTTTATGGAATATTCTAAAACCTTTGTTGTCATTTCAACAATGTTCACAGAATCTTTACTCCATGGAATCACCAGGAGTTGATTCCATCTCAATAAACCACTTTCTGGCCAGGCACAGTGAGCAGATCACCTGAAGTCCGGAGTTCAAGACCAGCCTGGCCAAAATGGCGAAACCCCATCTCTACTAAAAGTACAAAAATTAGCCGGGCGTGGTGGCGGGTGCCTGTAATTCTAGCTACTTAAGAGGCTAAGGCAGGAGAATTGCTTGAACCTGGGAGATGGAGGTTTCAGTGAGTCGAGATCGCGCCACTGCATTCCATCCTGGGTGACAGAGTGAGACTCCATCTCAAAAAAAAAAAAAAAAAAAGAAACCACTTTCTTTGCTCATCTATAAGAAGCAACCTCCTCATCTGTTAAAGCTCTATCATGAGAGTGCAGCAATTCAGTCACATCTTCAGACTCCACTTCTAATTCTAGTTCTCTTACTATTTCTACCACATCCACAATAACTTCTTCTACTGAAGTCTTACACCTCTTAAAGTCATCCATGAGGGTTGGAATCAACCTCTCCCAAACTCCAGTTAATGTTGATATTTTGTCCTCATCTTATGAATTATGAGTGTTCTTAATGACATCTAGGATGATGAATCTATTCCATAAGGGTTTCAATTTACTTTGCCCAGATCCATCAGAGGAATAACTATCCATGGCAGCTATAGGCTTACAAAATGTATTTTTTTAGTAATAAGACTTGGAAGTCAAAAATACTCATTGATTTATGTGGCTGCAGAATGGATGCTGTCTCAGAAGGCAGGAAAATAATATTGGTCTCTGTACATGACTAGGTGCATTGTCAATGATCAGTAATATTTTGAAAGGAATCTTTTTTTCTGAGCAGAAGATCTTAACAGTGGGCTTAAAATATTCGGTAAGCCATTCTGTAAACAGAAGTGCTGACAGCCAGGCTTTGTTATTCCTTTTTGAGAGCACAGGCAGAGTAGATTTAGCATCATTCTTAAGAGCCCTAGGATTTTCAGAAGGGTAAATGAGCCTTACAAGAGAGTCGGCTGTCCTTTAAATGTAGACATTGGCTTCTCCTCTTTAACTATGAAAGTCTTAGATGGCATCTTCCAATAGAAGGCGCTTTCCTCTACATTGAAAATCTGTTGTTCAGTGCAGCAGCCTTCACCAAGGATCTTAGCTAGATCTTCTGGACAACTTATTGCAGTTCTAAATTAGCACTTGCTGCTTCACCTTGCACTTTTATGTTATGGAGACAGCTTCTTCCCTTAAGTCTTATGAACCAGTCTCTGCTAGCTTCCAACTCTTCTTCTGCAGTTTCTCACTTCTCTCAGCCTTTATAGAATTGAAGAGAATTAGGGCCTCGCTCTGGATTAGGCATAGCTTAGGGGAAGGTTGTGGCTGGTTTGATCTTCTAACCAGACCACTCAAACTTTCTCTGCATCAGCAATAAGGCTTTTTATCACTTATGTGTTTGCTGGAGCACAAGCACAAAAGTCCTACAAGAACTTTTCCTTTGTGTTCACAGCTTGGCTAACTTTGGCACAAGATGCCCAGCTTTCAGCCTATCTCAGCTCTCAACACGCCTTTCTCACTAGGCTTACTCATTTCTAGCTTTTGATTTAAAGTGAGAGATGTGGGATTCTTCCTTTCACTTAGACACTGAGAGGCCGTTATAGATTATTAATTGGTCTAAATGCAATATCATTGTGTCGCAGAGAATAGGGAGACTGCAGGAGAGAGTGAGAGGTGGGGAAACAGCTAGCTGGTGAAGCAGTCAGAAATCACCCATTTAGGCCGGTCGCGGTGGCTCGCGCCTGTAATCCCAGCACTTTGGGAGGCCAAGGAGGGCGGATCGCGAGGTCAGGAGATTGAGACCATCCTGGCTAACACGGTGAAACCCAGTCCTACTAAAAATACAAAAAAATTAGCCTGGCACAGTGGTGGGCGCCTGTAGTCCCAGCTACTCGGGAGGCTGAGACAGGAGAATGGCGTGAACCCGGGAGGCGGAGCTTGCAGTGAGTGGAGATCGCGCCACTGTACTCCAGCCTGGGCAACAGACCGAGACAAAAAAAAAAAAAAAAGGAAATCACCCATTTATAGATTAAGTTTACCATTTTACATGAATGAGATCCATGGTACCCCAGAACAATTACGAAGCCAGTCATGGTGGCTCACACCTGTAATCCCAGCCACTCAGGAGCCTGAGGAGGGAGGAACTCTTGAGCCCAGGAGTTTGAGGCTGCAGTGAGCTATGGTCACACCACTACATTCCAGCCTGGGTGACAGAGTGACACCCCAATCCCAAAAAAAAAAAACCACCAAAACCAAAAACAAGAAAAAATTATAATAGTAACATCAGAGATCACTGATCACAGATCTCCTTAACAGATGTGGTAATAATAATAAAGTTTGAAATGTCATGAGAATTACCAAAACATGACCCAGAGACAGGAAGTGAGCACACGCTGTTTGAAAAACAGTGCCAATAGACTTGGCTCGATGAAGGGTTGGCACAAACCTTTAATCTAAAATGCAATATCTGCAAAGTGCAATAAAGCAAAGTACACTAAAACAAGATATGTCTCTAACAGATACATGCTTTTGGGGGAGGGAGTGCTTAGAAAATACCAGATAGCGCTTTCTGATAAATGCTGACATCTGTCTTTCGAACTACTCCCTTCTTCCTATACTTCCAATGTGTGTCATTTGAATTTAGTTTTTAACATCAGAAGAAACAGAAGTAAAAACGGCCACCGTCAATTTAATCTTTTTAAATGTTACTCCTCGGCCGGGCATGGTTGCTCATGCCTGTAATCCCAGCACTTTGAGAGGCCAAGATGGGTGGATCACTTGAGGTCAGGAGTTTGAGACCAGCCTGGCTAGCATGGTGAAACCCCATTTCTACCAAAAAATACAAAAATTAGTGAGGCATGGTGGCAGACCCCTGTAGTTCCAGCTACTCCGGAGGCTGAGGCAGGAGAAGCCCTTGGACTCAGAGGGCAGAGGTTGCAGTGAGCCAAGATCACGCCACTGCACACCAGCCTGGGCAACAGTGAGATCCTGTCTCGAAATAAATAAATAAAGAAACAAACAAACAACAAACTAAATAAATAAATGCTACTCCTTGTTGTAAAATTTTAAGGTTAAAGAATAAAACAGAACTACAATTTTTTCAAGTTCAATGTGATAGTAGTAACTTATTCTTAATAAACCAAATGCTGACATCAGATTTAATCCTCAGCCATTTGAATGGTGTGTTCTAACAACTGCAACTCTGACATGACATTCTAATAACTGAAAACGAGTCTGGTCTAATAGTTGTTTCTATCTCAAGAGGCTCCCTTGGCGGCAGTCACAGGGAAACCAAACCCAAGCAGAGCGTACTTCTCATGACTCCCTGTCATTGCAAACCATCACCTGCGAGTCTCATCAGAATGCCAATGTAGGCCAGTGGGTGTAAACATGACAATAATAATAGTAATAGTAATGGGCAGCGTTAATTTGAAGTGCTTTTTTTTTTTTTTGAGATGTAATTTCACTCTGCTGCCCAGGCTGGAGTGCAGTGGTGCGATCTGGGCTCACTGCAGCCTCCGCCTCCTAAGTCCAAGTGATTCTCATGCCTCAGCCTCCCAAGTAGCTGGGATTACAGGCGCCTGCCACCACATCCGGTTAATTTTTTGTATTTTTAATAGAGATGGGGTTTTTCCATGTTAACCAGGCTGGTCTCGAACTCCTGACCTCAGGTCATCTGCCCCCCTCAGCCTCCCAACGTGAAGGACTTTTTATATGCTTGCAACTGTAAGCACATGGCATGCATTCACTCATTTATTCTAACCACTGCCATATGCTGTAGATACTAATTTGAAAAGACAGAAAGGACCAAAAATACCCACTTTTGTTTTCCTGCTAATGTAGTGTCATCACGGAACACTTCATATTTCTCTTTTGTAGGTGCCGAATCAGTCCACATGCATTGGAACCTGCATGTTCTTCATGTGTGTGCCTGCATGGCACTGTTGGAGTTAAATGTATTTAAACACATGTATATCGACTTCCCTTGGAGAAAAACATCAAGAGTTCATGCGCTGTACTGGCAAATACCAAGAAAGGCATGAGATATGCCTTTGACAAATTATAGAAATGCACCCTTTGGTATTTGTAATACTCCTCTGGAACTTATCTTTTTATAAAGCAATGCTTTGTAATAATTCTTTGCAAGAATTTAAAACTATTTTTGACTTCGAGTTTCATACTTAATGTAGTTATAGTTGAGGGTTTTTTTCTTTTCCATTTTTCTAATCTAAGCACTATATTTGGAAACCATTCATGAACAAGAAAAAGGTTTCTTTGGCTTTTTTGTCTTTCTTTCTTTTTTCTATAGACTGTGTCTCATTCTGTTGCCCAGACTGGAGTGCAGTGGTGCAATCATAGCTCACTGCAGCTTCAAATTCCTGGATGCAAGTGATCCCCCTGCCTCAGCCTCCTAAGTGCTTGGGACTGCAGGAATGTGCCATCATGCCTGGCTAATTTTTATATAGTTTTTGCAGAGATGGAATCTCGCTATGTTGCCCAGTCTGGTCTCCAACTCCTGGGCTTAAGGGATCCTCCCAACTTGACCTCCCAAAGTGCAAAGTGCTGGGATTACAGACATGAGCCACTGTTCCAGGCCTCTTTGCTTTTTTTTTTTTTTTTTTTTTTTGAGATGGAGTCTCACTCTGTTGCCGAGGCTGGGGTACAGTGGTGTAATCTCGGCTCACTGCAGTCTCCACCTCCCAGGTTCAAGTGATTATCTTGCCTCAGCTTCCCAGGTAGCTGGGATTACAGGCATGTGCCACTGCGCCCAGCTGATTTTTGTATTTTTAGTAGAAATGGGGTTATACCATGTTGGTCAGGCTGGTCTCAAACTCCTGACCTCAGGTGATCCACCCACCTCAGCCTCCCACAGGGCTAGGATTACAGGCATGAGCCACCGTGCCTGGCTTCTCTTTGCTTTTTGATCAAAGTGATGTTAAAAAAATAAAAAGGATTGGCTTCTTGGGCAATACAAGGAGAATGCCCCTCTCTAACCTGGTCAACTTGCCTCTGAGTATCCTTGGTCAGTTTGTCTACATCTCTTTCTTTATGAAAGAAGATCTTCAAAGGAATGGTTTATTATAAATCTTTTACGGACTATTTAAACATTGTTGTAAAATATTTCTCCTCTTTGTTGATTCATGGATTTGCACAAATCATCACTTTCCAATGCTTACATTCTGAGTTTCTTTGGTCTGGAAAGTTTGTCAGAAGAGCTCAGGTTTGAGCATTAGACTCTCGCCCCCAAACCATGACATTATGGGTAGGCTACCAGTTCTTAAGCACATCAACCTCAGTTTCCTCATCTAGAAACCAGGAAAATGCTCATCTGGTGGGGAATGTGGGGAAATGTGGAATCAAGAGCCTGTGGTGAGCCACAGGGGTTTAATGGTGTTCCCCACCTTTTCTTTTCCTTACTTACTGTCTCAGCAAATGTAGTTCTTGATGACATTTTGTCTTTTTAAATCCCACTGCTCTGCTTACACAGGAAGCCAAATTAAATGAAGACTGTGTCTCTTGACCTCTTCATGTTATCCTTCCAGTTGGTTCCAATGACTTCCAAATAAGGGAAACAATGATTACAATGTCACAATTGTATTTTACAGCAAGTAAGATAAATGTTTTCAGAAAACAGAGATTGGTGGTGAAAATTCTTTTTCGTTCCTAGAATTAAAGCATATTCCACACATTGAGTTTTGTAAAACCTGCACAGTGGTTAAGCTAACACAGGCTTTTGACAGTTGGCCAACCAGTTTTTCATGAGCTGAATTATGCTGGCAGAGTGACTCAGGTCCTCTGAGCCTCAGTTTCCTTATCTGTAAAATGAGGAAAAGCATCAACATTGTAAGGCTGCAGAGCAGAATAAGGCGATAAAATGCTTGGCAGGATGCCTAGCACATGGCAAAATGATTTGAAGCTGTCATCATTTTTTCTGAAGAATACTGGACAGCAGTTGTCTTTCCATATTTCTTCAAGAAATCACTTGCATTATTGTAGACAAAGTATTTTTTTAAATCACCCAAATGCAGTCCAAGTGGCCAGATCCCTAGACTTGAAGGCGAGAATCTGGGCTTGCCTTATGCTCACTAGCAACTTGACCTTGACTCCGACCCTGCTCAACCTCCTTTTCCTCACTTGGAATTTGGATATAATATTTTTCCTACACACTTTGCAGTTTTGTAATTCTCAAAGGAGAAATAATTGATTTAAAGCACTTTTTGGGTTGGGCACTGTGGCTCACGCCTGTAATCCCAGCATTCTGAGAGGCCGAGGCAGGTGGATCATCTGAGGTCAGGAGTTCCAGACCAGCCTGGCCAACACAGTGAAACCCCATCTCTACTAAAAATACAATAATTAGCTGGGGGTGGTGGCGCACACCTGTAATCCCTGCTACTTGGGAGGCTGGGGCAGGAGCATGGCTTGAACCCGGGTGGCGGAAGTTACAGTGAGCTGAGATCGCCCCATTGCACTCCAGCCTGGGCAACAAGAGTGAACTCAGTCTCAATAAATAAATAAATAATAAAGCACTTTGTAAATTATTAAGGACTGAATTAAATATTTAGAGAAAAATCTTCTCAGGCTCTGTTTTCCATTTGAAGAAGAACTTGCGCTTTGGGGCCAGATGGGCTGGAGTTTGATGCCTGTTCCTCCACTTGCTGGTTGTGTGTTTCTGGGCAAATATTTTAGGCTTTTTGTGTCTTAGTTTACTCGTATGTAAAATAAGAACAATTATAGCATTTCATGAGGTTGCAATGTGAATTAATGAGTTAATGTAGTCAGGACTAAACTCTGATTTTTTATCTGGCCCAAATTCCTATCTAAGTGGTCTGGGGAGTCATGCCCTACCAATCATAAATTCTCATCAGATGGGTTTTATTTAGCCCTGTATACCATGACTCACTTTCCAACCTGACTCTGGCATAACATTATGAGACAAGGAAGAAAATCAAAATATTTTATCCCACAACATGTTTCTTTGCCGTATTTTGAGACGGCCCTGCAAAGCTGTTCTTTGGGGGTAGAATTTGCATCTGTAAAGAATCTCTATTAACAAAGCTAGATCTTTTTCTTCTGGACCCTCCCAATCCTAAAGAGATTAACTAAGATCTGAATAGGAAACATTTGTCATCTATTGTCTCCAAGGGCAGCCACTATAAGACTTCAAAGAACTTTGGTCTCCACAATCTTTATCTTAACCTGAACATTCCCTTTCTACCAACCTCAGGTCTTTAGACATATTCAACTAATTGTCAACCAGAAAATTTTAAATTCACCTGTAACCTGGAACACCCCACCCCCACCAACTTGGTTTGAGTTGTCCCACCTTTCTGGATCAAACCAATGTATTTCTTAAATGTATTTGATTGATGTCTCATGCCTCTCTAAAATGTGTAAGACCAAGCTGCGCCCCAACCACCTTGGGCACAGGTACTCAGGACCTCCTGAAGGCTGTGTCACAGGCCATGGTCACTGGTATTTGGCTCAGAATAAACCTCTTCAAATACTTTATAGAGTTCAATTCTTTTCATTGACAGTAGTAAAGTACTTAGAATAGTGACCGACGTATATAAGAGCTAAACAATGTTAGTTATTCTCGTTTTAAAATTTTCTTTTGCCTGTAATCCCAGCACTTGGGAGGCCAAGCTGGGTGGATCACTTGAGGCCAGGAGCTCAAGACTAGCCTGGCCAGCATGGTAAAACTTTGTGTCTACTAAAAATACAAAAATTAGCCAGGCATGGTGGTGCACACCTTAGTCCCAGCTACTAGGGGGCCTGAGGCATGAGAATGGCTTGAACCTGGGAGGCAGAGTTTGCAGTGAGCCAAGATTGTGCCACTGCACTCTTACCTGGACAACAGAGTGAGACCCTGTCTCAAAAAAAAAAATTACTTTTTTTTTTCCATCTATCTAACCAGTTGAATTTTTTAAAATTGTCTTTCTTTCTTTCTTTCTTTTGTTGGTTTTTGTTTTTGAGGAGATAGGGTCTTGCTTTGTTGCTCAGGCTGGTCTCGCACTGGGATTACAGCTGTGAGCCACCTCCCGGCCCTCTATTTTTTTTGTTTGTTTGTTTTTTTCTGAGACGGAGTCTTGCTCTGTTGCCCAGGCTGGAGTGCAGTGGCATGATCTTGGCTTACTGCAATTGCCGTCTCCCAGTTTCACGCCATTCTCCTGCCTCAGCCTCCCAAGTAGCTGGGACTACAGGTGCCCACCACCACACCTGGCTAATTTTTTGTATTTTAGTAGAGACGGGATTTCACCATGTTAGCCAGGATGGTCTCACTCTCCTGACCTCGTGATCCGCCTGCCTCGGCCTCCCAAACTGCTGGGATTACAGGTGTGAGCCACCGTGCCTGGCTGGGCCCTCTATTTTTAAATGGAGGAGTTGAGCTATCTTTTCTCTGTCATGCCTCCTAGTTTATATGTTCTTTGATATTTACATATGCATTATTTTCTAGAGCAAGAAGTACTTTATTTTTTAATTTTTTTTTATTTTTTGAGATGGAGTCTCACTCTGCTGCTTAGGCTGGAATGCAGTGGCACAATCTCGGCTCACTGCAACCTCTGCCTTCTGGATTCAAGTGATTCTCCTGCCTCAGCCTCCCAAGTAGCTAGATTACAGACATGCACCACCATCTCAGGCTAATGTTTGTATTTTTAGTAGAGACAGGGTTTCACCATGTTGGCCAGGCTGGACTGAAACTCCTGATCTCAGGTGATCTGCCCTCCTCGGCCTCCCAAAGTGCTGGGATTACAGGCATGAACCACCGTGCCTGGCCGCAAGAGGTATTTTAAATCCAGGAGTTTTTGCTATAACAATCTTCTACTGATAACATTAAAATTTAGATGTATAGATTTCTGGAAATTCCTGATTACTTGGTATTAAGATGAAGTCCCCAAATTCCCATCATCTGCCACTTGACACGATCTATTTAACTTTCCAAAAACCTGAGTATGACCACAGAGTAGCTCTGTGCCAACCTGAAAGAAAGAAGCTGAGGCAAAAAGGAATGTAAGTAGAGGGTTTATTGGGCCAAGCTTGAGGATTGCAACCAGGGATCACAGATTCCAGTTGCTCTGGATATGCACTCTGTTCAGCAGCAGTTACAAATGGATTGTTAAAGGGAAAGATGAAGCAGTTCCTGAGTTGTTTACCAATAATTTACATTAAAATAATGCAAGTTACTCATTGGCTATACATTGTTAAGCTCTAGAATGTGTGTTATAGAGTTCAGTATGGCATTATTAGGTTAATTTATAATAGCCTGATAATGCTGTTGTGATAATATCAAGCAATTTCAGTAAACGAATACACAGCTTCAAAAAGGGGGAAGGTAGGATGTGATTGCTGTCTCATTTTAATGCCTCTCTGGGCCTGATAATTTAAAAGGATTCGAATGCCTTAGATAAAAGTTCTTTCCTTATGAACTTACGGTTATAAGATTAAAAGAAAAAAAGTTCTTCCTAAACTATGTGCCCACCCATCTCAGGCATCACAATGAACTGGTAGGAGTGAAGTAGGTTAGGTAGGGTGATCACAGCCTCCCTTAAAGGGGAACAAACTTGCCAAATAGATGGAGAGAACAAACTGCCCATCAGTGCACAACGCATCCTGGGCTCCTGGTTAGAAGATCCTGCAGCAAGGAGGTAAAGAAAAAGAAGTGAAAATCCCCAAACTTGTACAAACGCAGAAACCCATGATTAGTTTCCTTGGACTGACCGACACTCATTATAATAGTAAAAAACACATCCTTGGGTGGAGAATTAAAATGCTAATGAGACATGTGATGTATGGGCTAGCATATACAGCCACTGTGCATGTAAGCCTAAGAAACCACCCACAACATACTTAATCACAACAGCCCTTCCTGTCCTTTTATGAATAATCATGTAAATCTCTCACAAACGCAAGTTCCTCAGAGCCAGACAGTGCAGGCTCATGCTTGAGCAGCCTGCTGTGATCCAGCTATCAAACTGTACTTGCGCTTTGCAATAAACTTCTTTACCTATTTTCACTTCGGACTCACTCTCAAATTCTTCTATGTGGTGAAGTCAAGAACCTTAACTGGCCCACCAGCAACAGGAGCACTGTGGGAAATTGTGAAATTTGGGAGAAACTTGACATCTGTCAGATACATCATGAGTTACCAGCTTGAGTACACGAATTCATTTTGGTGGTATCATATCATTGAAAGGTTGTGTTTTCTGTTGCTGCAGTAAAAAAGGACTATGTGAAAAATCAATGGGAAACAGGAAATGAGGGTGAAGGTGTCCCATCCGATTCCAAGGTCTGAAAGCTGGGCAGTGTCAGCCACACATCCCAGGAGTACATAGCCGCGGTTAAGAATGAAATATTATCTTTCTTTCAACTTATGAGTATTATTTTTGCAAATTGTGATTAAGTTATTAGAACATAAAGATGTACTGAGTGGTTTGGGAACCAACTACTTAAATAACCAAATTGTTAGGTACTTCTTTCGGTCTAAGATGCTGTAAAAAAAAATTACTGAGATACTAAGGGTACTGAGAACTAGAATATTTGTAAACTTCTGGGGATAGATCCTTAAGTTTCTGGATTTTCTTTTAAAAAAGCCCAAGTGTATGAAATTGGGCAGTGCCCACAGTTCAACAAAGCCACAGAGGCTAACACAGCCCTGGGAAATTTGTGTGGAGGTGAAGCTTTGCAAGCCCAGGTTTATCTTGTGCACAAATCCTTCAATAGTCCAAAGAAAGGCATACATGAGGAGGAGGTGGGGAATTGCATTTTTCATAATTAACTAGAAGCTGCTTCTTCACTTTGAAGTATGTTCCCTTTTGGCTCCTTGAAAGTTTCTCTGCATTAACAATTTGTACAGATTTTAGTTACTGATGAACAACATTGTTTTGGTGAGTTCTGATTAGCACATGAATACCACACTAGTGCCTGAGGGAATGCAAAGCAGGCACATTTGCAATTGAATATGCACTTAACATTTGGGCTGGAGTTTGAAATCTTAATCAATTTCCACATCTACCCCATACTCTGTTGGGACACTTGCCCAGATGTGAGTCCCTTGGGATGTAAATTTCTTGTGCTTAGAGTTTTATGGAAAGTTCATTGAAGGGCTGGGAATAGTGAGGAGCAAACTGCCAGATGAAATACAGTTATGCATCGCTTAATGGGGTACATCTTGAGAAATGCATCATTAAGCGATTTTATCATTTTGTCTAGATGGTATATAGCCTATTACTCACCTAGGCTATATGATATAGCCTATTTCTTCAGGGCTACAAACCTGTATTGCATGTTACTGCATTGAACACTGTGGGCAACTGGAACACAGTCATAAGTATTTGTGTATCTAAACTTACCTACACATAGAAAAGGTACAGTAAAATGTGGTATAAAAGATTTTTAGATCGGGTGCGGTGGCTCACGCCTGTAATCCAAGCACTTTGGGAGGCTGAGGTGGGCAAATCACATGAGGCCAGGAGTTTGAGACCAGCTTGGGCAACAGGGCGAAACACTGTCTACTGAAAATACAAAAAATAGCCAGGCGTGGTGATGCACGTCTGTAATCTTAGCTACTCAGGAGGCTGAGGCATCAGAATTGCTTGAACTCTGGAGGCAGAAGTTGCAGTGAGCCAAGATTGCACCCCTGCACTCCAGCCTGGGAAACAGAGCAAGACTCTGTCTCAAAAAAAAAAAGATTTTTAAAAAGGTACATCTATGCAGGGCACTTACCGTGAATGAAGCTTGCAGGAATGGAAGTTGCTCTGAGTGAGTCAGTGAGTGAGGGTTGAGTGAATGTGAGGGCCCAGGATTTTACTGTACACTACTATAGATTTTATAAACACTGTACACTTAGGCTTCACTAAGTTTATAAAAGGTATTTTTCTTCAATAATAAATTAACCTTAGCTTACTGTAAGTTTTTAACAATAAACATTTTATTTTTTAAACATTATGACTTTTTTTGCAATAACAGCATATAACACAAACACATTGTACCACTGTACACAAATATTTTCTTTCTTTATTTCCTTATTCTGTAAGCTTTTTTCTATTTATGAAATTTTAAAAACTTTGAAAGATTTTTGGTAAAAACTAAGACAGACACACACATTAGCCTAGGCCTATGCAGGGTCAAGATCATCAAGACATCAGTAGATCGATCACTGCCTGAAATGTCAGGTGACACATGACTGCATATGAAGATATGAACACCTTTTTCATGTACAGCTGCACATTTCCTCTTGTCACCTGAAGAATGACAAGGTTCATACAGTTGGAAAAAAGAGCTTTATTTCTCTTAAAGGGTTGCAACCTGCAGGGTGGCCATTCTGACATGCTGGGAAGCGTAGCCTCCAGTCAGAAGCCAGAAACAGGCATTTCAAGGGAGGAGCAAAGGGATCAGGAATTCATGCTGAGCAGGTTGGCTGAACATACATATTCAATAAGATATGGGAGGAGTCATGAATATTTATGAAAGGAGAAACATGCATAAGCACAATGGAGCTTCACACATCTCCACAGGACTCATGTTCCAAAAATGGTGGTGTTAGCACGACCTGAGGGTGGAGTTTTTGGCCCTCTGACATCAAAAGGTGAAGCAGAGGACACAAAAACCCTCACTGTGCATTCCCTGTAGACTGGGCAGAACATCTTCATGGTTGGTGGTCTCTTTTCAAAAAGGAGTTCTGGTTGGTTGTTTTGTGGAAACTGCAAAAGGGAGGGGCAGTGTCAGGTGCCTGGTTGGTATCAGTGGTAGGGCAGATCATGAAGTCAGGAGTTCGAGACCAGCCTGGCCAACATGGTGAAACCCATCTCTACTAAAAATACAAAAATTAGCTGGATGTGGTGGCATGCACCTGTAATCCCAGCTACTTGGGAGGCTGAGGCAGGAGAATTGCTTGAACCCAGGAGGCGGAGTTTGCAGTGAGTTGAGATTGCACTACTGTACTCTAGCCTGGGCAACAGAGCAAGACTCCATCTGAAAAAAAAAAAAAAAAGAAAAAAGAAAAAGAAAGTTAGTGAGGGAGAAGGGGTAACTAGTTGTGTCTGACCGACCTTCCATCCTGTCATGGCTGAGAACTCAGTTTTCAAGTTTCTTCTGGGATCCCCTAGGCCAAGAGGCGATTCATCCAGTCAGTTGGGGGGCTTAGAATTTTATTTTTAGTTTATCTTCTGCATTTCACTCCTTCCATTTTCTTTTTATCAAAGTAATATATGCATATCAAGAAATCAGATACTAGGGAAGAGTTTATGATGAAAAACATGTGAACTGTCCCTCCTCTGTCTTCTCAAACCCCATTCCCATTTCCTCAAAAAAATCTCTTAAATATGTTTTTGAGGTCTTCTACTGGTTATCTTTATAACTATAGACAATATGCTTATGATATACCTCCCTATTTCTTGACTAGTCTCTTTTAGACAATAATTATTGATGTTGGGAAAGAGACTTTTCCTCTATCCACTTAGGTCTGACTAGTCAAGACTCACAATAGACAGATTAACAGGAGAAGATGTATTATGCATGTGGGAGTACTCAGTAATGAGTAACTCACTGAATAGCCACAGATAAAAGTTTACATACTGGCTTAACAAAAAAGAAGAAAGGGGCTAGGGCTTTAGTGAGAAAGCATGAAAGGTTCTATTGGTCTTTTTCATGCTAATGAGCAGCTGAATTCACACTTCCCCCAGTCTTCTCCCAAAAGGGTCAAACTTCTCCCAAACAGGAAACTCCTTTTGGGGTGGGTGGTGGTCAATGGCAGCTGTATTTTCTGGAGGCTCTCTTTAAGTTTAGATAATGTTTTTATCCATGGCTGCTGATTGTTCAAATGTTTTCAGTTTATAGTAATTTTTATGCCACATTGGCAGGCTGATAATCCCTTTATTTATAACACTTGAAACTTCCTCAGAAATTTCACAAACAAGAAGCTGGGCTGATTACTGTAGACAGAAGGCTTGGGCTAGAAGTTGTGAGATAATCAATTGTCAAAGAGAAAGAAGAACATAGAGGGAGAAAACAAAAGAAAAAGATGAATGAATGAAAAAAAAGATGAAATTTCTGAGTCCAGAAATTAAACATTGGGTTTGCAATATTTATAGACAGTGGAATGAGAATGGCAATGTCAATCCAGTGGATTTTCCAGTTTGTAATTTGAATGTCTTTGGTGATGACATCCCATATGTGATCTGCTGTGATGAGTCCTTTGAAGTTTTTATCAAGCCAACCAGCTTCAGCTTGCAGGACTTTTACAGATCCTTTGTGGAAAGGGGCAGCTACAAGAAAAGCTAGGGTCCCAAATAAAGATCTGTGTAGTCAGATCCCAGTATTTAGTGATGCCAAGTCAAGAGGGTAGGAGAACATTTGGAAATGTTAATTTGGAGGGTGGTGACCAGAAATTGAAGGAAGATAGAAGAATGGAGAACTGGTGAGGTCTGACAAAGTATGCAAGGGGCATGGTGCAGTCCAATACACAGTTAGATAATAACACTTTAAAAATAACGAACAGGACTAGAATCTGATAACCCATAAGAATGTGTTACAGTTTTCTATGGCAGCATAAAATCTCTACACAGTCACCTCCTTCTCTGATCAGATAATTAAAGTAGTATTATTCTTGTTTACAAAATAAGTCTTATCTCATTGTGGCCTGATTATTTACCTAAGTGCAGCAAGAATAGTAATTGACTACATAGGTCTATTAAAGTTTGTTTTGTAGCAACTGTTATAAGGAATCTCACATTAGATTTTAAAAGCCTATTGGGGCCATGAAGCCAAACCAAGAACTCAACATTAGACTTTACATGCTGTACCTATAGATTTGGGTGAATTTCTCATTTCTCTTTTGCTTTTATTTGTTTGTTTGTTTGTTTGTTTTTTTGAGATGGAATCTCACTCTGTCACCTAGGCTGGAGTGTGATGGCTTGATCTCTGCTCACTACAACACCTGCCTCCCAGGTTCAAGCAATTCTCCTGCCTTCGCCTCCCGAGTAGCTGAGACTACAGGTGCATGCCACCACACGCAGCTAATTTTTGTATTTTTAGTAGAGACAGGGTTTCAACACGTTGACTGGGCTGGTTTCAAACCCCTGCCCTCAGGTAATACAATCGCCTTGGTTTCCCTAAGTGCTGGGATAACAGGCATGAGCAATCACGCCCCGCTCCTCCATTTTCAAGATGCACAAAATATCTTAAGCTTCTTTATTTTTATTTTTCCTTCTTCTTTTCTTTTCTTTTTCTTCCTTTTTTTTTTTTTTTTTTTTTTTTTGAGACAGAGTTTCACTCTTGTCACCCAGGCTGGAGCGCAATGGCGTGATTTTGGCTCACTGCAACCTCCGCCTCCCTGGTTCAAGCGATTCTCCTGCCTCAGCCTCCTGAGTAGCTGGGATTACAGGTGCCCAACACCATGCCCTGCTAATTTTTATATTTTTAGTAGAGACAGGGTTTCGCCGCGTGGGCCAGGCTGGTCTTGAACTCCTGATCTCAGGTGATCCACCTGCCTTGGCCTCCCAAAGTATGGGGATTATAGGCGTGAGCCACTGTGCCTGGCCTATTTTTATTTTTTCATACACCAAAAACCATGGGGCGGTTTTTGGCCTGCCAGGAAGTGGCTTTCCTTACTCACTTGGAATGCTGGGAATGCGGCAAGCCACATACCATGCTGATATTTGCCAGAGAACTTTATGAATAGTGGCTCCATAAGTCAACCTTAGTTCCATAAAACTGGTCATACCTGATTCTATACACACTGTGAAATGGCTCAGATCTGAATAGGAAACATTTGTCATCTATTGCCTCTAAGGGCAGCCACTATAAGACTTCAAAGGAACCTTGGTCTCCACAAACTTTTATCTTAACCTGAACATTTCCTTTCTATCAATCCCAGGTCTTTAGACAAATTCAACCAATGGTCAACCAGAAAATGTTTAAATTTACCTGTAGCCTGGAGGCCTCCCCCGACCTCTGCTTCGAGTTGTCCTTCCTTTCTGGACCAAACCAATGTATTTCTTAAATGTATTTGATTGATGTCTCATGCCTCCCTAAAATGTATGAAACCAAGCTGCACCCTAGCCACCTTGGGCACATGTTCTCAGGCCCTCCTGAAGGCTGTGTCATGGACCATGGTCACTCATATTTGGCTCAGAATAAATCTTTTCAAATATTTTACAGAGTTTGACTCTTTTTGTCAAAAATTACATCATTATTTTCTACTATCAGCCAAAGCAGCATTAAGAATTATCATGGGTGGCAAAAAATTTAATATATTTCTTGGTATTTTATAACTTTCCTGAAATATTTATATTAATAATTATTTCTCATGCAAATATAACACAAAGAAGATTATCACTTCTATTTAACAAAGATTTTCATGTAATTTGACACATCAAAAAAACTAATGATTTTTGAACATTCCTGTTTTTAGAAGGTAAAAGAACAAATCCTTTGAGATTTTCCAGGAGGCCTCTGAGAAATCTAAGTCAGTTTGAATTACAGATTTCATTTAGGATTTGGTTTTGGGAAGGCAATATATCATAAGTTGTCAAAATGTCAAAAGGTTTAAACACTTGATCATAGGTCACCATGAAATAATATCTAACCAAAGTGACAATAAAATATTTTAAAGGTAACTATAGAAGGTAACATGATTTAAAAACAAAAAAACAAAGCTTAGATTTTTATTTTTATTTTTTATCTGTTGCCCAGGCTGTAGTGAAGTATTGTGATTATGACTC